>NC_000001.11:45008380-45311410 GCF_000001405.40 Homo sapiens | reverse complement strand
CGGCCAAAAACAGATTCTTATTGCACTTATGCAAATAACTGTCTTGCCATAAGTTAAGAATATTCACAAATAGCTTCTAATTTCTGAAGAAATCAGGTAGAGAGAAACAAATATGCTCCAAATTTTTTCATAGGAGTATATTAAATTGTTAAAAGCTGTCAGTAGCTCAAAAGAAGTTTTAAGACTCTCAAACACAAAACAAATGTTCAGCAAACATTTTAAGCAAAAAGTTATAAAGATTAGTTCAGTCCATGCAGTTAATTTCTGTTCTGCCTGATACTCATGAACATTTTAGCTCTCCATGAGTCCTAAAGTTTTTCTTCTATTCTGATGTCACACTCTCCAAAGTTATCAGAAACCTGCATTCAAGAACAACTGTTAGAGTTCCATAGCTGACTATAGAACCATCTTCCAAAGAGGACCAAAACAAGACAACAATTGTTCGTAGATGACAAAAGGTTTTAGGGCAGCCATAGTCAAAGACAAAATTGACAAGGAAATTTACCTCTGTGGCATACAATAATTTAACATAACAATTATAATTATTACTGATAATGTACACTAAGTTATATCAGAATTATAGGAGTTTCCCATAATATTGGAACACATATTAATAACATAATTATAGAAATACAGCCTAAAGAAAATGAGACACCATTTCATATTTGACAATGCTACCTGTATCATTTTTATACCAAATAAACCAAATTATGTCATTTTTGGACTTTAGGGAACCTAATCTCTCAAAGGATTAATTACATCAGAAAAAGACCTAATTTACAATTTGATTTTAGAAAGCTTGTTGAGTATCAAAGGTTTAAAACACTTGATATCACAAAATAGGATCACAGGTCATTGTCAAATAAGTCATTCATTTAACCAAAGTGATAACTCAATGTTTTTTTTTTTTAAAACCTTCATTCTTTGAGAGGCAACTTAATTTTCCAAGCAAGAAGACTTAAGAAAAACAGCAATAAGCTAATTAAATTTGTTTTTCAAAATTTTATAAGTGATCTAGAAAATTTTAATGTTGACCGTAAGATAGAGCTTCCATAAGCCTTTTATAAACTTTATAGGCTTTCTTTTTTTTTTTTTTTTTGAGACGGAGTCTGGCTCTGTCTCCCAGGCTGGAGTGCAGTGGCGCGATCTCGGCTCATTGCAAGCTCCACCTCCTGGGTTCATGCCATTCTTCTGCCTCAGCCTCCCGAGTGGCGGGGACTGCAGGCGCCCGCCACTACGCCCGGCTAATTTTTTGTATTTTTAATAGAGACGGGCTTTCACCATGTTAGCCAGGATGGTCTTGATCTCCTGATCTCATGATCCGCCTGCCTCGGCCTCCCAAAGTGCTGGGATTACAGGCGTGAGCTACCGCACCCAGCCTATAGCCTTTCTTAAGGAGTCAGTTAATGCTTCAAGAGGCAGGAGAGTCTCTTTTAATCTGACACAGGGGCCCATGTGCTAGTCTTTCATCAGCACATTCAAGTGCCTTTGACGTTAGTGATTAATATATAGAGAAATTGAACTTTATCTTTCAAAATCAGCCCTTAGAATCTCACGTGCCCACCTCTTCCATGATAGTCCCTGGGCCTTAAGGAGTTGAACGGCTTTAATTTTTGGCCCTGTGTCTCAGAAATGCAGTTTATTTTGACCGGCATCTTCTATGGAGCCTGATGAGGCTTTAATTGCTGTCAGTGTTTAAGATTTAGCAGGACTTGGTGTCCTTTTTGACCCAGGAGTCAAAGCCCTGTAACTCAAGGTCACAAGGACTTTAGAAGTACACACAAGAAGACACATGGATATAGTAACCTCAATTAAAAAAATTTTTGGGCTGGTCGTGGTGGCTCATGCCTATAATCCCAGCACTTTGGGAGCCCAAGGCAGGTGGATCACTTGAGGTCAGGAGTTCGAGACCAGCCTAACCAACATCATGAAATCCCGTCTCTACTAAAAATACAAAGATTAGCTGGGTATGGTGGCGTGCGCCTGTAATCCCAGCTACTCAGGAGGCTGAGGCAGGAGAATCGCTTGAACCCGGGAGGCAGAGGTTGCCTTGAGCTGAACATCCCTCCTTCTTAAACAATTAGTCATTTTATTTTAGGACTAAATTTACCATTCAATATTTTTTTTTTTTAGTAAGTGCTTTTTTTTTTTTTTTTTGAGATGGAGCCTTGCTCTGTTGCCCAGGCTGGAGTACAGTGGTGAAATCTCGGCTCACTGCAATCTCCACCTCATGGATTCAAGCAATTATCCTGTCTCAGCCTCCTGAGTAGCTGGGACTACAAGCGCATGCTGCCATGCCTGGCTAATTTTTGTATTTTTAGTAGAGATGGGGTTTCACCATGTTGGTCAGGCTGGTCCAGAACTCTTTACTTCAGGTGATCCACCCACCTTGGCCACCCAAAGTGCTGGGATTACAGGCATAAGCCACTGCTCGCAGCCACCATACAAGATTCTTTCTCGTATAACATTATTTCTCTTTAAGCTTTCTTACCATAAAAAACCTTTTTTTTTTCTGTCTTTACATCTCTTTTTATTTCCTGGTTTCTTTTACCTTGTTTTATTCACAACCTTAAAATAATCTTTGAATTAGACAAAACTTTTTCACCTTTTTTAAGAAAGTTCACACTTTTTAAAATCAAGAATGTTTTCCTATATTATATATTTTATTGGAAAATACCCAAATAATGAAATATCTATTAATTTAACTTTATATTATAAATTAAGACAAATTTGTCTGCCAGTATTTATCCCATTACATTTACCTAATTTTTTTATTTTAATGGTTTACCTAGATTATGAAAACCACAAGTCATGATTTTTTTTTTTTTTTTGAGATGTAATTTCGCTCTTGTTGCCCAGGCACCTGTAATCTACTGTAATCTCCAGTAGCTGGGATTACAGGCACATGCCACCACAGCTGGCTAATTTTGTATTTTTGGTAGAGACGGGGTTTCTCTATGGTGGTCAGGCTGGTCTTGAACTCTTGACCTCAGGTGATTTGCCTGCCTCATTCTCCCAAAGTGCTGGGATTATAGGCGTGAGCTACTGCACCCAGGCCCAAAAGTCATGATTTAAAGTTATGAAACCGCTGGGCGTGGTGGCTCATGCCTGTAATCCAGCACTTTGGGAGGCCGAAGTGGGCAGATCACCGGAGGTAAGGAGTTCAAGACCAGCCTGGCCAACATGGTGAAACCCCATATCTCCTAAAAATACAAAAATTAGCTGGGTGTGGTGGCGGATGCCTGTAATGCCAGCTACTAGGGAGGCTGAGGCAAGAGAATCCCTTGAACCAGGGAGGCAGAGGTTGCAGTGAGCCGAGATTGTGCCACTGCACTCCAGCCTGGGTGACAGAGTGAGACGCCATCTCCAAAAATAAAATTAAAAAATAAATAAAGTTATGAAACTGCCATTGCAAAATTATAACTGAGACAGTGAGGAAGATATGACCTAACTGACTCCATCTTGCTTCTAAACTCCAAGCTGTCGTTGTTCATTCCTGGACTTTGGGAGAAATTTAGTTTATAGTTTAGCTTTGAAACAAAGATGGTAACAGTCCTTTCCCAAAACAAACCTACCTACCATCTGTGGATTAGACTGCCTAAAGCCACAAAATTAGAGGTTATGGTAATTTTACTAAATAATTCAAGATATAACTACATTCATTAAACCAATATCAACATCTTATTTGTTAAAGGTTACACAAGCAAGATCATTCTGTCTTGGGCTGCGTTTATAGTTTTGTTACCCCTATGCCAAATTTTGACACCTTATAATATTTGGCAGGGATGAGTATGAAATTGCTTCATTAATACATGCAAAGAAAAATGTAGGCGGGCAATTCTTAAGATGTTTCTAATATTACCTTACCATTAATTTTAAAGCAAGCTTATTTATTAAAGATTTTACTTAAGTTACATAAACTTGAAAGAGCATTTCACTAGTCTTTTGTAGTATATGATTTAAGCGCTTTTCATTGTTTTAAGCCAATTAATTAGCACTCTTTTATATATTTTTAGTAGTGAAACACTGTGTACACAACACATAAATACACAGACATATTAGGCATGCTTTAGAACTACATTTTACAGATTTATGAAAACCTTTTTTTCCCCTATATTAGACTTTCAGATTCTTGATGACCTATTTCATAACCCTGGGCAGTTTTCAGCTAAATAGCCTTAAATTTGCATATTAAAGGAAACAACTTAGGTGAAAGTCAAATAGCAAAATTTACATTATAAGGTCGGAGAGAAAACGTTTGGTGTGCTAGAGGGAAATTAAAACAGATTTAATTGCCAATTAAGCATAAAATCGTAGAAATTATAAAGGCCTTTTAAATATATATACACACACACATAGACACACACATAAACAAATATCCTATAGCTTTTACTTCAGAACTTTTAGCCATGAGATAAACACAAATTCACCACCCTGCAAAAAGAACTTGTTGGATGCAGTGGTTTTTATCTTAATAGAAAAATAACAGCAGATTTAGAGCAGGCAGAAAAGAAAAAAATCGAGAAAAAGAGCACTTAGGAACTCTATAATTTGCAGGTCGATCTTAGGGCTCTTTTTCCTTAATGTAAATGTGCACAAAGACCATATTATTTCCATTTTACATAAACTTTGGCAAGTAGATGTGCCATACAACCTATGGAGTGCTGGAAAGGGGGTCATTCTCTTTGTTTCCTCCTCATTCTTATATTGTTTCCCAATTTTTTTTTCTCTCTTAATAGGAGGAACTGAGCTGTGGCCCAGGTTTTTTGATTGCTATGTGCTGCTTGTGGGCAGGATGCTACAGTGTGTCATCGCTGAGTCGTTTCCACCCTCTTACATGTCTCAGTTTCTCTCTCCAGAGGTTTATGACCCCAGAAAAGGCTCAAAAGGCTGGGCGATCAGCCCTTATATGCGTTTCCTGGATGAGCCATTTTTAAAATTAATTTTTGTTGGGGATTTCCCTCCAGGGCCGCTGCACGTCGCAAGGGGTTAACCCCCCCAGAGACTCCCATGAGGCCCCCAGTCACCTAGGGGCGCTTTCAGCTGGGAGGAGTAAATGCCTTTTCTCTTCAGAGCTGAGAAAACTGTCATTAACGTATGAAAACAACAGTTCACTTCTTCACGCAAATGCACACAGACAAACCGAATTAAGTTTAAATTTGGGAGAAAAAGCAATAGAGAAGACCCTTTAGAATGCATCTCTGAACAAGAATTAGGATCCTTAAACAACAACTTCAGACTGGAACAAAGCAACAACAACAAAAAAACCAACAATATGATCACTGAGCGCTCTAATGGTAAGGAGAAATTAAGACCAGCTGGTTGTTAATCTTAACTTTATCCAAGACAAACCCCAATTCAGTTACCTATCTAGGGATGGGTCTCAGGCCGAAGGCTGCTTTCTACCATCCTAGAAGCAGGAAAAAAACAAAAAACAAACTCATCTTCCCTGTTAGAAGTGAGCTCAGACTCCATAGGAGTTACCTGCATTCCATTGTCATGGAAGCAGGAGAAAAGTTGCCTTCCTTGTGTTGGAAGCAAGTAAAACTCTAGAAAAAGAGGAGTTGTACAGCAAAATAAACTTTAGATCTTGACTAAATTTTGGGAGATCAGGGATTCTCTGGACGGGGTACTCTCAGACCTCAGCAAATTGTCCTATTGGTTTGAGCCATAAAGTTAGCTCATGCTGGTACCATGCACCAATGGGAGATTTGTCAAAAGTCAGGGGCATCTCCACTCAGAATCCCTCAATGATTACCAAAATGTGAACCCTGAAAATTTGAGACAGGTCTCAGTTAATTCAGAAACTTTATTTTGCCAAGGTTGAAGATGCGTGCCCGTGACACAGCCTCAGGGAGTCCTGGCGACATGTGCCCAAGGTGGTCAGGGCACAGTTTGTTTTCATACATTTTAAGGAGACATGAGACATCAATCGATATATGTAAGAAGTACGTTGGTTCCGTCCAGAAAGGCGGGGACAACTCGAAGTGGGGAGGGGGCTTCCAGGTCGCAGGTAGCTGAGAGACAAATGGTTGCATTATTTTGTTTCTGACAAGCCTCTCCAAAGGAGGCAATCAGGTATGTGTCTATCTCAGCGAGCAGAGGAGTGACTGAATAAAATGGGAGGCAGGTTTGCCCTGAGTAGTTCCCAGCTTGACTTTTCCCTTCAGCTTAGTGATTTGTGGGGCCCCAAGATTTCCCACAAGTGAAAGGAAAATATCTCAATCCCCCGCCCCAAATCACCAAGCTCAAAGGAAAATTCAGGTTGGGAACTGCTCAGGCCACACCTGCCTCCCATTCTATTCAGTCACCCCTCTGCTCATGATGAACAGGATGCTGCTGAACCCTGGGGTCGCTGGGGCCTTAAATGACTTTGATGATGAGAGACTGGGCATGGAGAGCTAGAGGCCCTCATCTCCCTTCCCCAGCGAGTCGGAAGCGTCCCCATTACTAGTTCCTAGAATATGCTGAGATGTCTCAGGTTGCGGTGTGCAGCTGGGAGTTGCAGCCTGGCAGGAGGCCCAGGTTTTAGCCTGTGAACCGGGGCCCTGCTATGTAGGCCAGGGTGGCTCTGACCTGGCACTCTGTGGGGCCAGGGCAGACATAGCAGCAAAGGCCATGGGGTCACAAAGAGAGAGACTGCAGAAGGATCAGGAGTAACAGGCATAATGGGGCTATTCTTCCCTAGGCCTGAACACTGGGAAGGCACTGGCAGGGCCCCGGTTTTGATGGTGGATTCTTGGAGTAGGGGCCTTGGTAATAGGGCTCTGAGTGCTGGGGCAGAATGGGCTATCTTGACCCTTCATAGTCAGGGTCCCAAGTGGGCAATCCTGGAGCCTCCAGGTCTTTGGTCCAGCGGCGGGGTTTTCCACTCAAGGGCCACAGGTACAGACAAGCAGAGCAGAAACAGCCCCCCCGGCCTTTCACTTCCCACCTGCTCCCGAGGGAGAGAGTAAGGTTTCTGGGGGTAAGTGGGGGCTATCTGAAAGAAAAGGGTGATTTTGGCTGGGGCTCGGTGCCCTACAAGAGCCCTTGCTTGACTTTGACGCAAGGCACAGACTGGGCTCTGAAGGGGCAGGCTGGGGGGTAGACGTCGTCATGGATGTTGGATCTCCCTTCCGGCCATGGCCCAAGTACGACCCCTGTTCCCTTAAAGTCAGGACCTCGCAGAACTTTCGCAAGATGGGTCCTCGGAGTCTGCCCGCGATTGCGCTCCCAAGGGGTGCCGCTGCCGAGGGTAGGCGCGCCAGTCGAGATCAAAGCGGATGGGATGACGCCACTGGAGGGCGCGCGGGGCCGCGGGGCAGGGTGGTGCTCCTGCTGCAGGTTTCAGGCCTCTTCTGCCTTCTACAGCCGCCAGGTCAGCAGAGGCGGAGGCCCGGGCTGTGGATGGCCGAGGAGCCGAACTCGTGAAGCCACGTTCCTCCTGCAGCTCTTAACCCAGGCGCGGCGGCTCGCCGGGCCGCTCCCCTTACTCCGAAACCGTGAGCCTCAGCCCTTCCCTCTCTCCCCAATCCCAGGGGGCGCCGGCGGACACCCCAGAAACCCACGCGCTCTCGTTCCTGGTCCCGCCCCCTCTACGTTCCCTCCCCCTCTACGTTCCCTCCCCTTTTCCTTCCAGAGGCGGCGGCCCCGGAAGCTCCCGCCATTCTGGACCCGCCCCCTCCAAGCTCCCGCCCCTTTCCCTTCCTGTGGAGGCGGCCTCGGAAGCTCCCGTCTTTCTGGACCCGCCCCTTCCCCACCCTGCTCCGCCCTCGGCCCCGGCCCCCGCTCCGAGCTCCCTTAGCTCTAAGCGGTTCCGGAAGCTCCCGCCTTTCTGGACACGCCCCTGCCTCCCCCACAGGATTCCGACTCTCTCCCGGCTCGTCGAGGGCTTGACATTTTACCGGGGGGTGGCCCAGAAAAACCTCGTAGAGATGGTGACTTTAAAAAATTCTTTTTCGGCTAGGTGCGGTGACTCACGCCTGTAATCCCAGCGCTTTGGGAGGCCGAGGCGGGCGGATCACTTGAAATCACGAGTTCGAGATCCGCCTGGCCAACATGGTGAAACCCCGTCTCTACAAAAATACAAAAATTAGCCGGGCGTAGTGGCGCAGGCCTGTGGTCCCAGCTACTCGGGAGGTTGAGGTGGGAGGATCGCCCGAGCTGGGGGAGGTTAAGGCTGCAGTGAGCTGTGATCGCGCCACTGCACTCCAGCCTGGACGACAGGGCAAGATTGTGCCTTAAAAATAAAAACTTGTTTTGGTAAAATACACATAATATTTACCATATGTACTTTTTTTTTTTTTTTAAATGGAGTCTGGTTCTGTTGCCCAGACTGGAGTGCAGTGGCACACCACTGGGTTCAAGCGATTCTCGTGTCTCAGCCACCCATGTAGCTGGGATTACAGGCATGCGCCACCACGCTGGGCTAATTTTTGTCTTTTTAGTAGAGATGGGGGTTTCTGCCATGTTGGCCAGGCTGGTCTGGAACTCGTGGCCTCAGGTGATCTGCCTGCCTTGGCCTCCCAAAGTGCTGGGATTACAGGCTGAGCCACCGTGCCCGGCCCTACCATGATTTTTTTTTTTTTTAAACAGAAGTCTTGCTCTGTCGCCCAGGCAATGGCACGATCTCGGCTAATTGCATCCTCCGCCTCCGGGGTTCAAGTGATTCTCCTGCCTCAGCTTCCAGAATAGCTGGGATTACAGGCACCTGCACCATGCCCAGTTAATTTTTGTATTTTTGGTAGAGAGGGAGTTTCGCCATGTTGGCCAGGCTGGTCTCGAACACTTGACCTCAGGTGATCACCTGCCTTGGCCTCCCAGAGTGCTGGGATTACAGGTGTCAGCCACTGCGCCCAGCCTACCATGGTATTTTTAATGGCCACGTAATACCCTGTGTGTGTTATATTGTGTGGATGTGTTATATTAATTTAACCAGCCCCCTATTGATTAACATTGTAGCTGTTTATAAAATGGTGTAGTAAACATCCTTTCTGTAGGTCTTTGTGCACATATGGAGTATATTTGTAGGCTGATTTCTTGGAAGTAGAATTGTTGGGGTAAAAGCTATGTGTGTGTTTAATTTATGATTTTACCTATTTACCCTCCCACTAGTGACTTGTTTAGCTACATTTATTCAAATTGTCTGCACTCGCTTTCTCCACAACCTTACCTCCTACTCACTCCACAACTCATTCTAATTTGGCTTCTCTCTATCACTGCACCTTCAAAGGCTCTAAGGTCACCAATGATCTTCATGTTGTCCTATGGACAATCTTCAGATCTCATTTCACTGCTTCTCTAAAAGACTTCATACAGTTGACCATTCTCTCCTTTGTGAAACATTCTTCTCCCAGCTTTCATAGTGCCACATTCGCCTGGTTTTGCTCTAGCCATGTTGTCTTTCCTCTGCCCACTCTGAAATGTTGGTGCTGCTCAGAGCTTTGGTTACCATCTACATGCAGTTGATCCACACAGTGAAGTCTCCCTTCCTAACCTTTATTCAACTGCTTATTTGTCATCTTGAGTTGAATGTCCCACAGGGACCTCAAATCAATCATACCCAACATTATCCTCCCCCTTCTCATGCTCCCATCTCAGTAGCTGTTCCACTGCTCTCCTAGCCAGAAACCTACAGGTCTGGTTACTTGAATGTCCCTATTCCTCAATGCGCACCTCTAGTCAATCACCATGGCCCTGCCCATTCTATTTCCATAATCCTTTTCCCTTTTTTTTTTCTTTTGAGACAGGTTCTCGCTCTGTTGCCCAGGCTGGAGTGTAGTGGTGCAATCATGCCTCACTGTAACCTCAACCTCTCCAGCTCCTCCTGCCTTAGCCTCCCGAGAAGCTGGGAAGCTGGGACCACAGACACACCACCATGCCTGGCTAATTTTCCTTTTTTTTTTTTTTTTTTTTTTGAGACGGAATCTCGCTCTGTCACCCAGGCTGGAGTGCAGTGGCGTGGTCTCAGCTCGCTGCAAGCTCCGCCTCCTGGGTTCATGCCATTCTCCTGCCTCAGCCTCCTGAGTAGCTGGGACTACGGGCGCCTGCCACCACGCCTGGCTAATTTTTTGTATTTGTAGTAGAGATGGGGTTTCACCGTGTTAGCCGGGATGGTCTCAATCTCCTGACCTTGTGATCCGCCCACCTCGGCCTCCCAAAGTGCTGGGATTACAGGCGTGAGCCGCTGCGCCCGGCCAATTTTCCATTATTTCTTACCAACGGTCACCTTTCTTTTCCTCCCTTTGTCCCCACCACCTTCTGTACCACCTGGACACTGCAATGATATTCTAATTCTAATTGCCTCCCTGGCTTTAGGCTTGCTACTCTTTTTTTTTTTTTTTTTTTTTTTTTGAGGCAGGGTCTCACTTTGTACCCCAGGCTGGAGTGCCCTGGCGTGATCTCAGTTCGTTGTGGCCTTGACCCCCTGGGTTGAAGTGGTAGGCTTGCTACTCTTTAAACCAGCTTCCACCCTGTAGCCAGAGTTAACTTTGAGAAATGCAGATCTAATTATGTTACTATCCTGCTTTTTAAAACCTTTCAATAAGTTCTGATTGCTCCTAGGGTAAAGACAGAAACTTTTTCCATGGTTGATTAGGCTCAGACAAACTCTCCAGCTTTTTTTGGTTACCGCTGTCCCCTTCTCCATGCCATAATTTGTTTCTTGAAGGTTTTCTGTTCCTTCGCACTCAGGGCTTTTTTCTTTGCTGTTTTCTCCATCCTGGAATGCTCTTTCTTTCCCTCTCACCTTAACCTGGCTAACACTTTTTCAATCACCAAGCCTCAGCATAAATTTCACTTGCTTGCGGATGCCTTCCAAGACCCCTGAGACTTATGCCCAGTGTTGAGAGCACAATAAATATATGAATATGTTTATTCACATTACATATATGAATATATGAACCACAATAAATGTATGAACGAACCACTTACGGGCCAAGTGGGTGATTCTTAGGCTGCAGTTTTTTCATATGACCTGTAGATGTCATCATTGGCCTCAGCTTAACTCAGTCTAGGCTGAGTGGTCCCCAGCCTGGTGTGTTCATCCAGCAAGTTGGAAAGGTTGTCGAAAAGCCCAGCTTCTTCCCACAAGGTCTGATACCTTTCCATCTGTCCTGGCCAGCTGCCTTGATAGGGTGACCAACCATCCCAGTTTTCCCAGGACTGAACTTTCAGTGTTCCAAGGACAAGGAATTTTCAGTGCTAAAGCTGGGATAATCCCAGGCAGGTGGGAGAGTTGGTCACCCAACCACAGTCAGAAGAGCCAAAACTCCCATATCTGACCTGGAGCAAGGTCTATGCCCAGCAAGAGGGCTTAGCTTCAACCCAGCCAAGCCCCTCACAGCAACATCTGTGGTGGGCAGACCCTGCATGCAGCCTGGTGATTGTAAGAATTAAGAGAGAAACAGTATTTACACTGTAAATAAATATAAAGAGACTCACCTTTGCCAGGCAATCGCTACCATTTAGTGAGTGCCACTGGGTATAACACACTTACACATATTGTTTCTAATCCTTATAGAAATCCTAAGAGTACAGTTTACTCCCTTTTTGGAAATGAGAAAACTGAGACTCAGAGATTAAGTAACCAGCCCAAGTCACACAGGTGTTAAGTGGTGAAATTCAAACCCATGTCTGTTCAACCACAGAGCTCCTGTGATTTTCCCTGAACCTGCAGCCTGGCCATTTTTCTGCTGCTCTAATCTTCATTTGGGAACCCAGGGATATGAATGGGAAGCAAGAGGCAGGTGTGGGTGGAAGGGGTTGAGGAAGGGGGCCTGTGATCAGGGCTTGGGGAAGGGGATGGGCACATGGCATTGACAGCTTGCTTGTCCTTTCATGAGTGGGCTCTGCCACCTTGAGCTAAATGTGGACATAGCCTGGGGACATCCAGGGAGGCTCCTTCATGGGCCCTTATTCTGACACCAAGTTGGGTTCTAATTGAGGAGCCAGGGCTATGTTTCCCAGAGTCCAGGATGGACCTAGCCCACTCTCATATGATTGCAAAGGGACTTCTGGACATGGGAGAGCACGAGAGTTAGCCATAAACTGGAGGGACAAGTGCTGGGTGGGGGCTGTGACCAGGGTCATGCTCAGTGAATGACTGCAGTTAATTGTATAGCCAGGCTTCTCTCCTTCCCAGGGACATTGTAAGGCTGAGTTTTATTTTGCCCAGGCAGTCACTTAGGAATTGAGCTGCTTTTGAATAGTGAACAAAAGTTGCTTTTGTACAGGTATGGACCAAGGCCTGACTGTGATGGGCAGTGGCCTGGCAGCCAGATGTCCCCTCCACAGGAAGTGTAATAAGCCAGACTCTGGGATTCCTTCATATTAAAAAACAAAATACAAACATCCTTCAGGAATCTTAAGTTCCCTAGCAGGGAGCTGCTATTGAAATGCAGTGGGCTTTAGGCTGTGCAGGTTCACTGCATTTCCTTGACTCTGTCCAAGAGTCTTAGGGTGCAAAAATCTGCCAAGGCCACCTTGGCCCCAGACCTACCCAGCCCCTGTGTCTGGTGTGACCCATTGCCCTGTGGTGTGGCCAGTTTCTGCCCTGTGGCTCCACTCAGCTAGCCACATCATCGGACAGGTGGAGCTTGAGCAAGTCCTCATCAGAGCTGGGTCATGTCTCTGTCCTTCCACAGCTGGCCTTCCATCTTCTATCAGAGAACTGGGCCTTGCACATTCTAGGGCAGGCTGAGCATAATGCAGGGCTGGAGTGGACAGAAACGACTGATGATGCTGCCTTGTACTCGGGACTCCTGTGTCCTTCATTCTGAAAACACCTAGTGTGTTCCAACTGTGACTAAAGGGAAGAGGGAACTGTGAGACAGTCATCAACAGTGTACCCTTACACTGACCTGGGGCTTCTTGCCAGAAGCTCATGGAAGACAGTCACCTGGTGCGGTGGAAAGCACAGGACTTTATAGTCAGACACAACTGGGTTCTGCTATTTTCTTGGTGGGTGACCTTGGGAAAGTTACTCAACCTCTCTGAGTCTTGAGTTCCTCAACTGGTAAATAGGAATAATAATATCTATGTCACAAGTTTGTTTTGAGGTCTAAATTTGCTGATCAATGTCTATAAAAATGTATATAAAAATAAAATATTCATTGAGTGCTTATGATGTGGCAGGCCATGTTGAAGTGCTTTCTAAGCATGGTGTGAACTCATATACCCTATGAGCTGTGTACTTTCATTATCTGTGCTTTACAGATGCAAAGATTGAGAGAGGAGAGCTTGAGTAACTTGCCCGAGGTCACAGAGTTAGTAAATAGCAGAGCCAGGATTTGGACCCAAGCACTTAGGCTCTAGCTCACACATACTAAGCTACCAAACCATGGTGCCATATGGAGTAGGGCTGAATAAAGACTAGCTATTATGATTATTGTAATTTAGCATTAAGTGCTTTTTATATCCATGGTGCTAAGTGTTAATTATTAGCATATTTTGATGCAACATTTATCCTTTTTGTTCCTATTTTTCCACAGCCATGGCAACAAAGGGCCTTGTGCTCACTCTAGCAGAGCGTCCTGCCTTTGTCTGTGATCCAGCCTGGTGCGTCAGTCTTTGCAAACAAAAGATGTGACCACCCGGCCGCCTATCCCTGCCCCCACCAAAGCAGTAATGGAGGCTGAGGCCTCTCCAGTTGAGCCGAGCCAGGAGAGCAGCAGACAGGTACAGATCAGCAGGCCAGGAACAGGGCTCACAAAAGAGAGGTCGTGCTTAATAAACCTGACTAATTTCTTGGAGCGGCAACAATGCCAAGTGGACAGAGGTGAAATGAGGGACAGTAACTCAGTAACTCATCCTGATTCCGAGGCACAGAAGCACAGCTAAAATCAACAGAGAGAGTTTGTGGAGATGCTGCTGGGGCCTGAAAGGGTCTGGTGGGGCTCAGTTCTGGGGGAAGATGGATGGAAACTCAGTGAGGGTAAGAGGTACCTCTGAGCAGGGACAGAACACAGGCTGCCCAAGCTACCTGATTGAAATGTAAAGCTGACTAGGACGCTTTCCTGCTTAGATCCCATCCATTGGCCTCCCACCACCTAAATATCATAATCATGTGGACAATAATAACTGTAGTTATTTGATATTTACTATGTATAGGGTGCTTTACAGAGGAAGAAACTGAGCCATAGAGCTTAAGTAACCTGCCCAAAGTCAAACAGTTATTAATACACAACTGGGACTTCAATCCAGTTTACTGTCACAGGCTGACCCAACTACACTTTGGGTCCATCTGTAACTGTATTTGATGGCGGTCCCTTCCATCAGACAGGAAGCCCTTCTGCAGCAGGAGCCGTAACTGATTCGGTGTCTGCCTCTGTAGCCTTCCAGTTGAGCTGGATTTCCAGCTCAACTGAAGCGCCTAGGTCCTCTGTGCTTCTCCCTCTGAACACTCTCTGGGTGAGCTCATCCATGCTTTCAGCTTCAATTCCCACCTCCCGGAGGAAGACTTCTAGAGAAGGCATAGGGTTGACTCCCTAAGCACTCTTCCACCCCACATGATTGATCTTAGCCCATCACATTCATTCCATCCTTCTTGCCAGTAGTTGGTTTAGGAATGAAGATATGCTCCAGCCCTGCTCAGTGAGATGAAAGGGACCGTCTTAGTCAGTTCAGGCTGCTATAACAGAATACCATAGACTGGATGGTTTAAACAATACACATGTATTTCTTACAGTTCTGGAGGCTGGGAACCAAGATCAAAGGATGGGAAGATTCGGTGTCTGGTGAGGGCCTGCTTCCTGGTTCATTGACTGTCTTCTTGCTGTGACCTCACTTGGCAGAAAGAGGGCTAGAGAGTTCTCTGGGGGCCAGGCACTGTGGCTCACACCTGTAATACCAACATTCTGGGAGACCAATGCAGGAGGATTGCTTGAAGCCAGGAATTCAAGACCAACCTGGGCAACATAGTGAGAACCTGTAGTTCCAGCTACTTGGGGGCTGAGGCAAGACCATCACTTGAGGCCAGGATTTCAAGGCTGCAGTGAGCTATGATAGTGCCACTGCACTGCAGCCTGGGTGACAGAGCAAGACCCTGTCTCTAAAAAAATAAAAACAAAATAAGAAGAGAGTTCTTTGGGGGTCTCTTTTGTAAGGGCACCAAACACCTAATCACCTGACCTAATCGCCTCCCAAAGGCCCCATCTCCTAATACATACCTTGGGGGTTAGGATTTCAACATAAGAATGTTGGAGGACACAAACATTTATTCCATAATAAGGACGTTTGCTGAAGGCCTTCTGGGAAAGGTTTCCTCACCCCTAGGTGAGAGTGATGTAAACAGAAGTATCTCTTTTTCCCGGGAATGTTGTTAAGTCTGAAGGTGTCCTGGAACTGCTGCAGCTGTTTTGCTAACACCTGAGGATGGAGCCAACAGTAAAGGTGGCAGAGCGGAGAGATGGAAGGAGTCTTTGCCTTTAAGGGCACTCGATCTGCCAACCCTGGAGGCCACACTAACGCTGAATTTCCTCACACAAGGGAAATTAAACATTGTCACTGTTGGAGCCATTGCCAGTGGGTTTCTGTTATAGCAGAAAGCATGTTTATTGTTACAAACAGAGCAGCATTCAGACTTTTGTGGGCCCCTTCCTATGTAAACTTTTTATTTATTTATTTTTTTGAGACAGAGTCTCGCCCTGTCATACAGGCTGGAGTGCAGTGGCGCGATCTCAGCTTACCACAACCTCCGCCTCCCGCGTTCAAGCGATTCTCCTGCCTCAGCGTCCTGAGTAGCTGGGACTATAGGCACACGCTACCATGCCTGGCTAATTTTTGTATTTTTAGTAGAGATGGGGTTTCACTATGTTGGCCAGGTTGGTCTTGAACTCCTGACCTCGTGATCCACCCACCTTGGCCTCTCAAAGTGCTGGGATTACAGGCCTGAGCCACTGTGCCCGGCCTGTAAACATTTTTTTAAAGTTATATTTTATGACTGCATTAGCACAAAGATAAATTATATTAATATTATTTATTAAAACATCTTCTTTGCCAGGCGCAGTCAAGCCTGTGGTCCCAGCTACTTGGGAGGCTGATGCAGGAGGGTCACTCAAGCCCAGGAGTTTGAGGCTGCAGTGAGCTATCATCAAGCCACTGCACCCCAGCCTGGACAACAGAGCAACTCTGTCTCTTAAACAGGCTGGGTGCAGTGGCTCACGCCTGTAATCCCAGCACTTTGGGAGGCTGAGGCAGGCAGATCACTTGAGGTCAGGAGTTCGAGACCAGTCTGGGGAACATGGTGAAACCCCGTCTCTACTAAAAATACAAAAATTAGCTGGGTGTGGTGGTGTGCACCTGTAATTCCAGCTACTTGGGAGGCTCAGGCAGGAGAATCACTTGAATCCAGGAGGTGGAGGTTGCAGTGAGCCATGATCATGCCATTGCACTCCAGCCTGGGTGACAGAGCGAGACTCTATCTCAAAAACAAACAAACAAACAAACCAAAAAACTTTTGACTTAAAAGTTTGTTTTTTCTTCTGATTTAAAGGGAATTGTATTAGGGTGCTCTTGCACTGCTAGAAATTCCTCCAGCCTGGGCAACATGGAGAAACCTCATCTCTACCAAAAATTACAGAAAAATAAAAAATTAGCCAGTTGTGGTGGTGTGTGCCTGTAGTCTCAGCTGCTGGGGAGGCTGAGATGGGAAGATTTCTTGAACCCAGGAGGCGGAGGTTGCAGTGAGCTGAGATTGTTCCACTGCACTCCAGCCTGAGTGACAGAGCAAAATCCTGTCTCAAAAAAAAAAAAAAAAAAAAGAAAGAAAGAAAGAAAAAGAAATACCTGAGACTGGGTGATTTGTAAGAAAGGAGTTTTGGCTGGGCATGGTGGCTCATGCCTGTAATCCTAGTACTTTGGGAGGCTGAGGCAAGAGGATCACTTGAGCCCAGGAGTTTGAGACCAGCCTGGGCAACATGGCAAGATCCCATCTCAATTATTTAAAAAAATGAAAAAGAAAAACAAAGAAAAGAGGTTGAATAGGCTCATGGTTCTGCAGGCTGTACAGGAAGCATAGTGGTATCTACTTCTGGGGAGGCCTCGGGAAGCTTCCAATCATGGTGGAAGGTGAAGGGAGAGCAGGCCCATCACATGGTGAAAGCAGGAGCAAGAAGGCGGGGTGGGGCGGGGGAGGTGCCACACACTTTTAAATGACCAGATCTTGCAAGAACTCACTCACTATTGTGAAGACAGCACCAAGAGGATGGTGCCAAACCATTCATGAGAAGTTCACCCCCATGATCCAATCACCTGCCACCAGGTCCCACCTCTAACACTGGGTATTACAATTTGACATGAGATTTGGGTGGGGACAAACATCCAAACCATATCAGGAATTAAAGCATTTTTGTCAGCCCTAAAAGTCCTGGGGCACTCATGTCTCTACTGTGCTTAGCGGATGGGCTGGTCCTGGTTACAGCTCCCAAATATGTACTCAGGCCCACACCTCTGTTTTGACCTTCGAGCTCCCATGTCCAGCTGTCTTTTGGATAGTTCCCCTTTGGTGTCTTACTCAAATCCAACATGTCTCAAGCTGAACACAGTTTCCCCCAAATCTTTTCTTTGCCCAGCATCCCCTATCTGAGTGAAACATGTACCACCCAGCTAGTTGCACCAGCCAGAAACCTGGACCTCAACCTCTCCCTCACCCTGTAGCCGTGTCCAGTCACCAAGTGCTGCCAATTTTCTCTCTTACATGGCTCTTGAAAGCATCCACTTCTTTCCATTTTCACTTCTGTCTCTACTGCTGTTGTCCTAATCCGCGTTACCAGCGTCTCTTGCTTGGATTACCACCGTCTCTTGCTGGGATTACCACCATGGACACTAATGGTCTCCCTGCCTTTCACTTGCCCTGCAATCATTTATCTACACTGTCCCAGAAGAATCTTTTCCAACTGCTTAAAACCCACTGATGACTTTACTTCATTATTTCTCTGTTTAAATCCAGCTGATGGCTTCCTGTTGCTCTTATAACAGAGATCCAAAACTTCAAGGAGGTCTCCAAGGCCTTGTCTAGCCTGGCCTCTGCCCCTCTTGCTCTGCTCTCTTACCCAGCTTCAGCTACATGATCTTCTCTCAAACACACAGGCTCCCTCCTGGCACAGGACCTTTGCACATGATACTCATCTTAGTCCGTTTGAGCTGCTATAAGAAAATACCATAGACTGGGTAGCTTATAGAACAAAAGAGCTTTATTTCTTACAGTTCTAGAGGCTGGGAACTCCAATATCAGGGTGCTGGCAAATTTGGTGTCTGGTGAGGGCCCTCTTCCTGTTCACAGATGGCGCCTTCTTCCTGTGTCCTCACATGCTGGGAGGGCACACAAGCTCCCTTGAGCTTCTTTAATATGAGCACTAATCCCATTCATGAGGAACCCTCATGATCTAATCTCTCCCAAAGCCTCCACCCCCCAATACCTTTCACCTTGGCAGTTAAAATTTTAACATATGAAACTTAAGGGACACAAACATTCAGACCATAGCAATATTCTTCTATTTTCTACTCCTTCAGCTCAAAGCTTCTCAAGGAAGCTTTCTCTAGTCTAGGTCAAGTATCATTAACTATGTGGCATTAGGCAAGTTTCTTTTATTTATTTATGTATTTAATGAGACAGGGGCCTTCCTCTGTCGCTTAGGCTGGAGCGCAATGATGCGATTGTGACTCACTTCAGCCTTGAACTCCTGGGCTTAAGTGATGCTCCTGCCTTGGCCTCCCAAGGTGTTGGGAATACAGGTGTGAGCCGCTGTGCCTGGCATAGGGAAGTTTCTTTACTGTGTGGTGCCTTCGTTTTCTCATCTGTAAAATGAAGATATAATAATGCCTAACTCACAGGTTTGTTGTGAGGATTAAATAGAATGTCACATGGGAACTGCTGTGAGGGTAGCTGGTGCAGTGCCTGCTTGCCTAGTTGTCCTGGCCCCTGGCTAGCTCTCTAGAGGGGGAAAGTGGTGGAGAGATCCCTCCCAATTAACACTAGCTGGAGATGTTGGGCTGATACAGGTTCTAAAATGTGAGGATTTCAGGGAAGAGCATCTCTACAAGGGCACAGAAGATTTCTGAGTTACCTGAGTGAAAGCAAAGAGCTAATTGTGCCAGAGAGTCATTGACAATGCCTGGGGTTGGGCTAGGGTACTCGGAGAAAGAGGTCAAGAGAACTCACAAAGGTCAGGGAGAGAGAGGAGGTGAGTGGGAGTACACCACATTTCTGTCAAATCTCTGAGTAGCCCAGAGCCCTGGAAGGAAGGGCCCTGGTTGCCACAGGGTCTCTATGTCAAGAAAACCTGGGCTGTCATCCCTAGCCTGTCATTTATGAGCTGGAGGAGGGGGAAAGTCATGTCACTTCTCTGTGTTTCAGTTTTCTTACCTATAAAATTGAGCTAATGATTGACTTTGTGGGGTCGGTGGGAGGATTAAATGGGGCTATAATAGTTTGCTGGGGCTGCCTAATGGCTTGAGCTGAGACGTTGGTCTTCTCTGGCCCTTAGACTGGGACTTACACCATCAGTGCTTCTGGTTCTCAGGCCTTTGGACTAAAGCTGAAATCTATATCACTGGCTTTCCTGGGTCTCCAGCCTGCAGATAACAGATCATGGGACTTTGCAGCCTCCATAACTGTATGAGCCATTTCCTTATAATAAATCTCATTGTACTCTCTCTCTCTCTCTCTGTATATATCTGTGTATATATATATATATATATATATATATATACACACACACACACACACACACACACATACATACACACACTATGCCAGGCCATGTTTTGTTTCTTCTGATCTACAGACGATTAATTGCCTATTTAATATTGATTTTTTCCCTTCTTAGTTAGGGAAAATTTGCTGGCCACATGTCTAGAGGAAAAATTTTACATTCTAACCTGTCTTTTAGATAGGGTGGCCAATGAGCTATAAGCAGTAAGGCTTCCAGAAAAGCCCTTTAACTTTAACTTTAACTTTCATCTTCCTGCCCAGAACTATGATATGATGGCTGGAGTGCCAGTAGCCACATTTTAACCTTGAAGATAGAAGCTGCTTAAAGAATGGTGAAGCACAAAAATAGAATCCTAGGTGACTTTCTAGAGCATACCAGTCTTAGACTGCCTGCCTCTGGAATTCTCTTATGTACAAGAATAAATTTGTACAAGCCATCATAGTTAGATCTCTGTTACTACTCACCAATTACAATCCCTAATAAATAAACATGTCGCCTTTCTGCCGACTCAGCCTAGAGTTCCAGGAACTTTTTTTTTTTTTTTTAAGACAGAGTCTTGCTCTGTCATCCAGGCTGGAGTGGAGTTTGCAATCTTGGCTCACTGCAACCTCTGCCTCCTGGGTTCAAGCAATTCTCGTGCCTCAGCCTCCCGAGTAGCTGGAATTACAGGCATGCACCACCACGCCCGGCTAATTTTTGTGTTTTTAGTAGAGATGGGTTTCACTATGTTGGCCAGGCTGGTCTCAGACTCCTGACCTCAGGTAATCTGCAGGCCTTGGCCTCCCTCCCAAAGTGCTGGGATTATAGGTGTGAGCCACCATGGCCGGCCTCTAGGAATTTAAGTGGGCATTTCTATGAACATCCAATCATTCCTGAAGAAAAAAGGTGCTTATTATACCATATGGTGTAAGAACAAAGATCACTTACTTTTTTTTTTTAATGGAGTCATATATATATATATATATATGTCTATGTCTATACACACATATTTTTTGTCTGATTTCTTTTTTTTATTATTATTATACTTTAAATTTTAGGGTACATGTGCACAACGTGCAGGTTTGTTACATATGTATACATGTGCCATGTTGGTGTGCTGCACCCATTAACTCGTCATTTAGCATTAGGTTTAGCTCCTAATGCTATCCCTCCCCCCTCCCCCCATCCCACAACAGTCCCCGGTGTGTGATGTTCCCCTTCCTGTGTCCATGTGTTCTCATTGTTCAATTCCCACCTATGAGTGACAACATGCAGTTTTGGTTTTTTGTCCTTGCGATAGTTTGCTGAGAATGATGGTTTCCAGCTTCATCCATGTCCCTGCAAAGGACATGAACTCATCATTTTTTATGGCTGCATAGTATTCCATGGTGTATATGTGCCACATTTTCTTAATCCAGTCTATCATTGTTGGACATTTGGGTTGGTTCCAAGTCTTTGCTATTGTGAATAGTGCCGCAGTAAACATACGTGTGCATGTGTCTTTATAGCAGCATGATTTATAATCCTTTGGGTATATACCCAGTAATGGGATGGCTGGGTCAAATGGTATTTCTAGTTCTAGATCCCTGAGGAATCGCCACACCGACTTCCATAATGGTTGAACTAGTTTACAGTCCCACCAACAGTGTAAAAGTGTTCCTATTTCTCCACATCCTCTCCAGCACCTGTTGTTTCCTGACTTTTTAATGATCGCCATTCTAACTGGTGTGAGATGGTATCTCATTGTGGTTTTGATTTGCATTTCTCTGATGGCCAGAGATGATGAGCATTTTTTCATGTGTTTTTTGGCTGCATAAATGTCTTCTTTTGAGAAGTGTCCATTCATATCCTTTGCCCACTTTTTGATGGGGTTGTTTGTTTTTTTCTTGTAAATTTGTTTGAGTTCATTGTAGATTCTGGATATTAGCCCTTTGTCAGATGAGTAGGTTGCAAAAATTTTCTCCCATTCTGTAGGTTGCCTGTTCACTCTGCCGGTAGTTTCTTTTGCTGTGCAGAAGCTCTTTAGTTTAATTAAATCCCATTTATCAATTTTGGCTTTTGTTGCCATTGCTTTTGGTGTTTTAGACATGAAGTCCTTGCCCATGCCTATGTCCTGAATGGTAATGCCTAGGTTTTCTTCTAGGGTTTTTATGGTTTTAGGTCTAACGTTTAAGTCTTTAATCCATCTTGAATTAATTTTTGTATAAGGTGTAAGGAAGGGATCCAGTTTCAGCTTTCTACATACGGCTAGCCAGTTTTCCCAGCACCATTTATTAAATAGGGAATCCTTTCCCCATTGCTTGTTTTTTTCAGGTTTGTCAAAGATCAGATAGTTGTAGATATGCGGCATTATTTCTGAGGCCTCTGTTCTGTTCCATTGGTCTATATCTCTGTTTTGGTACCAGTACCACGCTGTTTTGGTTACTGTAGCCTTGTAGTATAGTTTGAAGTCAGGTAGCATGATGCCTCCAGCTTTGTTCTTTTGGCTTACGATTGACTTGGCAATGCGGGCTCTTTTTGGTTCCATATGAACTTTAAAGTAGTTTTTTCCAATTCTGTGAAGAAAGTCAGTGGTAGCTTGATGGGGATGGCATTGAATCTATAAATTACCTTGGGCAGTATGGCTATTTTCACGATATTGATTCTTCCTACCCATGAGCATGGAATGTTCTTCCATTTGTTTGTGTCCTCTTTTATTTCATTGAGCAGTGGTTTGTAGTTCCCCTTGAAGAGGTCCTTCACATCCCTTGTAAGTTGGATTCCTAGGTATTTTATTCTCTTTGAAGCAATTGTGAATGGGAGTTCACTCATGATTTGGCTCTCTGTCTGTTATTGGTGTATAAGAATGCTTGTGATTTTTGCACATTGATTTTGTATCCTGAGACTTTGCTGAAGTTGCCTATCAGCTTAAGGAGATTTTGGGCTGAGACAATGGGGTTTTCTAGATATACAATCATGTCATCTGCAAACAGGGACAATTTGACTTCCTCTTTTCCTAATTGAATGACCTTTATTTCCTTCTCCTGCCTAATTGCCCTGGCCAGAACTTCCAACACTATGTTGAATAGGAGTGGTGAGAGAGGGCATCCCTGTCTTGTGCCAGTTTTCAAAGGGAATGCTTCCAGTTTTTGTCCATTCAGTATGATATTGGCTGTGGGTTTGTCATAGATAGCTCTTATTATTTTGAGATATGTCCCATCAATACCTAATTTATTGAGAGTTTTTAGCATGAAGAGTTGTTGAATTTTGTCAAAGGCCTTTTCTGCATCTATTGAGATAATCATGTGGTTTTTGTCGTTGGTTCTGTTTATATGCTGGATTACGTTTATTGATTTGTGTATGGTGAACCAGCCTTGCATCCCAGGGATGAAGCCCACTTGATCATGGTGGATAAGCTTTTTGATGTGCTGCTGGATTCGGTTTGCCAGTATTTTACTGAGAATTTTTGCATGAATGTTCATCAGGGATATTGGTCTAAAATTCTCTTTTTTTGTTGTGTCTCTGCCAGGCTTTGGTATCAGGATGATGTTGGCCTCATAAAATGAGTTAGGGAGGATTCCCTCTTCTTCTATTGATTGGAATAGTTTCAGAAGGAATGATACCAGCTCCTCCTTGTACCTCTGGTAGAATTCGGCTGTGAATCCATCTGGTCCTGGAGTTTTTTTGGTTGGTAAGCTATTAATTATTGCCTCAATTTCAGAGCCTATTATTGGTCTATTCAGATATTCAATTTCTTCCTAGTTTAGTCTTGGGAGGGTGTATATATCGAGGAATTTATCCATTTCTTCTAGATTTTCTAGTTTATTTGCGCAGAGGTGTTTATAGTATTCTCTGATGGTAGTTTGTATTTCTGTGGGATTGGTGGTGGTATCCCCTTTGTCATTTTTTATTGTGTCTATTTGATTCTTCTCTCTTTTCTTCTTTATTAGTCTTGCTAGCAGTCTATCAATTTTGTTGATCTTTTCAAAAAACCAGCTCCTGGATTCACTGATTTTTTGAAGGGTTTTTTGTGTCTCTATTTCCTTCAGTTCTGCTCTGATCTTAGTTATTTCTTGCCTTCTGCTAGCTTTTGAATGTGTTTGCTCTTGCTTTTCTGGTTCTTTTAATTGTGATGTTAGGGTGTCTATTTTAGATTTTTCCTGCTTTCTCTTGTGGGCATTTAGTGCTATAAATTTCCCTCTACACACTGCTTTGAATGTGTCCCAGAGATTCTGGTATGTTGTGTCTTTGTTCTTGTTGGTTTCAAAGAACATCTTTATTTCTGCCTTCATTTCATTATGTACCCAGTAGTCATTCAGGAGCAGGTTGTTCAGTTTCCATGTAGTTGAGAGGATTTGAGTGAGTTTCTTAATGCTGAGTTCTAGTTTGATTGCACTGTGGTCTGAGAGACAGTTTGTTATAATTTCTGTTCTTTTACATTTGCTGAGGAGTGCTTTACTTCCAACTATGTGGTCAATTTTGGAATAGGTGTGGTGTGGTGCTGAGAAGAATGTATATTCTGTTGATTTGGGGTGGAGAATTCTGTAGATGTCTATTAGGTCTGCTTGGTGCAGAGCTGAGTTCAATTCCTGGATATCCTTGTTAACTTTCTGTTTCGTTGATCTGTCTGATGTTGACAGTGGGGTGTAAAAGTCTCCCATTATTATTGTGTGGGAGTCTAAGTCTCTTTGTAGGTCACTAAGGACTTGCTTTATGAATCTGGGTGCTCCTGTATTGGGTGCATATATATTTAGGATAGTTAGCTCTTCTTGTTGAATTGATCCCTTTACCATTATGTAATGGACTTCTTTGTCTCTTTTGATCTTTGTTGGTTTAAAGTCTGTTTTATCCGAGACTAGGATTGCAACCCCTGCCTTTTTTTGTTTTCCATTTGCTTGGTAGATCTTCCTCCATCCCTTTATTTTGAGCCTGTGTGTGTCTCTGTACGTGAGATGGGTTTCCTGAATACAGCACACTGATGGGTCTTGACTCTTTATCCAATTTGCTAGTCTGTGTCTTTTAATTGGAGCATTTAGCCCATATACATTTAATGTTAATATTGTTATGTGTGAATTTGATCCTGTCATTATGATGTTAGCTGGTTATTTTGCTCGTTAGTTGATGCAGTTTCTTCCTAGCCTTGATGGTCTTCACAATTTGGCATGTTTTTGCAGTGGCTGGAAGTGGTTGTTCCTTTCCATGTTTAGTGCTTCCTTCAGGAGCTCTTTTAGGGCAGTCCTGGTGGTGACAAAATCTCTCAGCATTTGCTTGTCTGTAAAGTATTTTATTTCTCCTTCACTTATGAAGCTTAGTTTGGCTGGATATGAAATTCTGGGTTGAAAATTCTTTTCTTTAAGAATGCTGAATATTGGCTCCCACTCTCTTCTGGCTTGTAGAGTTTCTGCCGAGAAATCAGCTGTTAGTCTGATGGGCTTCCCTTTGTGGGTAACCCGACCTTTCTCTCTGGCTGCCCTTAACATTTTTTCCTTCATTTCAACTTTGGTGAATCTGATAATTATGTGTCTTGGAGTTGCTCTTCTTGAGGAATATCTTTGTGGCATTCTCTGTATTTCCTGAATTTGAATGTTGGCCTGCCTTGCTAGATTGGGGAAGTTCTCCTGGATAATATCCTGCAGAGTGTTTTCCAACTTGGTTCCATTCTCCCCATCACTTTCAGGTACACCAATCAGACATAGATTTGGTCTTTTCACATAGTCCCATATTTCTTGGAGGCTTTGTTCGTTTCTTTTCATTCTTTTTTCTCTAAACTTCTCTTCTCACTTCATTTCATTCATTTGATCTTCCATCACTGATACCCTTTCTTCCTCAGTATCCGAATCGGATACTGAGGCTTGTGCATTGATCACGTAGTTCTCATGCCATGGTTTTCAGCTCCATCAGGTCCTTTAAGGACTTCTCTGCATTGGTTATTCTAGTTAGCCATTTGTCTAATTTTTTTAAAAGGTTTTTAACTTCTTTGCCTTGGGTTCGAACTTCCTCCTTTAGCTCGGAGTAGTTTGATCGTCTGAAGCCTTCTTCTCTCAACTCGTCAAAGTCATTCTCCATCCAGCTTTGTTCCTTTGCTGGTGAGGAGCTATATTCCTTTGGAGGAGGAGAGGCGCTCTGCTTTTTAGAGTTTCCGGTTTTTCTGTTCTGTTTTTTCCCCATCTTTGTGGTTTTATCTACCTTTGGTGTTTGATGATGGTGACGTACAGATGGGGTTTTGGTGTGGATGTCCTTTCTGTTTGTTAGTTTTCCTTCTAACAGTCAGGACCCTCAGGTGCAGGTCTGTTGGAGTTTGCTGGAGGTCCACTCCAGACCCTGTTTGCCTGGGTATCAGCAGCGGAGGCTGCAGAACAGCTGATATTGGTGAACAGCAAATGTTGCTGCCTGATCATTCCCCTGGAAGTTTTGTCTCAGAGGAGTACCCGGCCGTGTGAGGTGTCAGTCTGCCCCTACTGGGGGGTGCCTCCCATTTAGGCTATTTGGGGGTCAGGGAACCACTTGAGGAGGCAGTCTGTCTGTTCTCAGATCTCAAACTCCGTGCCGAGAGAACCACTACTCTCCTCAAAGCTTTCAGACAGGGACATTTAAGTCTTCAGAGGTTTCTGCTACCTTTTGTTTGGCTATGCCCTGCCCCCAGAGGTGGAGTCTACAAAGGAAGGCAGGCAGGCCTCCTTGAGCTACAGTGGGCTCCACCCAGTTCGAGCTTCCTGGCCGCTTTATCTACTCAAGCCTCGGCAATGGCAGGTGCCCCTCCCCCAGCCTCGCTGCTGCCTTGCAGTTTGATCTCAGACTGCTGTGCTAGCAATGAGGGAGGCTCTGTGGGTGTAGGACCCTCCCAGCCAGGCGCAGGATATATTCTCCTGGTGTGCCGTTTGCTAAGACCGTTGGAAAAGCACAGTATTAGGGTGGGAATGACCCGATTTTCCAGGTGCCGTATGTCACCCCTTTCTTTGACTAGGAAAGGGAATTCCTTGACCCCTCGCACTTCTCGGGTGAGGCGATGCCTCGCCCTGCTTCAGCTTATGCTCAGTGCACTGCACCCACTCTCCTGCACCCACTGTCCAACACTCCCCAGAGAGATGTACCCGGTACCTCAGTTGGAAATGCAGAAATCACCCGTCTTCTGTGTTGCTCACACTGGGAGCTGTAGACGGGAGCTGTTCCTATTCGGCCATCTTGGCTCCACCAACCAGTGTCATTAACTTTAAAAAAGATGGTCAAAAGAGAAGTAGGGGTAGTTCTTGACTTAATTACAACCTGTAATTTTGTACATTACACTTTGATATCTCTAAATAAAGCTTTTTTTTTTTTGGGATGGAGTCTGGCTCTGTCGCCCAGGCTGGAGCGCAGTGGCACGATCTCTGCTCACTGCAAGCTCCGCCTCCTGGGTTCACGCCATTCTCCTACCTCAGCCTCCCAAGTAGCTGGGACTAGAGGCACCTGCCAACACGGCAGGCTAATTTTTTTGTATTTTTTTTTTTAGTAGAGATGGGGTTTCACTGTGTTAGCCAGGATGGTCTTGATCTCCTGACCTCGTGATCCACCTGCCTCAGCCTCCCAAAGTGCTGGGATTACAGGCATGAGCCACTGCACCCGGCCTAAATAAAGCATGTTGAATGTTTGCACATCTGCTGATAAGTGAACATTTTTATCTCATACTGTGCTAAGCAATTCTGGTTTTGCCAACTTTGTCAGTACAAGATGATTTGTACAGCTATTTGATTTTTTTGTGCATTTTACTGGTATTTTATATAAATAAGTGGGAAATGGAAAAATGAAGTTGCTGATAGTGGTGACAAAATGCATATTTTATAAATTTATTACAATTGAGATCCAATAGCCACCATTAAGTTATGCTGAAAATGCTGACTCTTCATGCTAATTTGGATGCCCATTGGTGTTTATTCAGTTCATTCTGTGTTGATTTGCAAGGGAAAAAAATTAAAGAACATGTACTCATACAACCTAATAGTGAGAAAACAATAACTAAATTTAAAAATGGGCAAAGGAGTCTGGGCACAGTGGCTGTTGCCTGTAATCCCAGAACTTTGGGAGACTGAGGTGGGAAGATCGCTTGAAGCCAGGAGTTTGAGACCAGCTTGGGCAACATAGTGAGACCCTGTCTCTATAAAACACAACCCCCCCTTTTTTTTTTTTAGATGCAGTCTCGCTCTGTTGCCCAGGCTGGAGTGCAGTGGCGCCATCTCAGCTCACTGCAAACTCCACCTCCCAGATTCAAGCGATTCTCCTGCCTCAGCCTCCCAAATAGCTGGGATTACAGGCACACACTACCATGCCCAGCTAATTTTTGTATTTTTAGTAGAGACACGGTTTTACCATGTTGGCCAGGCTGGTCTCAGACTCCTGACCTCAAGTGAGCTGCCTGCATAGACCTCCCAAAGTGCTATGATTACAGGCGTGAGCCACAGTGCCTGGCCTCTACAAAAAAAAATTTAAAAAATTTGTCAGACATGGTGGCATGTGTCTGTAGTCCTAGCTACTCAGGAGGCTGAGGCAGGAGCATCACTAGAGCCCAGGAGTTCAAGGTTGCAGTGAGCTATGATCGCAGCACTCTAGCTTGGGTAACAGAGGGAAACCCTATCTCAAAATCAAAAAAAGAAAGAAAGAAGAAAGAAAGAAAGAGAGAGAGGAAGGAAGGAAGGAGAAAAAGAAAGAAAGAAAGAAAGAAAGAAAGAAAGAAAGAAAGAAAGAAAAAGAAAGAAAGAAAAGAAAAGAAAAAGGAAATTGTAAACTTTGTGAAAACACTTCAAAATGTTTTTTATAAAATACTGAAAAGGGAAACAACAAAAATGACCAATATGTTAGGGGTTAAACATATGACATTTTCTAGAAGATTGGGGCTGATGAAATATTTACTTTGCTAATCTGCAATGTATATGGGAATGCTATGGGAAAATAGCATTAGAATCAACAACACAAATAATTATTAAAGTATTAGTGCCATAGTGCATAGTTACCTGTTTTTACCTTAAGACCACATCTCGATAAATGTGAGCATTCCTTTCTCTAAATTTGCTACTTACGATGTGAAAGCAGCTCTTTTCCAAATGATCTAGAGTATAATTTTTAAGAAATCAGAAGAATTGTGTTGTTAGCTATTAGCTACTATTGAAGCTATTTCACTTGCAAAGGAAGGAAAGCAAACCCACAAATGTTGAGCAAATGCCAAAATGCCAAAAAGGTCTTACAAAATGGTACAGAGACCACAGGGAAACAGCTGTGTTTCTGACAAGCAGCGTGCTCCATCCTGGAAATACAGGAATTAAAGGAGTTAATGAACATGAGGAAGGAAAGGGAAGTATGATCCAGTCTTGGCTAACTTTCACCTTGGAGGAGCTAATAACAATTCTAGAAATAAAGCAGCAGGAGGAGAAACTACTGATAAGGGTAGCTCAAAATTTGAGGCCCGTGAGATTAAATCTGAGCCAATTTTGCTTTATTTTTGCTGAAGATTTTTTGCAGAGATGAATGCTGTTTGTATTTGAGAGTTGAGAAGACATAATTTACTTATTTATTCAGTCAGCAAATGTAAGAGGTGCTGGGGATCGTAATGTTTGAGGGAGACTTGAAGTTTCGTATGATGGATGGGCCAAGTGACGGTGCTGGGGATTGTGTGGGGTGTTCCAGGCAGAGGGAACAGTGTATGGAGAGGCACAGAGGATGGGCAGATGGTGATGGTAAAGGAATGATTTTCTCTATGTAATAGTGGGAAGGAAAAATGTTGCTCTTCAGAAAGATAATTCCTGGCTTATTATCACTTCCAGGGAAGGGACAACATTCGCAGCACGGATAGGTGGTTCTTTTTTGTTTGTTTTTTCGCTCTTGTTGCCGAGGCTGGAGTGCAATGGCATGATCTCACTCACTGCAACCTCCACCTCCAGGGTTCAAGCTATTCTCGTGCCTCCGCCTCCCGAGTAGCTGGGATTACAGGCATGCGCCACCACGCCCAGATAATTTTGTATTTTTAGTAGAGATGGAGTTTCACCATGTTGGTCAGGCTGGTCTTGAACTCCTGACCTCAAGTGATCCACCCACCTCAGCCTCCCAAAGTGCTGGGATTACAGGCGTGAGCCACCGCGCCTGGCCAGGTGGTTCTTTTTATTGAGGAAACAGCCAGTGATTCTTGGGAGGGGTAAGGAAGGGAGGGGGAGGTATGAGATAAAGAGAGCAGAATTGCTCTGCTCAAGAAAGGAAGAAGTGAGAGGAATTTGGAGTTTGGGGCAGCCTGGGGGAATAGGCCTGAGAAAGTTGGAGAGAGGGGGTCAGTGAGGAGAATAAATGAGAAGATGGGAAGGTCCAAGGAAGAACCTTAGGTCAAATAGAGAAGTCATCATGAGCTGGAGAACAGGAGAAGCAGAGATAAGGGGAACACGAGATTTTTCCAAGGAATATACAAAACACAAAGTTTTTTAGCACAGACTTCCACATTGTGTGGGACAGGGCTTGAGTAATTTTTTTTTTTTTTTTTTGACACTGTGTCTTGCTTTGTAACACAAGCAGGAGTGCAGTAGCATGATCATGGCTCACTGCAGTCTCAAACTCCTGGGCTCAAGTGATCCTCCTACTTCAGCCTCCAGAGTAGCTGGGACCACAGACACCCACCACCATGCCCAGCTAATTTTGTATTTGTTTTTTTGTGGAGACAGAGTCTCATTATGTTGCCCAGTCTGGTTTTGAATTCTTGGCCTCCAGTGATCCTCCCACTTCAGCTTCCCAAAGTGCTGGGATTACAGGTGTAAGCCATCACTTCTGGCCTGAATTTTTAAAAATTTTTATTTATTTATTTTATTTTTTATTTTTTTTGAGGCGGAGTCTCACTCTGTCACCCAGGCTGGGATGCAGTGGCGTGATCTCGGCTCACTGCAACCTCTGCCTCCTGGGTTCAGCAATTCTCCTGTCTCAACCTCCCAAGTAGCTGGGACTACAGGTGCGCACCACCACACCTGGCTAACTTTTGTATTTTTAGTAGAGATGGAATTTTGCCCCATTAGCCAGGCTGGTCTTGAACTCCTAACCTCAGGTGATCCATCCTCCTTGGCCTCCCAAAGTGCTGGGATTACAGGCGTGAGCCACCGTACCCAGCCATTTATTTATATTTTCATGGACAGAGTCTTGCTCTGTTGTAAGCTACTTAAGAGACAGGGGTGGGAGGATAGCTTGAGCCTGGGAAGCGGAGGTTGCAGTGAGCCAAGATGGTGCCACTGCACTCCAGAGTGAAGACAGGGGAGACTCTGTCTCAAAAAACAACAAAAAAAAAAAAAAAAAAGAAAAAAGAAAAGGAAGAAAGAAAATCCCTAGATATAATGGCTGTGCCACTTTGAGTCTGCAGTGAGCTACGATTGTGCCACTACACCTAGGCTGGAATGCAGCGGCACAATCATAGCTCACTGCAGCCTCAAATTTCTCACCTCAAGAGGTTCTCCCCTCTTGGCCTTCCAAAGTGCTATGATTACAGGAATGAGCCACTGTACCCGGCCCCTATATTAGTTTTAAAATGCATTTTTCTATTTAAAAATGTCATTGGGATTTTGATAAGGATTGCATTGAATCTGTAGATTGCTTTGGGTAGTACAGAAAATTTAACAATATTAAGTCTTCCAATACGTGAACACGTGATGTGTTTCCATTTATAACTTCTTTAATTTCTTTCAGCAATGTTTTGCTGTTTTCATTGTATAAATCTTTCACTCCTTTGGTTAACTTAGTTCCTAAGCATTGTAAACGGAATTGTTTCCAGTTTCCTTTTCAGATTATTCACTGTCAGTGTATAGAAATGCAAGTGCTTTTGCATATTGACTGTATATCCTGCTACTTTGTTGATTCATTTATTAGTTCTAACAGTTTTTTGTGAAATCTTTAGGGTTTTCTACATATAAAATCACATTATTTGCAAACAGATGATTTTACTCCTCTTGTCCAATTTGGATGCGTTTTCTTTTTCTTGCCTAATTGCTCTGGCTAGAACTTCCACCATTATGCTGAAAAGAAGTGGTGAAACAGACATGGTGAAAGTGGGCATCCCTTCCTGCTGCAGATCTGGAAAAAAAAAAAAGTGGGAATCTTGTCTTGTTCCTGATCTTAGAGGAAAAGCTTTCAGTCTTTTTCCACTGAGTATGCTATTTCCTGTGGGTTTTTCATATATGGTTTTAATTATGTTGATGTAGTTTTCCTTCATTCTTAGTTTTTCAAGTGCTTTTTATCGTGAAAGGGTATCAAATTTTGTCTGTTGTTTTCTCTGCATCAATTGAGCAGATCATGTATTTTACTTCCCTTCATTCTGTTAGTGTGGTATATAACATTTTTCAATTTTCATATGTTCAACCATCCTAGCATTCCAGGAATAAATTCCATTTGTTTCTGTTACATAATCCCTTTAATATGTGGCTGAATTTGGTTCACTGGTATTTTGTTGAGAATTTCTGTGTCAATATTCATAAGGGATATTGGTCTGTGGTGTTTTTTTTTTGTGATGTCTTTATCTAATTTTGGTATCTGGGTAATGCTGGCCTCATAGGATGAGTTAGGAAGTATTCCTTCACCCTGAATTTTTAATGAAAGTTTGAGAAGCACTGATATTAGTTCTTCTTTAAATATGTGGTAGAATTAACCAGTGAAGCCATTATATCTAGGGATTTTCTTTCTTTCCTTCTTTCTTTCTTTCTTTCTTTCTTTCTTTCTTTCTTTCTTTCTTTCTTTTTCTTCTTTCTTTCTTTTTGAGACAGGGTCTCACTCTGTCACCCCTCTGGAATGTAGTGGCACCATCTTGGCTCACTGCAACCTCTGCTTCCCGGACTCAAGTCATCCTCCCACTTCAGCCTCCCAAATAGCTGGAACTATAGGCACATGCTACCATGCCTGGCTAATTTTCATTGTTGTTTTTCTAGAGACAAAATGTTTTTAAAAAGTTAGCCAGTCATGGTGGCATGCACCTATCCTAGCTATTAGGGAGGCTGAGGTGGGAGGAGCACTTGAACCTAGGAGTTTGAGGTTACAGTGAGCTATGATCATGCCACTGTACTCCAACCTTGGGTGACAAAGCAAGATACAGTCTCAAACTAATAATAGTATTAATAATAAAGTCTATATTGTCTGGTATTTGTTTTGTCTCTTTTGGTTACTATTTGCTTGGAATATCTTTTCCATCCTTTCACTTTCCATTTGTGTGTGTCTTTGGATCCAAAGTGAGTTTCTTGTAGACAGCATATAGTTGAATCATGTGGTTTTTAATTGTTTTATTTTGTTTTAGAAACAGAGTCTTGCTCTGTCACTCAGGCTGGAGAGCAGTGGCATGATCATAGCTCACTGTAACCTCAAACTCCTGGGCTCAAGTGATCTTCTTGCCTCAGCCTTCCAAGTCATTGGGATTACAAGCATGAGCCACCATACCTGGCCTGCTTTTCTGTATATTCTATGACTTTTTTCTTACCATGGGGATTATATTTAACATCTTAATGTAATAACACTCTAATTTGATTTTGCACTAGCTTAGCCTCAATAACACACAAAAACTCTGCTCCTTTACAGCTTTTCCCCCACTCTTTTCAGTTACTGATTCCACAAAATTACATCTTTATATCCTTATGCCCCAAAACATAATCATTTTTAAATGCATTTATCTGTTAAATTATGTAGAAAACAAAATGTAGAGTTACAAACCAAAACTACAATAATACTAGCCTTTAGACTAATTATTATTATTATTTTTTAAGACGGAGTCTTGCTCGGTTGCCTAGGCTGGAGTTCAATGCTGTGATCTCTGCTCACTGCAACCTCCACCTCCCAAGTTCAAGTGATTCTCCTGCCTCAGCCTCCCAAGTAGCTGGAACTACAGGCACATGCTACCATGCCTGGCTAATTTTTTTTTAGTAGAGACAGGTTTTCACTATATTGGCCAGGCTGGTCTTGAACTCCTGACCTCAAGTGATCCACCCACCTTGGCCTCCCAAAGTGCTGGGATTACAGGCATGAGCCACCATGCCTGGCCTGGACTAATTGTTTTTTAATGTATTAGTTTCTTAAATTGTGTAGGAAACAAAAAGTTTTGGCCAGGTGCAGTCACTTACACCGGTAATCCCAGTACTTTGGGAGGCCAAGGTGGGAGAATTGCTTGAGTCCAGGAGTTTGAGACCAGCCTGGGCAACACAGTGATACCTTATCTCTACTAAAAAATAAAAAATAAAAATTAGGTGGGTATGATGGCACATACCTGTAGTCTCAGCTACTTGAAAGGCTGAGATAGGAGATTGACTTGAACCTAGGAGGTCAAGACTGCAGTGAGCTGTGATCACACTACTGTACTCCAGCCTGGACAACAGAGAGAAACCTCATCTTTAATTTAAAAAATAAAGAAAACAAAAAGTGGAGTTATGAACTATTGTTACAATAATACTAGCTTGTTATAATTGCCTACATATTTACTTTTAATGAAGTATTTATTTCTTCATATACCTTCAAGTTATTGTCTAGTGTTTCTTCATTTCACCTTGCAGGACTCCCTTAAGCATTTCTGGCAAGGCTGGTCTAGTGGTAATTAACTCCCTCAGCTTTTGTTCATCTAGGAATATCTTAATTTCTCCCTCACTTTTGAAGGACAGTTTGTTTGTTTGTTTGTTTTGAGACGTAGTTTTGCTCTTTTGCCCAGGCTGGAGTGAAGGGGCATGATCTCAGCTTGCTGTAACCTCTGCCCCCCAGGTTCAAGCAATTCTCCTGTCTCAGCCTCCCAAGTAGCTGGGATTATAGGCACCCGCTACTACAGCCAGCTAATTTTTGTATTTTTAGTAGAGATGGGGTTTCACCGTATTGGCTAGGCTGGTCTCGAACTCCTGACCTCAGGTGATCTGCCCACCTCAGCCTCCCAAAGTGTTAAGATTACAGGCATGAGCCACCATGCTTGGCTGAAGGACAGTTTTGACAGATATAGAATTATTGGTGTACAGTTCTTTTCTTTTAGCACCTTGAATATATCAGTCCACTGCCTTCTGGCCTCTGAAGTTTCTAATGAAATATGTGCTGATAACCTTATTGAGGATCCCCTGTGATGAGCTGTTTCTTGCTGTTTCAGGATTCTCATTTTGTATTTGGCTGTTGAAATTTTGATTATAATGTCTCAGTGTGGGTCTCCTTGAATGCATCTTACTAGGATATCATTGAGCTTCTTGGATGTTTACATTCATGTCTTTAATCAAATTTGGGATGTTTTTTGTCATTGTTTATTCAAATATTCTCTCCTTCTCCCTTTCTCTCTCTTCTTCTTCTGAGAATCCCACAATATGTATGCTGGTCAGCTTCATGGTGTCCCAGAGTTCCCTTAGGCTTTGTTCACTTTCCTTCAACTTTTCTTTTTTTTTCTGTTTTCCAGACTCACTAATTTTCATTGTCCCACCTTCAGTTCACTGACTCTTCTGCCTGCTTAAATCTGCCTTTGAATTCCTCTAATGAATTTTTCATTTCAGTTATTGCACTTTTAAGCTTCATAATTTACTTTTTGTAGATTAAAAAAAATCTATTTATATTACTATTTTGTTCATACATTGTTTTATTGGCTTTCTCCACATCTTCCTTTAGTTCTTTGAACATATTTAAAACTGTTGTTTTAAAGTCTTTCTTGCCAGCACAGTGGCTCATACTTGTAATTCGAGCTACTCAGGAGGCTGAAGAGGGAGAATCACTTGAGCCCAGGAGTTCAAGGCTGTAGCGCACTGTGATCACACCTGTGAAGATCCACTACAGGTGGGGTGCGGTGGATCATGCCTATAATCCTAGCACCTTGGGAGCTGAGGCAGGAGGATCACTTGAGGCCAGGAGTTTGAGACCAGCCTGGACAACATAGCAACACTCTGTCTCCGCAATAAAAATAAAAATAAAAAAATAAGGGCCACTGCACTGTGGTCTGGGTGACAGACAATGAGACCCTATCTCTAATAAAATAAAATAAAGTCTTTCTCTAGTACATCACCCATTAAGTCTTTTTCGGGGACAGTTTCTGTTGATTTATTTTTTCCTTTGGGCCATATTTTCCTGGCTTTTAAAAAATGTTTTGTGATTTTATTGTTGAAAACTGGACATTTGCATCTAATGTGGAAACTCTGGAAATCAGATTCTCCTCAGGGTTTGCTGGCATTTGTGATTGTTTTTGTTTATTTATTTATTTTTTAAATTTTATATGCAGTGTTTGTGCCAAAGATCAGCCTGAGATGAAAACTTAAGGTCTTCTCAGGTCTTTTCTGAAACTGCACCTTTTCCTAGGCATGTATACTTTTAAATTTTAATTTATATATTTTAACATACAAAAACCACTTTATATGCAATTGTTTTTTAATGTCCTAGTCTTCAGTGTCTGGCTCCCAAAAGGGGAAAAAATGAAAGAGAGAAGAAAAGGATCCTGGGCCTTTAAATCCCCAGGAAGTCACTTCAACTATAGAGGAGGGACTTGTGGCAATGGAGGGAGGTGCAACAACAATGGCCCTTTGACTCTCTGCACTTCTGTTACCAGAAGCAGTAATCAGCAATCAGAGCACAGATCCCTGATATTTGGAGAACAGAGCCATCCTGGCTCCCACAAGCTATGTGCAGGTTGCTCCAGGAACACATCATATCATTCTCCTTGTTGGTGGGAGATGGGTAGCTGCTCCTGTGGTAACAGTTGAAATTTACTGAAATTAACTACAATTTATCACCAAGTCTTCCCCTGGAAGTTGCAAGCTTTCAATAGACTCTGGATTTCCAAAACTGTTACATCAGACAGAATCTGACAGTGCAATTGTTGTCTAGGTGGGGAGATATATTCTTGGTTCTTCCTACTCTGCCAACTGCCCAGAATCATCTCCAGATTTTTGTTTAGATAGAAGTGCAGGTTCCACTCTAAGAAAACCTTGGGGATGTAGGTATCTGAGGGAGTTTGTAGGTCTTAGAGTGGAAGTTCAAGAAGATACAGAAGAATGATTGGGGACCAAAACAAAGAAGGAGGCTGGGTCAGTTGAGAGGATGTATAGAACAGGTAGAGAGTTACAAGGAGAGTTAGAAAGGTAAGGTGACACCTTTGGGTGGAATTTATCTTAAGCATTCCTTGGTGAAAGAGGTACACACAGGCCAGGTGTGGCTGAGAGTCTTCCTGTAGTGATTTGGTAACAACAGGGTACTGGACTCCTGCAGCTTCATATGTGGGTGCAATATAAAAAGAGGGGGTTAGGTGGCCCAGAGCATCTGTCCCAGGGTCACATGGTCACTCAGACCCAGGGCCCAGTTTGTGGGGGGTCCCTGCCTCCCTCTCCAGTCTTCATTGCACTCTGCTGCAGACCCAATAGCCTCCTTTTAGACCCTCCATCATGCCACGTTCTTCCCTACCATAGGAGGCACATGCTCTCTGCCTGGGATGCCCTTAGTCTTCCTTCGGATCTTGACTAAAACATCACTTCTTTGGATATACCCTAGATCCCCCACCATTCTCTCTCATCACATTGTGTATCATTCCTTCAAGAACTTATCACAGTTGTAATTTTACATTTATTTGTGTGTTCATTTGATTAAAGCCTCTCTCCTCTTTCTTGTCTGTAAGTTTCAGAGGGACCATGCCTGTTTTATATACCGGGTCTCCCAGCATTTATCCCAGTACTTACACAAAATAGTTGTGGTAGTTAAAAAATGTCCACAGGCCAGGCACAGTGGCCCACGCTTGTAATCCCAGCACTTTGGGAGGCCAAGGCAGGAGGATTGCTTGAGCCCAGGAGTTCAAGACCAGCTTAGGCAACATAGCAAGACCCTCATCTTTACCAAAAATACAAAAATTAGCCAGGTATGGTGGTACATGCTTGTAGTCCCAGCTACCCAAAAGGCTGAGTTAGGAGAATCACTTGAGCCCAGGAAGTTGAGGCAGCAGTGAGCCTCATGACACACGCTACCATGCCTGGCTAATTTTTGTATTGTGCCATACTGCACTCCAGCCCAGGCAACAGACTGAGACCCTGTCTCAAAAAAAAAAAAAAAAAAAAAGTCTACAAATGTTTTAACACTTTTTTTTTTTTTTTGAGACAGAGTCTTACACTGTCTCCCAGGGTTGGAGTGCAATGGTGCCATCTCGGCTCACTGTAGCCTCTGCCTCCTGAGTTCAGGCAATTCTCCTTTTCTCAGCTTCCCAAGTAGCTGGGATTACAGGTGCCTGCCACCATGTCTGGCTAATTGTTTTTTGTTTTTGTTTTTGTTTTTTGTATTTTTAGTAGAGATGAGGTTTCACTATGTTGGCCAGGCTGGTCTTGAACTCCTGACCTCATTATCCATCCGCCTCAGCCTCCTAAAGTGCTAAGATTACAGGCGTGAGCCACCCACCGTGCCTGGCCCAACACTTTTTTTCAAAGGCAGATGTCTATTTTTCCTCCTCGTGAATGTAAGGCCAGACTTAGTGACTTCCTTCTAACAAATAGACTGTGGTGGAAGTGACTGTGTGTGACTTCTGAGGCTGGGTTAAAGAAGATACAGCTTCCTCCCTGCATTTTTCTCACTCTTGGATCACTCATTCAGGGGAAGCCATACCATGCTGTGAGGTCACTGAGGAAAACCAGAACGCCCCTGTGGTATTCTGTCATAGCAACGCAAAATGGATTAAGACAATGACAAACCAAAAGAAAACAAACAAAAAATTGTTCATAAATATGCTAATTCATTCATTCAGCATTCATTGCAAAACTATTTTATTATTAGTCATCTATTGCTACATAACAAATTTCCCCAGAACTTAGAGGCTTAAAACAACAATAATCATTTATTCTTTCTCATAAGATATAACTTGGTATGGTGGCTCTCGCTAAGAATTAGCTAGATTCTGTGGGAGGCCTCAATTCCTCTCTAGTTGATACCTGGAGAGGAATTGAGGCCTCCCACAAACAGCCAGCAACCACTTGCTAGTGATGGGAGAAAGCTACCTTGAAAGTGGATTCTCCAGCCCCAGTCAAGCTTTCAGATAGCTGCAGTTCTGGTTGACATCTGAACTGTAACCTCACAAGGGATTCTCAGCCAGAACCACCACACCAAGTTATATCCTGTGAGAGATAATAAATGATTGTTGTTGTCTTAAGTCTCTAAGTTCTGGGATAATTTGTTATGTAGCAATGGATAACTAACCATAAAATATTTTGCAATTAATACTGAATGAACAAATCAGCATATTCATGAACAATTTTTTGTTTTCTTTTGGTTGGCATTACCTTCATGCATTTTGTGTTGTTATCCCAGAATACCACAGACTGGGTTATTTTATTTTATTTTATTTTATTTTATTTTATTTTATTTTATTTATTTTATTTTATTTTATTTTATTTGAGACAGAGTCTCACTCTGTTGCCCAGGCTGGAATACAGTGGCATGATCACAGCTCACTGCAGCCTCAACCTCCTGGGCTCAAGTGATCCTCCCACCTGAGCCTCCCGAGTAGCTGGATCCACAGGTGCATGCCACCATACCTGGCTGATTTTTGTATTTTTTGTAGAGATGGAATTTTGCCATGTTGCCCAGGCTGGTCTTAAACTCTTGGGTTCAAGCAATCTGCCAGCCTCAGCCTCCCAAAGTGCTGGGATTACAGGTGTGAGATACCATGCCCAGCCCAGACTGGGTAATTTTAAAAGAACAGAAATTTATTTCTTAAAGTTCTGGAGGCTGTGAAGTCCAACATTGAGGGTCTGCCTCTGGTGAGGGCCTTTTTGCTGCATCATCTCATGGTGAAAAGTGGAAAGGCAAGAGAGGGCGTGTGAGAGCAAGAGAACAAGAAGTGGCCAAACTCGCTTTTATAGCAACCCACTATCATGATAACTAACCTACTCCTGTGATAATGACATTAATCCATTGACGACAGCAGAGCTCTCAGAAACTAATCACCTCTTATCAGGCCCCACTTCCCAAGACTGTTGCCTTAAATTTTTTTTTTTGAGACAGAGTTTCACTCTTGTTGCCCAGGCTGGAGTGCAGTGGCACGATCTCAGCTCACTGCAAACTCTGCCTCCTGGGTTCAAGCAATTCTCCTGTCTCAGCCTCCCAATTAGCGGGGATTACAGGTGTATGCCACCATTCCTGGCTAATTTTTGAATTTTTAGTGGAGACAGGGTTTCATCATATTGGTCAGGCCGATTTCAAACTCCTGACCTCAGGTGATCCTCCCGCCTTGGCCTCCCAAAGTGCTGGGATTACAAGCATGAGCCACCGTGCCTGGCCTTAAAGATTAATTTTATAACACATGAACTTTGGGGGACACATTGAAACCATAGCAGGAATAAATCAGGAATTACATTAGTAATAATTCCAACAGGTGCCTGAAATTTTCTTTTACATTTTCTCTGTACTTTATGGACTTTCTCAACCATACAAATTGGAGTAAAAACACAAACAAGATAGCACAAATATCTAATCCTAGAAAGACTGTGTTGGTTGAGTGATTTCAATATGAGGAAAGATTAATTATACATGTACTTCCACTATCCACCGCCAAAGATTAGTTGGCATACAAGGCACAACGCTTATGGATCATGAAATCATGATGAAATTTTGGTCAAGAAAGGTTTTTTTTTTTTAAAAAAAAATCTTAAATGTAGATTTTTACCCAATCTTTAAGGCAGTAGTTGATTTACATTTTATTACATGCTTTAACCAAAAGTTTGTACTTTTTGGGTTAAAAAAGCCAAATATTTAAGGGTAATCAACCACTGCAACTGCTTTGTCTTTGTCTCTGTCAACAGTACCCTCTGAATCCTTTCAGTTTCATAGAGGATAAAGAGAATTTTCACAAGGAATCTTAATGTATTAGTCTGTTTTTATGCTGCTGATAAAGACATAAGGCTGAGAGGAAAAAGAGGTTTAATCGGACTTATAGTTCCACATGGCTGGGGAGGCCTCAGAATCATGGTGGGAGGTGAAAGGCACTTCTTTACACAGTGGCAGCAAGAGAAAATGAGGAAGAAGCAAAAGTGGAAACCCCGGTTAAACCCATCAGATCTTGTGAGACTTATTCACTATCATGAGAATGGCATGGAAAAGGCCAACCCCTGTGATTCAATTACCTCCCCTGGGTCCCTCCCCCAACACGGGGAATTCTGGGAGATACAATTCAAGTTGAAATTTGGGTGCGGACACAGCAAAACCTTATCATTCCAACCCTGGCCCCTCCAAATTTCACGTCTTCATGTTACAAAACCAATCATGCCTTCCCAACAATCCCCCAAAGTCTTAACTCATTTCAGCATTAACCTAAAAGTTCACAGTCCAAAGTCTCATCCGAGACAAGGCAAGTCCTTCCACCTATGAGCCTGTAAAATCAAAAGCAAACTAGTTACTTCCTAGATACAATGGGGGTACAGGTATTAGGTAAATACAGCTGTTCCAAATGGGAGAACTTGGCCAAAACAAAGGGGTTACAGGGCCCATGCAAGTCCAAAATCCAGCAGGGCAGTCAAATCTTAAAGCTCCAAAATGATCTCCTTTGACTCCATGTCCACATCCAAGTCACACTGATGCAAGAGGTGTGTTCCCATGGTCTTGGGCAGCTCTGCCCCTGTGGCTTTGCAGGGTACAGCCTCTCTCCCAAGCTGCTTTCATGGGCTGGCATTGAGTGTCTGCGGTTTTTCCAGATGCACAGTGAAAGCTACCAGTGGATCTACCATTCTGGGGTCTGGAGGATGGTGGCCCTCTTCTCACAGCTCCACTAGGCAGTGCCCCCAGTAGGGACTCTGTGTGGGGGCTCCAACCCCACATTTCCCTTCTGCACTGCCCTAGCAGAGTCTCTCCATGAGGGTCCCGCCCCTGCAGCAAATGTTTGTCTGGGCATCCAAGTGTTTCCATACATCTTCTGAAATCTAGGTGGAGGTTCCCAAACCTCAGTTCTTAACTTCCATGCACCCGCAGGCTCAACACCACGTGGAAGCTGCCAAGGCTTGGGGATTTCACCCTCTGAAGCCACAGCTGAAGCCATACATTGGCCCCTTTCAGCCATGGCTGGAGTGGCTGGGACATAGGCACCAAGTCCCTAGACTGCACACAGCACTAGGATCCTGGGCCTGGTCCTTGAAACCACTTTTTCCTCCTGAGTGGTCTCTGGGCCTGTGTTGGCAGGGCTGCCATGAAGGTCTCTGACATGGCCTGGAGATGTTTTCCCCACGGTCTTGGGGATTAACATTAGGCTCCTTGCTACTTATGCAAATTTCTGCAGCTGGTTTGAAGTTCTCCCCAGAAAATGGATTTTTCTTTTCTGTCGCATAGTCAGGCTGCAAATTTTCCAAACTCTTATGCTCTGCTTCCCTTATAAAACTGAATGTGTTTAACAGCACCCAAATCACCTCTTGAAGGCTTTGCTACTTAGAAATTTCTTCTGCCTGGCCTGGCGTGGTGGCTCACGCCTGTAATCCCAAAACTTTCGGAGGCCGAGGCAGGTGGATCACTTGAGGTCAGGAGTTCGAGACCAGCCTGACCAACATGGTGAAACCCTGTCTTTACTAAAAATACAAAAAAAAATTAGCTGGGTATGGTGGCGGGTGTCTGTAATCCCAGCTATTCGGGAGGCTGAGGCAAGACAATCGCTTGAACCTGGGAGGTGGAGGTTGCTGTGAGCTGAGATTGCACTACTGCACTCCAGCCTAGGCGACAAAGCTAGACTCTGTCTCAAACAAAACAAAACAAAACAAAACAGAAAGAAATTTCTTCCACCAGATACCCTAAATCATCTCTCTTAAGTTCAAAGTTCCACAAATCTCTAGGGCAGGGGCAAAATGCCACCAGTCTCCTTGCTAAAACATAACAAGAGTTGCCTTTGCTCCAGTTCCCAACAAGTTCCTCATCTCCATCTGAGACCAACTCAGCCTGGATTTTATTGTTCATATCACAATCAGATTTTGGATAAAGCCATTCAACAAGTCTCTAGGGAGTTTCAAACTTTCCCACATTTTCCTGTCTTCTTCTGAGCCCTTCAAACTGTTCCAATCTCTGCCTGTTACCCAGTTCCAAAGTCGCTTCCACATTTTCGGGTATCTTTTCAGTAACACCCCACTCTACTGGTACCAATCTACTGTATTAGTCCATTTTCATGCTGCTGATAAAGACATACCCGAGACTGGGAAGAAAAAGAGGCTTAATTGGACTTATAGTCCCACATGGCTGGGGAGGCCTCAGAATCATGATGGAAGGCGAAAAGCACTTCTTACATGGCAGCAGCAAGAGAAAATGAGGAAGAAGGAAAAGCAGAAACCCCTGATAAACCCATCAGATCTCGTTAGACTTATTCACTATCACGGGAATAGCATGGGAAAGACTGACCCTCGTGATTCAATTACCTCCCCTGGGTTCCTCCCACAACATGTGGGAATTCTGGGAGATACAATTCAAGTTGAGATCTGGGTGGGGACACAGCCAAATCATATCACTTGACCTGGTGAGATGTAATATTCATTATTCCCTGTTGTAATCCAGCACAGAAGTAATGCCTGATACACACACAGCAGACACTCAAAAATATTATTGAATAAACAAGTGAGTGAATAAATCTCTGTACTTATCATAATCATTCAGATGTTAAATTCTATTCCAGTTGCCTAAGTAGGAATGAATGTACAACTAACACTGGTAGAAACAGAGAAAGTCTGAATTATGCAGCATTAATCTAACAAGTACAGTGAACTACTGTATTATTGCTTGTTTGCTCGTGTTTACATTTTCTTCACAAAAATATAATTTTTGTTTTACAACTGTGTGGTAAATTAGGATATGGCTTATTCTGTGACCAGCTCATTCATCATCTCTTCCAATGTCATTATGGTGTGACTTTCTGAAATGCAGAGACTGAAAAGTTAAACTACGTTTCCCAGGTTCCTTTACTGTTAGAGTTCTAAATGAGACTTAGGTTCCTTCAAACAAATGCATTCACATGGGACCTGAAAAGGAACTGGGCTCCTAATAATTCCCTCATACAGTATATGGTAATTTCCCCTACCTGCAGACTCACCTTCCCCTACCCACAATCTATATGGTTCCAGGAGAGAGTTTTAGGAATCCATCTTTCTGGTCCCAATGGTCATAGAGCTGTTTGGTCTGGACCTGGAAGTGCAAGTGATGGCTCCCTAATTTGGCAGGAGCTTCCTGAAGTGGAAGAGGTGGCATGATTTCAGAAAGTTGGTGGCTACTGGGTGTTAATCCCTGATTCAGCTGGTAGTTTACTATTCTTAGTGGGAGCAGCAGCTTCCTTTACAGCTCAGCTCTAGAGTGTGGCTTTGAGAGTTGTTTCTGGAAGACTGGCCTACAGTTTCTCCAGCCCATCTAATCATACTGTAAGCCATTTAATATCTTGCATTACATCCATTTCTTTTTTTTTTTTTTTTTTGAGACGGAATTTTGCTCTTTTTGCCCAGGCTGGAGTGCAATGATGTGATCTCGGCTCACTGCAACCTCCACCTCCTGGGGTTCAAGTGATTCTCCTGCCTCAGCCTCCCAAGTAGCTGGGATTACAGGTGCCCACCACCATGCCCAGCTAATTTGTTGTATTTTTAGTAGAGATGGGGTTTCACTATGTTGGCCAGGCTGGTCTCGAACTCCTGACCTCAGGCGATCCACCCACCTTGGCCTCCTAAAGTGTTGAAATTACAGGCGTGAGCCACTGTGCCCGGCCACAATAAATCCATTTCTGTACAAAGGAGTAGTAATTTTTTTTTCCCTCTGCCACTGAAACCTAACCCAAAGCAAGGGACTAGGAGGTCCTGTACAACTGACATGATTTATTACTATGTAGATTATTAGAATACAGATGTAATTTAATATTTATGAAATTTCACATATTCTATTGTCAGGGCCATCCAGCTTCAAACAAAAATATATGCTCCTGCAACATTCTACAAATTGATTTTTCAAAAAATCCTACCAAATTTAAATTCTATTGAAGTATTCTTTTATTGTTTTCTAGTGCCATTAGGACTGTGGTTTGCATGCAACAGAATTATACTAGATTTAAGCAAAAGAAAAATGAATTTATATAAGGATACAGGTCATCTCATGAAACTCCAGGGCTAGGAAGTGGTAGAACCTCAGGAATAACCTGGAGCCAAGGATTGCAGTGCTAAAGAGAACTTAGGAAGCCCTCTTGCCAGCTCTCACTCTTTCTCTCTCCTTCATTCTTTCTCATTACTAACTGTAAGGAATACGGCTGTGCTTTGGTCAAAAATAGGCCAAGGTAAACATCCAGAGTGACTCAGCGAGTTTAGAGTGCAGGCGTATAACTCCACTTGTTATCACAGCCATGTAGCCATAACATGGGAAGGCCATTCCTTGACTCTAAGCCACTATTGTCTGTAAAAGGTATAATTGCCCTGATAACACTGTACAGGCATGCTGGAGCCAAGAGAAAGAGAAAGAGAGTCAAAGCTGTCCATCTTTGCAGACAGACAGAGGGGAGCCAGGACACAGCTTGGCTTGCTTGTGCCCAGAGAGAGTTTAGCTGCTGACCCTGAAGGCAAGGGAGAGCCAGCCACGCAGCTGTGTGTGGGAGCCGCCGGACTAAGCAGCCAAGACAGGGCGGACAGTGTGAGAGAGCTGTTGATGAGAGCTGCTGCTGAATAAAATCATCTTTCACCTGCTTATGGCCCCCCTGGGTGTTCTTTCTGCTCATCCACCCACTCCCCTCATACCCCAGCATGACAATTGGCGTAGTTGTGAACTTGACACTAGTGTTCTCTGTATCCTAATCCACTGGCTTAAAAAAAAAAAAAAGCCTCTAGGCCAGACGTGGTGGCTCACACCTGTAATCCCAGCACTTTAGAAGGCTGAGGCAGGCAGATCACTTGAGCCCAGGAGTTAGAGACCAGCCTGGACAACATGGTGAGATCCCTGTCTCTACAAAAAATACAAAAATTAGCTGGGCGTGGTGGCATACACCTGTGGTCCCAGCTACTCAGGAGGCTGATGTGGGAAAATTGCTGGAGCCCAGGGGATCGAGGCTGCAGTGAGCTGTGATCATGCCACTGCACTCCAGCCTGGGTGACAGAGCAAGACCAAATCTCAAAAATAAATAAATAAACCAAAATAAAAGGATAGACAGGTAGACTGAGGCAGAAATCTCCCAGACTCAATTCCAGAGTGTTGAGGAAAGTCCATGAGTAACCAGCTTCAGTCTGGTGCCTAGTTCAGCCAAGCTGCACAACTCTAAAGGGTGCCATTCATCTAAACCTCTAAAGGATGCCATTCTATGAAATAGTGCCCCTGGTGCATATTTTACAGAAGGGAATGTGAATGATGCCCCTTTGGCACCAATCAGCTGGAGTCTGGAGTCCGAGTTCCATACAGGAACTTGGCAATGGGTGCTGTGTTCCTGGAACCATATAGATTGTGGGTAGGGGAAGGTGGATTTGTAGATAAGGGAAATTACCATATACTGTACAATTATTAGGAGCTCAGGAGACAAGTTCATGGATGTGTATTACAAGAATGGTATACTGATTTTAAATATATTAGACCAGGAAGAGACAAATTATGGCCCACAGGCCAGATCCAGTCTGCCCCTTGTTTTTGGAAACATGGTTTCATTAGAACACAACCATGCTCAGTTATTTGTATATTGTCAATGGCCTCATTTGTTCTAGAATGGCAGAGTTGAGCAGTTGCAACAGAGATTATACAGTTCACAAAGACTACAATATTTACTACCTGGTTCCTTACAGGAAAATGTTGATCCTTTGCCTAGATCCTTGATGCCCAAAAGGAGGTCCACAAGCCTGCAGTCTCAGCATCACCTCGGAGCTTCTCAGGCCTTCACCTGGAACTACTAAATCAGAACTTGCATTTAAATAAGATCCCCAGGTGATTCAGAGGCACATTAAAGTCTGAGAAGCACCATGTGAAACTTATCAGTGGGCGCAAGCAATACTATTGAAATATTCATTCACAAACCCTTTTTAGCCTATGGGACACGATGCAATACCCCAGCATATTAGATTAGTGTGCCACTATCCCTGGATTTGATGTAGTGATTTTTTTTTCTGACTACGTCAAGGCAGAGTGTCATTACCATCAGCACAAATTCTTACCAAACATCTGCCTGGACAAAAGGATATCTGGCTACAATTTGTTAGGTACCTACTTATTCATTCAATTATAACAGATATTTATTGAGGGCATACTCTGTGCTAGGCATTGGACCACAATAATGAACAAATTGGCACAATTCCAGCCTTCATGTTGTTGTGGAGCTTTCATGTATCATCTTATCTATTTCTTTTTAAAAGCTTTTAGGTGGATATATTAATCTCCATGAGGAAACTGAGGTGCAGAGAGGCTAAATGACTTGCTCAAAGTCATACAGCCGGTGAGTGGCGGAGGTGAAAATTGAACATAAGATGTAAGTCTTTCTGACACCACAGTTTATGTTTTCTCCTATGCAGCAGTTTCATGCGTTCTCCTATTGCAGTGCCAAAGAGAACTTAAGCGTGATTCTAGGAGATTGTAATCTGAAAGAGATCTACATCCAGAGAACCAGTGTTTTCTAGATAAGAAATGGTCTCCCACTTGCCAGATATAGCCAAGATGATACTGCGTGATTGGGGCAGGTTGAAAACTGGAGAAGCCCAGCTCCTTTCCCAAGACCTTCTCTTCAGAAGCCACACACCTGCTACCTTTATCTGTGAGAGAGACAGATGCCTCTGATTCAGTTACTCCTTCCAGACACTTGGAATGAGAGATGCACCTGAGGCCCTGGGTAGGACAGGAAATGCACTCTCTTAGGGAGAAAAGGGGTTGGGGTTAGTGCTTCTTCCTCCAAGAAACTCAGAGTGAATTCCATTCACTGGGGTCACCTTACCTTTCTAGCTCTCCTTCCCACCTGTTCTACACACCCCTTCAACTTACCCAGCCCTTCTTCCTTGTCTTGCTTCTTAATCATTCCATTGTACTTTCTTGAACGTTCATTCTGAGAACTACAAGTATACCTCTCCTAGATAGTTATGTCCTCAAACTGGAGAAGAGAAATGAAACAGGCAGAGGGAGGTGGGGAGAGGGATGGAGAGACGAGGGCACAAGTGAATGATGGAGAAAGATATTGGGCTGGACCCAGGTAGTGAGGAAGGAGGAAGAGGTTGAACACATGGCTGGTTGAGGGAAGAAGGAAGAGCAGGAATGACAGGCATGGAGCAGGATGCTCTCTGATGGAGCATGAGGAAAAGGATGGCACCGAGAAGCTAGCAGCGATGGGCCAAAAACAACAGCAACATCATCATTCCCATCCCCATCTCTATCTCTATAATAGTGACCATATGAAGTAAGTACTGTAACTACCTCCATTTTATAGTTAAGGCAACTGAAAAATAGAAGGATTAGGTAAATTGTTTCTGATCACATGACTGTAATGACAGAGTCAAGATGAAGACAGAGGCAGGCTGGCTTCAAAATCCATGCTCTTATCTACCATCCTGTCCTGTCTCGCAAAGGCACAATGTTGAAAACAATAGGACATATTTCCCTTTAGATATCCGTGGCCCAGAATTGACCTGTTTGTGTTCATTTCAAGCAAGGCATTTTTTTATTTTTTATTTTTTTGAAACAGAATCTCACTCGTTTGCGCAGGCTGGAGTGCAGTGGTGCCATCTTGGCTCACTGCAACCTCTGCCTCCCAGGTTCAAGCGATTCCCCTGCTCACCACTACACCCGGCTAATTTTTGTACTTTAGTAGAGTTGTGGTTTCACCATGTTGGCCAGGTTGGTCTTGAACTCCTGATCTCTAGTGATCTGCCTGCCTCAGCCTCCCAAAGTGCTGGGATTACAGGTGTGAGTGACTGTGCCCAGCTGCATTTTATTAATAAGCAGAAATGGATTAATAATTACCCCAGTTCATCTATACCCCTTAAAAGCACCTAACATAATTAAACAATTTTAAAAAGGCAAACTGTCAGAATTAATATATAAATCTAACAAATTATTGGATTTTTTTTCCCTAGCTGATTTCTGGTTTGAACTGGGGACAAAGTTATTCTCACTTTGTCACAACCTTTATGTGTCCTGATTTTAGCACCTGTAAATAGTACTCACCCTATGGGTAGTATAGGGTTTCTTGGGAGGTAATGATTTATCAGTTAAAATGTAAGAAGAACTTTAAACAATTCAGCCCATTTAGCAGGCATTCGGTGAGCAGTTGTGGTGTGTTGGGAGCAAGGGGGACAAATAACAGGGCATCAGCTTTGAACTATTCAAAGTGAGCCAGTCAGACCTGGAGTTAGGAAGGCTCCAGGACAGTATGACAGAGGCTGGCGAGGAGCTGGAGCAAAGGGAGTATAGCGGAGGTAGCAAGAGCTGTGCCTGGGGCTTGAGAGAAGGCTTTGCTGAAGCTGCACAAGACCTCTGTCTTAGAGTTCATCTAAACAGACTGAGATAACGCGATAAGCACAAGTACCTTACTTGAGGGTGAGTCCAAGAAATATGGTGAGGGAGTAGGAAAGTGAGATAGAAAAGGGAAGAAAGCCATTAATGAGAGGGTTACAGCTGGGAGCAACTGGGGCTCCATCCTGTTGGGTACCCTCTAAGGGAATGGGTAGAAGCACACATCGGAATTGTCCTACCAAGGAGTAAGGAAGCTGGGGCATTTTCCACCAACTCCCACCCCACATTGATTATGAACTGCTCCCGAGGGTGCTAATTCTCTAGTACCTCAGCCTCCCTTTCACATAAGCCAAGACTCCTCCTGCAGCCAGATAAAGCCTTCAAGCCAAGAGATGCAGGTGTTAGAGGTGTATGGCATCCACTGTTCTCAGGGGCTGCAGGTGCCCTCTGGGCTGGGCCAAGGGCAACGCCTCCATTTTGGCAGCAATGTATGAGAGTTCCAGTTTCTCCAAATCTTCGAATCTTGCTATTGCTACACTTTTAAATCTTAGCCAATTTGATGGCATAAATTAGCGTATTTCACTGTTGTTTTAATTTGCATTGTAATTTTAAAGTTTATTAATCTTTTATTTTATAGTTAGAAGATATGGAATCTTGTTTAAGAAATCTTACTCTATCCTGAGGTAAAAAAATTCTCCTATATTTTCTTCTAAATGATTTATACAGGTTTTTCTTCACATTCAAGTCCTTGACATGGAGTTAATTTTTTGGGTTTTTTTGAGACAGAGTCTTGCTCTGTCGCCCAGGCTGGAGTGCGGTGGTGCAATCTCGGCTCACTGCAGCCTCCACCTCCCGGGTTCCAGTGATTCTCCTGCCTCAGCCTCCTGGATAGCTGGGATTATAGGCACACGTCACCATGCCTGGCTAATTTTTGTATTTTTAGTAGAGATGGGGTTTCACCATGTTGGTCAGGCTGGTCTTGAACTCCTGACCTCAGGTGATCTGCCTGCCTTGGCCTCCCAAAGTGCTGGGATTGCAGGCATGAGCCATGGTGCCTGGCTGGAGTTGATTTTTTATAAATGCTATGAGGTAGGGATCAATATGGGTAACTGACTGCCCAAAAATCATTTATTGAATAACTCAACATTTCCCCCACTGATTCATAAGGCTACCTTATAATATATCAAGTTTCCATTTAGATGTATGTCTGTTTCAGGGCTTTTTAATTCTATTTTTTGGTGGACATTTAGGTCCTTATCTTACTAGACTTCTTGGCATTGGATCCTGTTGACCCTCTCCTAAACATTGTACTCTCCTGACTTCAACAATGGTTCTTGTCTTTCCTCCTTTCTCTGACTGCCTTGTAAATGTTGGTTTTCCTCAGGGGCCATTCTCTCTACACAGCTTTTCTCACTCTACACCACAGGGAGAAATATTTTTTGCCTAAAAGCGAACTCAAGGAAAACAGAAATGTTTACTGGGTGCAGCTGTTTAATTATGCTTTTAATTTCAGAATAGTTTCAAATGTAAACAAAAGTTGTGAAGATAGGGCAGAGAATTCTCACATACCCCTCACTCAGTTTCCCCTATTGTTAACATCCTATATTACCATGGGACATATATCACAACTAAGAAATCAACATTGGTACGTGACTATAAATTAAACACTTTATTAGCATTTCACCAGTTTTCCCCCCAAAGTCCATTTGCTGTTTGAGGATCCTCTTCAGGACACCACATTACATTCTGTCATCATGTCTCCCTAGCTTCTTCTGGTCTGTGATAGTTTCTCATACTTTGTTGTCCTTGATGACTTTGACAGTTTTGAGAAGCACTGGCCAGGGTTTGTTTGTTTTTGCAAATGTCCGTATTTGTCCAGTGTTTTTCTCATGGTTAGACTGGGGTCATAGGTTTTGGAAAAAATCACAGAGGTGAAATACCATTCTCATCCCATCATATTGTTACTGAACCAGGCTTCTTCTTCCTGTCATGCAGTATGTCAATCACTGAGATGATGTGTTTTGCTGCAGAGGAAGAGTTTATTCATGAGGCAGCCAAACAAGGATATGGGAAAACAGGTCTCAAATCTGCCTCCCTGAAGATGGAATTTTAGGGATATTTATAGAATAGAGGAGCAAGATGGTCCAAAGCATGGGGAAAGGTGATCGTGGTAAGGAAAACTGAGGTAATTGGTCATCTGTGCAAGCATAACAGACTTCATGGCTCTTCATAGAATATATGTTCAGAAAATTACAGCATTAGCATGATCTGAGGGTGGAGTTTTTGGCCCTCTGACATCAAAAGGTGACCCATCAGATGCTCACACAGGCCCAGTTGAAAGGTTGGTGGTCTCAGCTGGCTTGAACTGGACAAGAACTGACTCTCTAAGTTCCTGAAAAACAACTTAAGCAACCATTACCATGGTGATCTATACATCAGAAATGTTATCTACAAGAAAGCTAGTGGAAATTTAGTTATATATTACTTAGCAATGTGACTTTTAGCTATATAGGTTTTAAAATCAACTAAAAGCAAATTAATAAAGACAAGTAAGGTAAGTTAAATTTGGTGGGCCTAATTGGGTTTGTCCTCAGTTTCAATATCAAGGGTACATTGCCATTAACATGAGGTATTAGTCTTCTCTCACACTGCTATGAAGAAATACCAGAGACTGGGTAATTTATAAAGAAATGAGGTTTAATTGGCTGATGGTTCTGCAGACTGTATAGGAAGCATGGCAGCTTCTGGAGAGGCCTCAGGAAACTTATAATCATGGTGGAAGGTGAAGGTGAAGCAAGGCATCTCACATGGCCAGACCAAGAGGAAGAGAGAGAGGGGGAAGGTGCTACACACTTTTAAACAACCAGATCTCATGAGATCTCACTCACTATCATGAGAACAGCAACCAGGGGGATGGTATTAAGCCATCCATGAGAAACACTCTCATGATTCAATTACCTTCCACCAGGCCCCACCTCCAACATTGCGGATTACAATTTGACATGAGAGTTGGACAGGAACACAGATCCAAACCATATCATTCTACCCCCAGCCCCTCCCAAATCTCATGTCATTTTCACATTTCAAGGTACAACCATGCGTTCCAACAGTCCCCCAAAATTTTAACTTATTCTAGCATTAACCCAAAAGTCCAAAGTCCAAAGTCCAAAGTCTCATCTGAAACGGGAAGTCCCTTCCACCTATGAGTCCGTAAAATCAAAAACAAGTTAGTTACTTCCAGAGACAGTGGGGGTATAGCTGTTGTGTAAATCAAGCTTGTCCAACTCATGGCCCATGGGCCACATGCAGCCCAGGACAGCTTTGGACATGGCTCAACACAAGTTTCTTAAAACACTATGAGATATGTTTTGCAATTTTTTTTTAGCTTATCAGCTCTCGTTAGTGTTAGTGTATTTTATATGTGGACCAAGACTATTCTTCTTCCACTGTGGCTCAGGGAAGCCAAAAGATTGAACACCCCTGGGGTAAATACTCCTATTTCAAAAAGGAGAAATCAGCCAAAAGAAAGGGGCTACAGGCACCATGCAAGTCCAAAACCCAGCAGGGCAACCATTAAATCTTAAAGCTCAAAAATAATCTCCTTCGAATTCATGTCTCACATCCAGGGCACTCTGATGCAAGGGAAGGGGCTCCCAAGGCCTTGGGAAGCTCTGCTCCTGTGGCTTTGCTGGTTCAGCCCCCAGAACAACTGCTCTCAGGGGCTGGCATTGAGTGCCTATGGCTTTCCAGGCACAGGGTGCAAGCTGCCAGTGGATCTTCCATTCCAGGGTCTGGAGGATGATAACCCTCTTCTCACAGCTCCACTAGGCAGTGCCTCAGTGGGGACTCTGTGTGTGGGGTCCAACCTCATATTTTCCCTCTGCATCACCCTAGAAGAGGTTCATCATGAGGGCTCCACTCCTGCAGCAGGCTTCTGCCTGGACATACAGGGTTTTCCATACATCCTCTGAAATCTAGGCGGAGGCTCCCAAGCCTCAACTTGTGTACTCTGTGCACCTGTAGGCTTAACACCATGTGCAAACTGTCAAGGCTTATTACTTGCACTCTCTGAAGCAGTGGCCCAAGCTGTACTTGGGCCCTTTTTAGCCACAGCTAGAGTTAGAGTGGCTGGCACACAGGCAGCAGTGTCCCAAGGCTGTCCTGTGCCTGGCCCACAAACCATTTTGTCCTCCTAGACCTCCAGGCCTGTGATGGGAGGGGATGCCTTGAAGGTCTCTGAAATGCCTTTGAAGCTCTTCCCCCATTGTCTTGGATATTATCACTTTGCTCCTCTTTACTTATGAAAATTTCTGCAGCCTGCTTGAATTCCTTTCCTGAAAATGGGCCTTTCTTTTCTACCACATGGCCAGGCTGCAAATGTTCCAAATTTTAATGCTCTGCTTCCCCTTTAAATATAAGTTTTAGTTTCAGGTCATTTCTTTGTTCATACATATGAGCTATAGGTTGTTAGAAGCAGCCAGGCCACGTCTCAAACACTTTTCTGCTTAGAACTTTCTTCCACCAGATACCCTAAATCATCTCTTTCAAGTTCAAAATTCCATAGATCCCTAGGGCAGGGGCACAATCCAACCAAGCTCTTTGCTAAAGCATAGCAAAAGTGACCTTTGCTCCAGTTCACGATAAGTTCCATATTTCCATCTGAGACCTCCTCAGCCTGTCCAATATCTGTCCATGTCACTATCAGCATTTTGGTCACAACTATTCAACAAGTCTCTAGAACGTTCCAAATTTTCCCTCATCATCTTTTCTTCTTCTGAACCCTCCACACTCTTCCAACCTCTGCCCATTACCCAATTCCAAAGTTGCTTCCACATTTTCAGGTGTCTTTATAGCAATGCCCCACTCCTCAATACCAACTTTCTGTATTAGTCTATTCTTGCACAGCTATAAAGAAATACCTGAGACTGGGTAATTTATAAAGAAAAGAGGTTTAATTGGCTCATTGTTCTGCAGGCTGTACAGGAAGCATAGCAGCTTCTTGGGAGACCTCAGAAAGCTTCCAATTATGGTGGATGGTGAAGGGAGAGCAAGCATGTCACATGGTGAAAGCAGGAGCAAGAAAGAGAGGGGAAGGAGGTGCCACACACTTTTAAATGACCAGGTGTCACAAGAACTCACTTACTATGGTGAGGACAGCACCAAAATGATGGTGCCAAACCACTCACAAGAAGTTCACCCCCATCATATAATCACCTCCCACCAGGCACCACCTCCAACATTGGGGATTACAATTCAACATGAGACTTGGGCCGGGACACAGATCCAAACCATATCACATGACCTGTCAGTGATGATGTTAACCTTGATAACCAAGCTGAGTTAGTATTTGACAGGTTTCCTTACTATATAGTTGTCCTCCACCTCTCCTCTCTTGTTGCATTTAAAAATTTTTAAATGGAATAAAAAATGAAATGGAAAACTAAATGAAGCTTTATTAAATACCATGGGGGAGTGTGCAGGTGCAGTGGCTCATGCCTGTAATCCCAGCACTTTGGGACACCAAGGCAGGTGGATCACTCGAGCTCAGGAGTTTAATCCCAGCCTGGGCAACATGGCAAAACCCTGTCTCTATAAAAACAAAAATTAACTAGGTGCAGTGGTGGGTGCCTGTAGTCCCAGATACTTGGGAGGCTGAGGTGAAAGGATCACTTGAGCCTGGGAGGCAGAGGTTGCAGTGAGCCAAGATCATGCCACTGCACTCCAGCCTGGGTGATAGGAGTGAAACCCTATACCCCCCACCCCCGCCAAAAAAAAATACCATGGGAAGAAATTATATTATTGGAACGTAGGTTATTCACTATTCACCAGAAGTTTGTCCTAGAGAAATTGGCATTACTTTTTAATCCATTAATATTTTAGAGTCTGGGTATATTTGGCCTTATCACTTCCCTTGGTTTTAACTACCATCTATAAGTTGATGACTCACAAATCTTCCCAGGTCCTGATCACTCCCTGCATCTGAAACCACCCTTGCAGAATTATAAGTAATGAGAGATAAATCTTTTTTTTTTTTTTTTTTTTTTTTTGAGACAGGGTCTTGTTCTGTTACCCAGGTTGGAGTGCAGTGGTGTAATCTTGGTTCACTGTGACCTCTGCCTACTGTGTTCAAGCAATTCTCCTGCCTCAGTGTCCTGAGTAGATGGGATTACAGTTGCACACCACCGTGCTCAGCTAATTTTTGTATTTTTTTTTAAGTAGAGACAGTGTTTCGCCATGTTGGCCAGGCTGATCTCAAACTCCTGACCTCAAGTGATCCGCCTGCCTCAGCTTCCCAAAGTGCTGGGATTACAGGCGTGAACTACCATGTCAGGCCAGTAATGAGAGAGAAATCTAACATGACTAATTGCATCTTGCTTCTAATCTCACAGGCTAAATTGCTTTTTTGCTTATTCTGGTATAGAGGCCAAGATAACTGTGAAAGGAATTTAGTTTATAGCTAAACTTTGAGGTAAGGAAAACTGACCCCCTTCCATGTTTGGAGATTGAAGATGCTTTCATAAAACAAGATTAGAATCATGGTAGGGACTTGAACTTTGCTATAGAATAGGCATAAACAATCACCTGTCATTGTTTAACTTTCTTTTCTTTTTTGAGATGGAATTTTGCTCTTGTTGTCCAGGCTGTAGTCCTGTGGCACAGTCTCGGCTCACTGCAACCTCCGCCTCCCTGGTTCAAGAGATTCTCCTGCCTCAGCCTCCCAAGTAGCTGGGATTATAGGTATGCGCCACCACACCCGGCTAATTTTGTGTTTTTAGTAGAGATGGAGTTTTACCATGTTGGCTAGGCTGGTCTCAAACTCCTGACCTCAGGTGATCCACCCACCTCAGCCTCCCGAAGTGCTGGGATTACAAGTGTGAGCCACTGTACCCAGCCAAGCTTGCTTTTCTATAAGCTGCTTTTGCTATCCCAGAGTCATGTAACTGGGGGTCACAAGATTTGTAACTTTCCCAACTATTCAAATGAATTAACATCACTATTGTAAAACCTAAAGAACTAGTCTTTGAGATATTTTTCAGATTTAGCATTTTGGCAACACAAGAGATGCTACCTGGTCCTTAGATGCCCCCCTCCCTGGAACTGATTAGACTGTGCAAAGACAATTTAAACACTCTTGTGACTTTATCCCCAGCCAATCGATAGTTTCAGTTCCCTAGACCCCTGTCTGCCAAAATGCCCTTAACACCCTAGCCTCCAAATTGTTGGGGACATGAATTTGAGAAATGCCTCCTGTCCTGCTTGGCTGGTCCTGTGATATTAAACTCTTTCTTTTCAGCATTATCTGCTGTTCTCAGTGCAGCAGGCAAGAGCCCATCAGGCTGTGACAGGTTGGCTACTTAATGTATTCAAACTCCTATAAAATGTTTCCCCTGTGATGTTTCAGAGACACTTCAAATTCAATGTACCCTAAGCTGAACTTTTTGTGTCCCCTCCATCAATCCCTGCATGACCCACATCTTCTCCTCCAGTGTTCTCTAGCTAAGTGAATCAAACCAAATCTATCCATTTACCTAAGCCAAAAACCCACCCTCCACCTCAAAACCTGAGTGATCTTTCTAAAACATAAAGTCTGTCTATATCACCACTGCCATGTCTATAATATTAAATCCTCTCTCAAGACTTCTATTTCCCTCTTTGGTTTCAACTTTTACCATTCCCAGACTTGTTCTCTACCCTCATGAGTGCCAAATGACCTTTGGTTCATTGAGCATACCCTGTGGTTTATGCCTCTGTATCTTTGTTCAGGCTATTACCTTGTCTGGAAGAGTTCCCTCTTCCAACTCTGTCTGCCCACTATCTTCTTATCCTTCAAGATTCAGCCCAGCATTTTATCTTTGTAAACTTCAAAACATCTAGCCCCATTCAGTCTTCCTCACTAGATTGTAAGTTCCTGAGGGTAGGGACCATATACGGTTCATCTGTTTGTTTGTTTGTTTTTGAGATGTAGTCTCACCCTGTCGCCTAGGCTAGAGTGCAATGGCATGATCTCGGCTCACTGCAACCTCCGCCTCCTGGGTTCAAGTGATTCTCCTGCCCCAGCCTCCCGAGTAGCTGGGACTACAGGCATGAGCCACCATGCCTGGTTAATTTTTGGATTTTTGGTAGAGACGGGGTTTCACTATGTTGGCCAGGCTGGTCTCAAACTCCTGACCTCAGGTGATCCACCACCTCGGCCTCCCAAAGTGCATAAGCCACTGCACCCGGCCTATGGTTCATCTCTGTAGCCCGCCATCCCCACCCACCCTGCTCAATATAGTACCTGCCAGTCAGACTGAAGTCGCAGTCACTCAGGAAATGTTTGGGACCAAGCTGATTTCCACTGTGCTCCTCTGACACTTAAAGCGGTTATTACATTTTATTATTATTATTAATCAAAATGCCTGGCACCTCACCAAGGAAGTGAGCTCCAGGAAGACAGAGTCTTGAGTCTTATTAATGCTACAGGACCAGTGTTTGGAACACAATAGGAGCTAAGTGAGTATTTCTTGGATGAATGATCAGAGCAGGAACTGTTAAAATTGAATTGCTTTTTTCATGACTCTTCAACCAAACATTGGCCAAACCATCCTGAGGGAAGTTTGGTCTCCTTTGTCAATCTACTTAAGAAAAAAAGAAATACATAGCTGAAAATGATGTAAAAATGGCTAAATTGGTAATGTGAGCATCACTAGGTGAAAAGTTTCAAAGCTAGGTTATTTCTCATAAATGGAACATTACAAAATAGGCATCAACTGGCCGGATGCGGTGGCTCACGCCTGTAATCCCAGCACTTTGGGAGGCCGAGGTGGGTGGATCACAAGGTCAGGGGTTCGAGACCAGCCTGACCAACATGGTGAAACCCCATCTCTACTAAAAATACAAAAATTAGCTGGGTGTGGTGGTGGGTGCCTGTAATCCCAGCTACTCAGGAGGCTGAGGCAGGAGAATTGCTTGAACCCGGGAGGCGGAGGTTGCAGTGAGCTGAGATCGCGCCACTGCACTCCAGCCTGGGTGACAGAGCAAGACTCGGTTTCAAAAAAAAAAAAAAGGCATTAATTTTCCTTAGCCAGGTACAGTAATATGCAATTAAATAGTTTTAATCTCATGCCTAAAGCATTGCTGTTTAGAAAAGTAAGACAGGTAATTGTAAAGTTTCAAAATCCAGCAAGTAAAATCAGGAACACTCCCAGAATTGAGTCTAGAGGAGACTGAGAGTCAGAAGAGAGTCTGGCAATTAGGAGAAAAAGGAAGCAGTAGTTTGACATTGGAAAGTGCCTGGCATGTAAGAGAAGAATCTGGCAAGGGAGGGACAGGTGACTAATCAATTACCACAGATTCAGTCTGCCATTGTCTGGGCTTTGGAAATAAGTTGATGAGGTTTGGATTTAATAAACATTAAAATTCTAAGAACACTTAAGAACTGCCCAGGGAGGCTGTGGAGCGATCATCATATGAGTAGATTTCTAAGGCTAGACCAGACACCCATCTATTATGGATGGTTTGAGACTACCACATCCATCCTGCTACCACAGAGAGAAGTTAATGACCCTGCAGATCTTCATTCCAAACTTCTGAAAGGCGGAGAGAGGTTAAATGGTGCTAACTTTGATTCTGCTGTTTCATCACAGATTCCTTGCTATTAATTCAGATACAATTGACAAGCATTTTCTCTAAACAAGAGATTTAATTTGTTGGTCTTTTCATAAACATTGCTATCCAATTTTTATACACCTTTATATATATATATACCAACATTTACATACCCCTATACACAGTAAAATTTCACTTGATACGTTTGCTTGGAATTTGCAATACTTTGAATGGGGTCAGGTTAAAGTTAAACTTTGCTTAGCAAACCCCTCCCATTGTAGATTAATATTCATATTTTGAACAAAATTTGAGAGTACATAAGATGACAAGTTTCCTTGAAGATTTTAAAAAACTGGAAGCCAAAGTGATGGTTACCCTCTGCAACAGCAATTTTAGGAGAGATTGTTCCAAGGTTTATCTTCCCACTAGACTATGGACTTCCATGAGGGCAAGGGCCTTGGTTTGTTTGCTGGGTATTCCCACCATTCAGCCTAGGACTTGGCACATAAAGGGTACACAGTGAATTTTCTGATAAAATTAATCAATCAAAGAAAACATGCTGAGATTTGGGAGCCCTGCCTTAGGACATAGTGAGAAATATATTAGGGGGAGTTTTACTTAGTTTGTACCCAGTTACACCAATTATTGAGAAATGTGTGATCTAGGACAAGTCATTCAACCTCCTAGAGCCTTAGTTTTCTCATCTGTAAAGTGAAGCTAGTGATAATACATATCATATAGAGTTATTGCAAGGATTTAGTGAGATAATGTATGGTCCTACCCGATACCAAGTATCACTATAAGACGGGGTTTCTCAACCTCATCCCTGTTGACATTTTCAGCTGGATAGTTCGTTGCTGTGGGGTACTGTCCTGTGCATTGTGGTTTAGCAGCATCTCTGGCCCCTACCCACTAGATGCCAGTAGCCCCCAACAACCCAGTTGTGATAGCCAAGAATGTCTCCAGATATTGCCAAATGTGCCCTGGAAGGTAAAATTGCCTCTTGTTGGGAACCACTGCTATAAAGTTAGGGTAATTAATTTGGTACGAGGATAGACAAATAGATCCATGGAACAGAAGAGAGAGACTAAAAACATACCCATGCATATAGGGAATGTGATCCATGATAAAGATGGAGTTACATCTCAGTGGAGAAGGGATAGGCTCTTTACTAAATGGTGCTGGAGCAACTGATTGAAAAAAATATAATTCTATCCCACATTATTCATATAAACTTTTAGAAGAAAATGTGGGAGATATCTTTATTGTTTCAGAGTAGGAAGGATTTCTTAAACAGGACACAAAAAGCACAAAACATGAAAGAAAAGGTTGATACATTTTACGTTTAAAACTACATATACCAATGGCATCATAGACAAAGTCAAAAGCTAAGTGGTGAATTGGAAGAAATGATTTGTGACCCAGATATTCAACAAAAGGTATCTATTAAGAATGTAATGAAGTACCAATTAATACCTAAACACCAACTACTGTAACAAATTACCAAAACTGGGTAGCCTAAAACCACAGAAATTTACCCTATCTCAGTTCTGGAGTCCACAAGTCCAAAATCAAGGTGTTAGCAGAGCTGGTTTCTTCTGGAGGCTCTAAGGGAGAATCATGCTGTGCTTCTCCCCTAGCTCCTGGTGGTTGCCACCAATCTCCGGCCTTTCTTGGCTTGTAGCTGCATCACCTCAATCTCTGCCTCTGTCTTCACATAGCCTTCTTTCCTGTGTTTGTCTGTGCCTTCAAATGGGCTTCTTAGAAGGATACTAGTCATATTTAGTGCCCACCCTAATCTAATATGACCTCATCTTCACTTGATTCCATCTGCAAAGACCTATTTCCAAATAAGATCACATTCTGAAGTTCCTGTGGACCTGGATTTTGAGGGATATTCAACCCTGTAGAGTCTGCCCTTCAGCCCCTCAAATTCACATATGTCTCATGTGCAAAATACATTCATCCCATCTCAACATATCCAGAAGTCTTAACTAATTCCAGCACCAACTGTTTTTTTTCCCTTTTTTTTTAACAATCTTTCTCTTTCTTTCTTCTTTCTTTTCTTTCTCTCTCTCTTTCTGTCTTCTTTCTTTCCTTCCTTCCTTCTCTCTTTCTTTTTCTTCCTTTCCTTTCTCTCTCTCTCCTTCCCTTCCTCCCTCCCTCCTTCTTTCTTCCTTCCTCCCTCCCTCCCTCCCTCCTTTATTCAACAAACGATATCTATTAAGAATGTAATGAAGTAAGGATTAATACCTAAACACCAACTACTCCCTCCCTCCTTTCCTTCCTCTCTCCCTCTGTCTCTCTCTCTCTCTCTTTCTTTCACAGACAGGGTCCCACTCTGTCACCCAGGCATGATCATATCTCAAACTCCTGGGCTCAAGTGATCCTCCTGTCTCAGCCTCCTGAGCAGCTGGGACTACAGGCACATGCCACTATGCCCAGCTAATTCTTAAATTTTTATTAAAAAATTAAAACAGTGGCTCATGCCTGTAATCCCAGCACTTTGGGAGGCTGAGGCAGGAAGATCACTGAGCCCAGGAGTTTGAGACCAGCCTGGGCAACATAGAGAGACCCCATGTCCATAAAAATAAATAAATAAACAAATAAATAAATAAATTAGCTGGGCATGGTGGCATGCACCTGCGGTCCCAGCTACTCAGGAGGCTGAGGCAGGAGGATCATTTGAGCCCAGGAGGTCGAGGCTGTAGTGAACTCTTTCTCAGACTTCCTTTCAATCTCATTTCTTTGAAGTCACTAACTATTCATTAACCATTGTCCTTGAATTAATATAAATACATGCCTCTGGCTATCTCTTCTTCCAGGCAAAGTGAACAGCCAGGTGCATTGCTCAAAGTTATGTACATTGGGAAGATTTCCTGTTCATTTAGAGCCACCATTGAGTGGGGCTGTGATGCTGTGACCATTCCCTTTCAGGTGATATCACCACATTGCACAGACTCATCAGAAAATCAGGCCTGGATTTTTTCTTCCTCATGTAACTGAGTTGAAGGACAGGTGTTAATGGAGTAGGAGTAGGTGCTGTAGGAGTCTGAGTCACTTGCTCATGCAACTCACATGTGTCTTCAGGACCAGCTCAAGGGTAATCTCACACATGTGATATATGAGATATATATGTAACATATTTGTATATACATATCTTTTTCTCTTACACTTGATGATAGAATGCTGCTATACCTGTCAAATTTATGGCTTGAAGGATCAGAGAATAGTTTATGATGGGCAACTCAAGTCACATGATATTATTTAGTCTCTATAGAAGCTGTTTTTCATAAAAAGAATGCTTGTCTGCAGAAGAAAACATAATTTTGTTCCAAAATACTGAGAGTTTAAACTATGATTATCCTATTATGACGTGGCAGAGGCTTTATTTTATCTCTGTCTGCTACAGACACTTTGAGCGCCACTGTATTCAGCTTGCATGGAAATCCAGATGTTTCTTTTCCTTGATTTGTGCCCCATTTGAAACTGGAAGCCTAATCAGGCATGGTGGCATGCACCTATAGTCTCAGCTACTTGGGAGGCTGAGGCAGGAGGATCTCTTGAGGCCAGGAGTTCAAGCTGTAGTGTGCTATGATCACACTGGTGAATAGCCACTGCACTCTAGCCTGGGCAACATAGCGAGACCCTATTTCTAAAAAAAAACAAAAAATTAAAAAAATCTGGCAGCCTTGGCCAGGCACGGCTGCTCACGCCTGTAATCCCAGCACACTGGAAAGCCAAGGTGGGCAGATCACTTGAAGTCAGGAGTTCGAGACCAGCCTGGCCAACATGGTGAAATCCTGTCTCTAATAAAAATACAAAAATAAGGTGGGCATGGTGGCAGGCACCTGTAATCCCAGCTACTTGGAAGGCTGAGGCAGGAGAATTGCTTGAACCTGGGAGGTGGAAGTTGCAGTGAGCTGAGATCATGCCACCGCACATCAGCCTGGGTGACAGAGCGAGGCTGCATCTAAAAACAAAAAAAAAATCTGGCAGCCTTATGGGTTATTTCGTGAAGGAAACAGGCCCAAATGTGGTATAGTCAGCCTCTTTCTCCAGCCCTCTACCTCCCACCATTTTCGCTTAACAGGCTCATGAACAAAGTGGTCCTGCTTTCAAAATCTAAAGAGATCCACTAGGCACTGAACTTTTTTCTTAGGGGTAGGAAGTACAAGCTGCAACTTGTCCTTCACCTTGAAGAATATATCTTGCCATCCCTCAGACCATTAGACCCCTGAAAACTTCACTGATGTAAGTCTTTGTCTTTTATTTTTTTTCCAAGGCAGAAGAATTTTTCTTAGTACAGAACAAAATGGAGTCTCCCATGTCTACTTCTTTCCACACAGACACAGTAACAATCCGATCTCTCTTTCTTTTCCCCACATTTCCCCCTTTTCTATTTGACAAAACTGCCATCGTCATCATGGCCCCTTCTCAATGAGCTGTTGGGTACACCTCCCAGATGGGGTGGCGGCCGGGCAGAGGGGCTCCTCACTTCCCAGACGGGGCGGCTGGGCAGAGGCACCCCCCACCTCCTGGACGGGGCGGCTGCTGGGCAGAGACGCTCCTCACTTCCCAGACGGGGCGGCCGCCGGGCGGAGGGGCTCCTCACTTCTCAGATGGGGCGGCCGGGCAGAGACGCTCCTCACCTCCCAGACGGGGTGGCGGTCGGGCAGAGACGCTCCTCAGTTCCCAGACGAGGTCGCGGCCGGGCAGACGTGCTGCTCACATCCCAGATGGGGCGGCGGGGCAGAGGTGCTCCCCACATCTCAGACGATGGGCGGCCGGGCAGAGACGCTCCTCACTTCCTAGATGGGATGGCGGCCGGGAAGAGGCGCTCTTCACTTCCCAGACTGGGCAGCCGGGCAGAGGGGCTCCTCACATCACAGATGATGGGCGGCCAGGCAGAGACGCTCCTCACTTCCCAGACGGGGTGGCGGCCCGGCAGAGGCTGCAATCTCGGCACTTTGGGAGGCCAAGGCAGTCAGCTGGGAGGTGGAGGTTGTAGCGAGCCGAGATCACGCCACTGCACTCCAGCCTGGGCAACATTGAGCACTGAGTGAGCGAGACTCCGTCTGCAATCCCGGCACCTTGGGAGGCCGAGGCTGGCAGATCACTCGAGGTCAGGAGCTGGAGACCAGCCCGGCCAACACGGCGAAACCCCGTCTCCACCAAAAAAATACGAAAACCAGTCAGGCGTGGCGGTGCGCGTCTGCAATCCCAGGCACTCGGCAGGCTGAGGCAGGAGAATCAGGCAGGGAGGTTGCAGTGAGCCGAGATGGTGGCAATACAGTCCAGCCTCGGCTAGGCATCAAAGGGAGACCGTGGAAAGGGGAGATGAGGGAGAGGGAGACCGTAGAAAGGAAAGAGGTAGAGGTAGAGGTAGAGGTAGGGGTAGGGGTAGGGGTAGGGGTAGGGGTAGGGGTAGAGGTAGAGGTCTTTGTCTTAATCTGTTTAGCTACTGTAACAAAATATCATACCATAGAATGGGTACCTTATATGAAGATATTGGATATTCCTTATATAAAGAAGTAAATATAGATATTTACTTCTCACAGTTCTAGAGGCTGAGAAGTCCAAAATCAAGGCGTTGGCAGATTTGGTGTTTGGTAGGGGCTTGGTTCCTGGTTCATAAATGGTATCTTTAAGCTGTATCCCCATCCCCATATGATGGAAAGAGCTAGCTAGCTCTCTGGGGCTTCTTTTATAAAGGCACTGATCCCATTCGTGAGGGCAGAGCCCTCATGTCCTAGTCACTTCTTAAAGGCCTCACTTCCTAATACCATGACCTTGGTGATTCATTTTCAACATAAGAATTTGGCGGGGGAACACAGACATTCAGAACATAGCAATTTCCTGAACTTTTATGATGTTTATTTTCCACTCCAGGCTATGCATGTGTCTTACAAAAGCATCTAGTCAGGGTATTTGTTATGTGACTTCCTGTTCATTGTACAGTCAGCAAAATGTCAACTACTTACAGAAGTTGGTTAGGTGTTATGGAAAGGTGATACAATCAAAGTCTCTACAATCTAGATTATGACAGAGTTGGAGAGTAAACACAGACTTGAGGCAAGATAGTGAAGTCCGTTTTCACACTGCTGATAAAGACATACCTGAGACTGGGTAATTTATAAAGAAAAATAGGTTTAATGGACTCACAGTGCCACATGGCTGGGGAGGCCTCACAATCATGGCAGAAGGCAGAAGGCAAAAGGCATGTCTTACATGGCAGCAGGCAAAGAGAGAATGAGAGCCAAACGAAAGGGGGAAACCCCTTATAAAATCATCCAATCTTGTGAGACTTATTCACTACCACGAGAACAGTATGGAGGAAACTGCCTCCATGATTCAATTATCTCCCACCAGCTCCCTCCCACAACATGTGGGAATTATGGGAGCTACAATTCAAAATGAGATTTGAGTGGAACACAGCCAAACAATATCACCCACTGGCATTCCTGACTTGCAGAGAATGGCCAATACAGAGCCTTTCAAGGATGGTAGTTCTCCTCTCACCAATGCACTTCTCAAAGCTTGGGTTAAAGGAGTCTCTTATATTTTTTGGAGACTACTGTAAGTAATCATTCTGCCATCTTAAAATCAGAAGTCCTAAGCCTTTCCCTTTTCAAACCACTTAATTTGTCTTTCATTTCTATCATTCCAATGCTCTTATTATCAGTAACCTCTCGTTACTAAATCCAAGGGACGCTTCAGCCTTTAGCAGCATTTAACAATTTCTATTCTTGGCTTTCATGTTGTCATTCTCTTTTGGAGTTTATTACATATCTCTGCTTCTTCCTCATCTAATGGCTGGCTCTTCCTCCACTATTCATCCTCCAGTGTTAGGGTGTTTTAGGGCTATTTCTTCAGCTCTTTTCTTTTCTTGCCACACTAACTTCTCTCCTTAGATGATTTCATTCATTGTCATCATTTCGGTTACCATCTATATGTCAGTTGTGCTCAACTTTATCTCCAGGCCAGAATTTTCTCTCCAACAGTAGACATAGAAAACTGACATTATTATCTCTGCCCACTCCCATCTTCATCTCCATTGTTCTCCATTTTACAAAATGGTTCCACCATCCAGTAATTGCTGAATCAAAGGGGTTTATTCATGAGTCCTCAAATTTCTTCACTCTCACATCAGTCCCAACACCAAAGTCTATTGACTCTGTCTCTAAATACATACATATATATATGTATATAAATTTTTAAATAGAGATGGAATCTTGCTATGTTGCCCAGGCCTGTCTTGAACTGATGGCCTCAAGCAACCCTCACACTTTGGTCTCCCAAAGTTTTGGGATTACAGGTATGGGCCACTGCGCCCAGCCTAAATACATTTCTGATACATCAATTTTTTCTCTACCTGTATGTCTACACACTAGTATTTAGTTGCCATGTCTTCCTGGTTTCTCTAGTCTGTAATAGTTTCTCAGTCCTCCCTTGTTTTTCATGACCTTGATTTTCTTGAAGAGTACTGGCTAGGTAGTTCATAGAATGCTCCTCAATCTGAGTTTGTACTATGTTTTCTCATGATTACACTGGACTTTTAGGTTTTTGGAAAGAGTATCACAGAGGTGAAGTGCCCTTCTCATTAGATCCTATCAACAATGAGTGATACCCACATGATATCACTAATGACGTTAACTTTCATCACTTGGTTAAAGTGGTATCTGCTAGCTTTCCATGCAGTAAAGTTACTATTTCTCCCTTTCCCTGCTTTATCCTTTTATAGAGAGTTACTCTGCATAGCTCATCTTTAGAAGGGAGAGGGTAGAAATTAAGCTCCAACTCCTCAAATTGAGAATATCTATATGTATTATTTATAACTCTTCTGAAAGAAGATAAACCACTGGGTTTTTTTGGTGTTTTTAAAATTAATATATAATATTTGTACATATTTATGGGGTACATGTGATACTTTGACACATGCATAAGAATGTGTAATAATCAAGTCAGCATATTTAGGCTATCATCACCTTGAGCATGTATCATTTATTTGCATTGGGAACATTTCAAATCCTCTCTTCTAGCTGATTTGAAATATACAATACATTATTAACCATAGTCATCCTACTCTGCTATTGAACATTATAACTTTTTCTTTCTGCCTAACTATATGTTTATACCTATTAACCCACCTCTTTTCATCTCCCTTGCTTCACACACTCTTCCCAGTCTCTGGTAACTCTCATTCTACTTTACCTCCATGAGATCAACTTTTTTAGATTCCACATATGAGTGAAAACATGCAATATTTATCTTTCTGTGTCTGGCTTATTTCATTTAACATAATGACTCCAAGTTCCATCCATGTTGCTAAAAATAACATGATTTTATTCTTTTTAAGGCTAAATAGTATTCCATTGTGGATAATACTACATTTTCTTTATCCATTCATCCATTGATGGACACTTAGGTTGATCCCATATTTTTGCTATCGTGGATAGTGCTGCAGTGAACATGGGAGCTCAGGTATCCCTTTGATATACTGATTTCTTTTCCTTTGGATAAATACTCATTAGTGTGATTTCTGAATCATATGGTAGTTCTATTTTTAGGGTTTTGGTTTTTGTTGTTGTTGTTGTTGTTGTTTTTTAAGAGATAGAATCTCGCTCTGTTATCCAGGCTGGAATGCAGTGGCACAATCATGGCTCATTGTAATGTCAAACTCTGGGCTCAAGCCATCCTCCTGCCGCAGCCTCCTGAGTCACTGGGATTACAGATGTGAGCCACCATTCCCAGTCCTGTTTTTAGTTTTTTGAGAAATCTTCATACTGTTTTCCATAATGGCTGTACTGTTTTACATTTCCATCAACAGTGTATAAGAGTTCCCTTTTCTCTGTATCCTTGACAGCATCTGTTATTTTTTCTTTTTAATAATAACCATTCTAAGTGGGGTAAGATGATATCTCACTGTGGTTTTGATTTGCATTTCCCTGATGATTAGCAATGTTGAGCATTTTTTCATATGCCTGTTGGTCATTTTATGTTTTCTTTTAAGAAATGTCTGTTTAGATCCTTTGCTCACTTTTTAATGGGATTATTTGTTTTTTGCTGTTGAGTTGTTTCAATTCCTTGTATATTCTAGATATTAGTCCCTTAGCAAACGAATAGTTTGCAGATATATTTCTCCCATTCAACAAGTTGTCTCTTCACTCTGTTGATTGTTTCCTTTGCTGTACAGAAGCTTTTTAGTTCAATATAGTCCTATTTGTCTATTTCTGTTCTTATTATCTGTACTTCTGAGGTCTTAGCTATAAAATCTTTGTCTAAACCAACATTCTGAAGTGTTTCTCCTATATTTTATTCTAGTAGTTTTCTAGTTTCAGGTCTCTGTTTAAGCCTTTAATCCATTTTGAGTTGATTTTTGTATATGGTAAGACAGAGGGGTCCAGTTTCATTTTTCCCAGCACCATTTATTGAAAAGGGTGTCCTTTTCCCCAATGTATATTCTTGGCACCTTTTCAAAAATCAATTGGCTGCAAACATATGCATTTATTTCTGGGTTCTCTATTCTGTTTCATTTGTCTATATGTCTGCTTTTTTGTTTTGTTTTGTTTTGTTTTGTTTTGTTTTTAACAAGGTCTTGCGCTATTGCACAGGCTGGAGAGCAGTGGCATGATCTTGGATCACTGCAACCTCTGCCTCCCAAGCTCAAGTCATCCTCCCACCTCAGCCTCCCAAACAGCTGGGACTACAGGTACTAAACACTAAGTCTGGCTAATTTTTGTATTATTTGTAGAGACAGGATTTTGCCACATTGCCCAGGCTGGTCTTGAACTCCTGAGCTCAAGCGATCTACCCACCTCAGCCTCCCAGAGTGCTGGGATTATAGGCATGAGTATATGTCTGTTTTTATACCAATGCCATGCTGTTTTGGTTACTATAACCTTGTAATATATTTTGAAGTCAGATAGCATGGTGCCTCCAGTTTTGTTCTTTTTGCTCAGGATTGGTTTGGCTATTTGGGCTCTTTTTTGGTTCCATATGAATTTTGTGCCCAGAGATTTTGTTAACACTGTCCAAACACTACAGAATAAATAAATTCAACTAACAGAAGTAACCTTAGGAATGCAGAAAATATAAAACCTTACAATTTTAACTCCTCACCTTGTATGTGGACATTAGCCAAGGGCCTTTTGTTGTTGATATGGTTTGGCTGTGTCCCTACCCAAATCTCATCTTGAATTGTAACTCCCACAATTCCCACATGTCATGGGAGGAACCTGGTGGGAGGTGATTGAATTATGGGGGCGGGTCTTTCCTGTGCTGTTCTCATGATAGTGAATGAGTCTCATGAGATCTGATGGTTTTAAAAATGGGGGTTTCCCTGCAAAAGTTTTCTCTCTTGCCACTGCCATGTAAGAAGTGCCTTTTGTCTTCTGCCATGATTGTGAGGCCTCCCTAGCCATGTGGAACTATAAGTCCATTAAACTTCTTTCTTTTGTAAATTGCCCAGTCTCAGGTATGTCTTTGTCAGCAGCATGAAAATGGACTAATACACTACTTTGGTACCAGTAGAGTGGGGCATTGCTGACAAGATACCCAAAGATGTGGAAGCAACTTTGGAACTAGGTAACAGGCAGAGGGTGGAACAGTTTGGAGGGCTCAAAAGGTGACAGTAAAATGTGGGAAGGTTTGGAACTTCCTACAGACTTGTTGAATGGCTTTGACAAAAATGCTGATAGTGATATGAGCAGTAAGGTTCAGGCTGAGGTGGTCTCGGATGGAGATGAGGAACTCACTGGAAACTGGAGCAGAGATGACTTTTATGTTTTAGCAAAGAGATTGGCAGCATTTTGCCCCTGCCCTAGAGATTTATGGAACTTTGAACTTGAGAGCGATGATTTAGGGTATCTGGAGGAAGAAATTTCTAAGTAGCAAAGCATTCAAGAGATGACTTGGGTGCTGTGAAAGGCATTGAGTTTTAGAAGGGAAGCAGAGCATAAAAGTTTGGGAAATTTGCAGCCTGACACTAAGATAAAAAAGAAAATCCCATTTTCTGAGGAGAAATTCAAGCAGCTGCAGAAATTTGCATAAGTAATGAGGAGCCAAACGTTAATCCCCAAGACAATGTAGAAAATGTCTCCAGGGCATGTCAGAGATAGTTACAATAGCCCCTCCCATCACAGGCCAGGAGGCCTAGGAGGAAAAAAAATGGTTTTGTCGGTTGGGCCCTTGGTCCCTGTGCTGTGTGCAGTCTAGGGACTTGGTGCCCTGTGTCCCAGCTGCTCCAGCCATGACTAAAAAGGGCCAAGGTACAGATCAGGCTGTGGCTTCAGAGGGTCTAAGCCTCAATCTTTTGAGCCTGCAAGTGCACAGAATTCAAGAATTGAGGTTTGGGAACCTCCACCTAGGTTTCAGAGGATGTATGGAAACACCTGGATGTCCAGGCAGAAGTTTGCTGCAGGGGTGGGGCTCTCATGGAGAACCTCTACTAAGGCAGTACAGAAGGGAAATGTGGGGTTGGAGCCCCCACACAGAATCTCTACTGGGGCACTGCCTAATGGAGCTGTGAGAAGAGGGCCACCATCTTCCAGACCCCAGAAAGATAGATCCGCTGACACTTGTGCCATGCACCTGGAAAAGCCACAGATACTCAATGCCAGCCCATGAAAGCAGCTGGGAGGGAGGCTATACCCTGCAAAGCCACAGGGGTGAAGCTGCCCAAGACCATGGGAACCCACCTCTTGCATCAACATGACCTGGATGAGAGACATGAAGTCAAGGAGATCATTTTGGAGCTTTAAGACTTGACTAGGCTGGGTGCAATGGCTCATGCCTGTAATCCCAGCACTTTGGGAGGCTGAGGCAGGTGGATCACCTGAGGTTAGGAGTTCAAGAACAGCCTGGCCAACACGGTGAAACCAAGTCTCTACTAAAAATACAAGAAATTAACTGAGCATGGTGGCAGACACCTGTAATCCCAGCTACTTGGGAGGCTGAGGCGTGAGAATAATTTGAACCCTGGAGGCAGAGGTTACAGTGAGCTGAGATGGCACTACTGCACTCTAGCCTGGGTGACAGAGTGAGACTCTGTCTCAAAAAAAAAAAAAAAAAAAAGAACTGACTGCCCTGCTGGATTCTGGACTTGCATGGGGCCTGTGGCCCTTTTATTTTGGCCAATTTCTCCCATTTGGAATGGCTGTATTTACCTAATGCCTGAACCCCTATTGTATCTAGGAAGTAACTAACTTGCTTTTGATTTTGGCTGATAGGCAGAAGGGACTTGCCTTGTCTCAGGTGAGACATTGGACTGTGGACTTTTGAATTAATGCTGAAATGAGTTAAGACTTTGGCGGATTGTTGGGAAATCTCATGAGGACATGAGATTTGGGAGGGGCCATGGGCAGAATGATATGGTTTGGTTGTGTCTTCACCCAAATCTCATCTTGAGTTGTAACTCCCACAATTCCCACATGTTGTGAGAGGAACCTGGTGGCAGGTGATTGAATTATTATTCCTGTGCTGTTCTAATGATAGTGAATGAGTCTCATGAGATCTGATGGTTTTAAAAATGGGAGTTTCCCTGCACAAGTTCTTTCTCTTGCTGCCGCCATGTAAGAAGTGCCTTTCACCTTCTGCCATGATTATAAGGCCTAGTCACATGGAACTGTAAGTCCATTAAACCTCTTTCTTTCTTAAATTGCCCAGTCTCGGATATGTCTTTATCAGCAGTATGAAAACGGATTAATACAGGTGTGCTGAGAAACAGAACCATTCTATTCCCTGTAAGGGCTGTGTCCCGTGCATTTCATGGCTATCACACTGGGCACTTGGAGGTTACAGTTTTGAGCTTCACCCAATCTGGTTTGATTCCAGCACCAAAGCTTTATCATGTCTCAGTGAATCAATATTTCTATTAATATTTATGTTTAAAATTCTTAAATATTTAGGCCCTATAAGGAAACCACACAGCAAAAATCTGCACTCTGTTTGAACTAAAACCTGACTAAAATAGTGAAGAGTTTTAGTGAGTCATGAAACTTGAAGAGATCTGAAAAAGTGGCATTTCTCCTGGCCTATTTACAGGAGTTTCATGTTTTTAACAACATAATTGCATTGTTCAGCTCATGCCTCCTCCCCACCATAGCACCCAGATTTCCCCTCTCAAAACAGCATTTAAGAACACTTTGCATTTTATTGTGGTATTTTTTTTTTTTTGTAGAAGTGGGGTTTCACCATGTTGCCCAGGCAGGTCTCGAACTCCTGGGCTCAAGCAATCCACCTGCCTCAGTCTCCCAAAGTGCTGGGATTACAGGTGTGAGCCACTGCATCTGGCCCTGCAGTTATTTTTAAGGTAAAATTTACATATACTTAAATACAAAAAAGTTAACTGTATAATTCTGACAAATAGATATACGTCTATAACCCATACCTTCAAGATACAGAAAGCTCTATTGTGTCCTTTCCCCATCACTCCTTTCCCCTGACCCCCAGAGAGAACCACTGTTCTGATTATTTTCACTTTAGATTGGTTTTCCTTTTCTAGAAATTCATATAAATGGAATCACACATTATGTACTCTTGTACATAGTCTCTTTTGCTTAGCAATGTCTGTGAGGTTTTTCCATGTTGGTACATATATCAGTAACTTGTTTCTTTATATTTCTTAGTACTATTCAATTGTAAGACTATGCCACAATTTGTTTATCCATTCGACTGCTGAAGAATGTTTGGGTTGTTGGCTGTTTTATGCTATTGTGAATAAAGCTGCTACAAACATTCTGTACAATTCTTTTTGTGGATATTTGTTTTTATTTCTCTTGGCTGAATACCTAGGAGTGAAATTACTTGAGTAAATACCCCGGAGTGAAATATAATGCTACATGTTTATGTTTGATTTTACCAAATATTTTTCCAAAGTGGTTGTTTCATTTTACATTCTTACCAGCAACATATGAGAGTTCTCTTTGATCCACATCCTTTCCAACATTTGGTGATACCAGTTGTTTTTTTTTTTTTGAGACAGAGTTTTGCTCTTGTTGCCCAGAGTGCAATGGTGTGATCTCGGCTCACTGCAACCTCCGCATCCTGGGTTCAAGCAATTCTCCTGTCTCAGCCTCCTGAGTAGCTGGGATTACAGGCATGTGCCACCACACCCAGCTGATTTTATATTTTTAGTAGAGATGGGCTTTCTCCATGTTGGTCAGGCTGGTCTTGAACTCCCGACCTCAGGTGATCCCCCCTGCATTGGCCTCCCAAAGTGCTGGGATTACAGGCGTGAGCCACCGCACCTGGCCAGGGTGATGTGATGCCAGTTTTTAAAAATTATAGCCGTTCTAGTAGGTGTGTAGTGGTTTAAATTTGCATTTTACTGGTGAGTAATGAGGTTGAGCACTTTTTCTTGTTCATATTGGCCTTTCATATATCTTGCTTTGTGAAGTGTCTGTTCAAATATTTTGCCTATTTATTAATATTAATTTTAGTAATTCTTTGTATATTTTGAATACAAGTCCCTTGTCAAATATATGTTTTGTGGATATATTCTTCCAGTTTGTGGTTTTGCCTATTATTTTCTTTTTGTTGTTGTTTTCATTTTGTTTTTGTTTTTCGGAGACAGGGTCTCACTCTGTCATCCAGGCTGGAGTGAAATGGCACAATCATAGCTCACTGCAGCCTCAACCTCCCAGGCTCAAGTGATCCTTCTGCCTTAGTCTCCTAAGTAGCTGGAACTACAGGCACATGCCACAATGCCTGGTTAATTTTTAAAAATGTTTGTAGAGACAGGGTCTTGCTTTGTTGCCCAGGCTGATCTTGAAGTCCTGGACTCAAGTGATCCTCCCATCCTGGCCTCCCAAAATGCTGGGATTACAGGCATGAACCATTGTACCTGGCCTCCTATTATTTTCTTAATGATATTTTTTGATGAATAGAAGTTTTAATTTTGATGAAGTCTAACTTATTACTTTAAAAATTATTATTGCTTTCCATGTCATATTTAAGAAAATTTGTCTACTCCCAAGCCTCCTTTCTCCCCCACCAAAGGCTTTAGTTTTAGGTTTTACATTTAGGTGTCATGAATTAATTTTTGTATATGGTGTGAGGTAGGAGTTGAGGATCATTTTTTTATGGATATTCATCTATTCTAGCACTATTTGTTAAAAGGCTTTCCCTTTTCTGTTAGATTGCTTTGATTTTCTGTTAGCTTGTCCTTGTGTTGCTATAAATAAATATCTGAGGCTGGGTAGTTTATAAAGAAAAGAGGATTAATTGGCTTACAGTTCTGCTAGAGCCTGCAGAACTTTATAAATTATCCAATCCCAGATATTTATTTATAGCAACACATGTTCAAGCATGACTCCAGCATCTGCTCCTGGCGAGGGCCTCAGAAAGCTTATAAACATGGTGGAAGGCAAAGGGGGAGAAAGCTTGTCACATGGTGAGAGTTGGAGCAAAAGACAGAGTGGGGAGGTGCCACAGGCTTTCAAACAACCAGCTCTTGCCTGAACTAACTGAGTGAGAACTCTCATCACCAAGGGGATGGTGCTAAGCTGTTCAGGAGGGATCTGCCTCCATGATACAAAGACCTCCCCCCGGGTCCCACCTCCAACACTGGAAATCACATTTCAACATGAGATTTGGAGGGGACAAATATCCAAACCATATCATTCCACCTCTGGCCCTCCAAATCTCCTGTCCTTCTCACATTGTAAAATACAATCAACTTTTCCCAACAGTCCCCCAAAGTCTTAACTCATTCCAACATCAAGTCCAAAGTCCTAAGTCTCACTTGAGACTCATCTCCTTCCATCTATAATCCTATGAAATTAAACAAGTTATTTATTTCCAAGATACAATGGTGGTATAGTCATTGGGTGAGCATTCCTATTCCTAAAGGGAAATAAGCCAAAAGAAAGGGAGAAACAGGCACCACAGAAGTCCTAAACCCAGCAGGGCAGTTATTAAAACTTAAAGCTCCAAAGTAATCTCCTTTGACTCCATGTTCTGTATTTAGGGCGCACTGGTGCAAGAGGTGGGCTCCCAAGCCTTGGGCAGCTCCACCCCTGTGGTTTTGCAGGATGCAGCCTCTGTGGCTGCTCTCACAGGCTGGAGTTGAGTGCCTGCAGCTTTCCCATACTGAGGTTGCAAGCTTGCTGGTGCTCTACCATTCTTGGGTCTAGAGGGCATGGCCCACTTTCCACAGCTGTCCAAGTCAGTTCCCTGATGATGGCTCTGTGTGGGGGTTCCAACCCCACATTTACCCTCAGCATTGCCCTAATAGAGGTTATCTGTGAGTGCTCCACCCCTAAGACAGGCTTCTGCCTGGGAACCCAGGCTTTCTCATATACCCCCTGAAATCTAGGTGGAAGCTGCCAAGCCTCCTTCACTCTTGCATTCCATATGTCCACAGACTTAACATCATTTGGAAGCTACCAAAGCTTGTGCTTTCCAAAGTGGTGGTCCAAGCAGTACTTGGGTCCATTTGAGCTGTGGCTGTAGCTGGAACAGCAAGGATGCAGGGATGTGGTTCAGGGCTTTGGTGCTCCACGCCTGGCCCATGAAACTATTCTTTCCTCCTAGGCCTCTGGGCCTGTGATGGGAGGAGCTGCCTGGCAGATCTCTGAAATGCCTTCAAGGCACTTTTCCCATTCTCTTGGCTATCAGCACCTGGTTCCCTTTTAGTGATGCAAATCTCTCTAGCAATTGGTTGCTCTGCAGCCTGCTTGACTTTTTTCTCTCTCACTTGGCCAGGTGGCAAACTTTCCAAACTTTTACACTATGCTTCCCTTTTAAATATAAGTTCCAACTTTAAGTCATTCCTTTCCTCCTGCATCTAATTTTGTAGGTGTTAGAAGCAGCCACATTAATTCTTGAATACCTTGCCACTTAGAAGTTTCTTCTGCAAGATACCCTAAGCTGTCACTCTTAAGTTCAACCTTCCATAGATCTCTAGGATGTGGACACAAGGCAGCCAGGCTCTTTGGTAGGGCTTTGCATGGGTGATCCTTAATCCAGTTCCTAATAACTTCTCAATTTCCATCTGAGGCTTCATCAGCCTGGCCTTCACTCTCTCTCTCTCTCTCTTTTTTTTTTTTTTTTTTTTGAGATGGAGTCTCACTCTCTCGCCCAGGCTGGAGTGCAATGGAGCAGTCTTGGCTCACTGCAACCTCTGCCTCCCAAGTTCAAGCTATTCTCCTGCCTCAGCCCCCCAAGTAGCTGGGATTACAGGTGCTTGCCACCATGCCCAGCTAATTTTTTTGTATTTTTAGTAGACATGGGGTTTCACCATGTTGGTCAGGCTGGTCTCGAACTCCTGACCTTGTGATCCGCCTGCCTCAGCCTCCCAAAGTGCTGGGATTACAGACGTGAGCCACTGGGCCTGGCCAACTCTATCTCTATCAACATTTTGGTCACAACTACCTAACCAGTCTGTATGAAGTTCCAACTTTCTCTCATCTTCCTGTCTTCTTCTGAGCCCTCCAAACTTCCAACCTCTGCCCAATACCCAGTTCCAAAGCCACTTGCACATTTTCAGATATCTTTATAGCAATATCCCACTCTCAGTACCAATCTCCTGTATTAGGCCATTTTTTGCATTGCTATAAAGAAATACCCAAGGCTGGGTAATTTTTAAAGAAAAGAGGTTTTGTTGGCTTACAGTTCTGCAGGCTTTACAGGAAGCATGCTGCTGGCATCTGCTCCTAGTGAGGGCCTTAGGAAACTTACAATTGTGGTAGAAGGTGACAGGGAGACAGCATGTCACATGGCAAGATTGGGAGCAAGAGAGAGAGAGGGAAGAGGTGCCACATTCTTCTAAACAACTAGATCTTGTGTGAATTCATTCATTACCACAAGAATGGCGCAAAGCTATGGACAAGGGATCTGCCCCCCCATGATATAAACACCTTCCACCAGGCCTTACCTTCAATACTGGGGATTTTATTTCAACATGAGATTTGGAGGGGACAAACATCCAAACTATATTAGTGCCTTTGACTCATCATATATACGTGAGTTTATTTATAGGTTCTCTATTCAGTTCCAATGGTCCATATGTCTATCCTTATGCCACCATAAGTTTTGTTTTTTTGTTTTTGTTTTTGTTTTTGTCTTGAGACAGGGTCTTGCTTTGTCTCCCAAGCTGGAGTGCAGTGGTGCAATCATGGCTTACTGCAGCCTTGACCTCCTGGGCTCAAGCAATCCTTCTGCCTCAGCCCCCTGAGTAGCTTGTACAACAGGAGTGTGCCACCATGCCCAGCTAATTTTTGTATTTTTTTTTTGTAGAGATGTGGTTTTGCCATGTTACCCAGGCTGGTCTCAAACTCCTGGGCTCAAATAATTCACCCACCTTGGCTTCTCAAAGTGCTGGGATTACAGACGTGAGCCACTGAGGCTGGCCCCTACAGTCTTAATGCTATCGTTTTATAATAGGTCTTGAAGTCAGGTAGTATGAGTCCTCTAGCTTGTTTCCCTTTCAGGGTTGTTTAGTCCTTTGCATTTAGATTCTAGGTCCTTTGCATTCTCATATACATTTAAGAAACTGCTTGTCAATTTCTACTTAAAAACAAAAACAAAAAACCTGCCTAACCTGATTGAATCTACAGATAAATTTGGGGAGAATTGACACCTTAACAAGACTGAGTCTTCTGACCCATGAACCTGTTATATTTCTCCATTTATATAGATCTTTTGATATACCTCTTACAACTAACTGTTTTGTAGTTTTCAGTTTACAGGATTTCCATATGTTTTGTTAAATTTATACCTAAGTAGTTCATGTTTTTTGATGCCATTGAAAATTGATTTTTTTTTTTTTTGAGATGAAGTCTCACTGTGTCGCCCAGGCTGGAGTGCAGTGGCATGATCTCAGCTCACCGCGACCTCTACGTCTTGGGTTCAAGTGATTCTCCAGCCTCAGACTCCCAAGTAGCTGGGATTATAGGTGCATGCCACCATGTCTGGCTAATTTTTGTATTTTTAGTAGAGACAGGGTTTCACCATGTTGGCCAGGCTGATCTCAAACTCCTGACCTCAGGTGATCCACCCACCTCGGACTCCCAAAGTATTGGGATTACAGGTGTGAGCCACTGTGCCTGGCCAAAAATTGAATTATTTTAAATCTCACTTTCCAATTATTTATTTATACCTCATGCATGAAGTTGATCAGATATTCTGAGGAACTCTCTGACTCATGCTATGGGGTAATTCCAGGCTTCCATGGCTGGGTCCCAGTTCTAGAAAGGTGGCCTGAAGATTGGATACTCCCTACCCAATAAGGCATTTATTTCATAGAATTGCATGAAATTGAACTACTAAAATGGTGCTGACATGCTGACTTGGGGTAAATTAAATTGTTTATATGGGTAGGGGCCCTAGAAAATTTTTTTTCCAGTATCCTTTACTTTTTAGGGGCAGCCCTAACCAGGTGTGTGGTTGTCCCCCTTCGGGGAGGAGAGAAATAGCATATCAGGAGAGTTCTGTTCTCCTCTTTGTGAGAACATTCACTCTGGCAAGAACCACTACTCTCTCTATCCTTCTGGGACCTGAGAGAAAGGTAGTTCACTATATTTCCCCCAATCTCACCAAAGCCTCTGAAATGGATCATCATAGGAAAGTAACTTATCATAACTGCATCCTTGACCAAAAATTTACCCCTTATTTCTATTTAAGTACACATGAAAGCATGGCAAAAATACATTTCAGGGAAACTGATTCCTTACCCCTGCAGCATGCTGTCTGTTGCACAAGAGCTAGTTATGTATCTGAAGTGTGAATGGGCCCAGTTGAGTCTTATTCTGACTTTCCATCACATTGAACTTTGGAGCCTTTTCAAGTCTGTGAAGTTGAGATGGGAACCATTATGAAAAGCTAATGTGGGCCGGGCCCAGTGGCTCACGCCTGTAATCCCAACACTTTGGGAGACTGAGGCGGGCAGATCATAAGGTCAGGAGTTTGAGACCAGCCTGACCAACATAGTGAAACCCTGTTTCTACTAAAAATACAAAAAACTAGTCGGGCACAGTGGCGGGCGCCTGTAATCCCAGCTACTCAGGAGGCTGAGGCAGGAGAATCACTTGAATCCAGGAGGCGGAGGTTGCAGTGAGCCAAGATCGCACCATTGCACTCCAGCCTGGGCGACAGAGCGAGACTAAAAAAAAGAAAGAAAGAAAAGCTAATGTGAATGTTCTGTTTACTTGTGGCTTTTATATAATTTATTCATGCACTTTTAGGCTAGCAGAATTATTCCCATGTTAGTTTAGTATTTCTAATTAACCAAAGTGAACATCACTGATGAGTGGCAAGGCCTCTCAACTGAAGGATGTCTTTATGCTGAAATCAGCACTACTCTGGCAGCAAAGGAAAGACCCTAAGCCTATTCTTCTGCACTGATGAGTAACTTTCTGGGTTCTTACCTGCTCTTAGCTTTTGTTCCTGGGAGAAAAGAGATTGTGATTTTTTTTTCTACGTCTGAATATGCCATCAACCAACAAATTTTCTATATTTAAAAATACTGATTCCCATAGAACTTGTGGCATAAAAAACAAGTGAATTTAATATAAATACAAAGTATTAGTTTGGTGCAAAAGTAATTGCAGTTTTTGCCATTACTTTTAATGAAAAACCGCAATTACTTTTGCTCCAATCTAATAATTAGCTGGCTAGGCATATTTTCTAGTGAGGAGTCCCGATGTCCTCATGGTCAGGACTCCACTCACCATATGAATAAGGTGTTGAAATGATATTTATTTGGTCAAAATGAGAGAGTTATGGTTTGAACTTAAGAAGAATAGCTGGTTCATAATTTACCTGTGGATGGATGTGGGAGACTGAACAATATGGTTTAGAGGCCCAGAAAAGATGTGTCATCTAATGTACAAATTAGAGAGCATGACACTAGATGTAATGTTTTAGTGTAATCAAAAGAAGTTATGAACATATTCAATTCACAGATGCGCTTTTCATTCTCCCTCAAAATTTTATATATTCTCTGATGACTATGTTACTTGTCTATTTTTTCTTCTTCAGACTTCTCATTTCAGCCCAAGAAGAAGAAGCTTCCAGTAAATATATGATCATTCCTAGAAATTTCACATGATTTATGTGACTCAATTATGGGTTTTGTTTGTTTGAGTTGGAGTCTTGGTCTGTCGCCCAGGCGGGAGTGCAGTGGCATGACCTCAGCCTACTGCAACATCCGCCTCCTGGGTTCAAGCAATTCTCCTGCCTCAGCCTCCCAAGTAGCTGGGATTACAGACATGCGCCACGACACCCGGCTAATTTTTGTAGTTTTAGCAGAGACGGGGTTTCACATGTTGGCCAGGCTGGTCTCAAACTCCTGACCTCAAGTGATCCCCCGGCCTTGGCCTCCCAAAGTGCTAGGATTACAGACGTGAGCCACCATGCCCAGCCTCAATTATGTTTGTAATGCTGCTTTTCCCATGCTGCCAAATAGCACTGTTTCACCATGCTATTTCGACCTAAGGCACCCACTATTTATCATCAAGGATCATTGCCAATGATCTTAAGAACTGTCTTTTCTTTTTTTTTTTGAGACAGGGTCTCGCTTTATTGCCCAGGCTGGAGTGCAGAGTGCAGTGGCACGATCTTGGCTCACTGCAACCTCCGCCTCCAAGGTTCAAGCAATTCTCCTGCCTCAGCCTCCCGAGTAGTTGGGATTACAGGCATGTACCACCATGCCCAGCTAACTTTGTATTTTTAGTAGAGACAGGCTTTCTCCATGTTGGTCAGGCTGGTCTTGAACTCCCGACCTCAGGTGATCCGCCCGCCTCGGCCTCCCAAAGTGCTAGGATTACAGGCATAAGCCACTGCGCCTGGCCAAGAGTTGTCTCTTCTTAAAACCCCTCTCTCCAAAATTTTAGGCTTCATTACTCCTCAATCTGTATTCTTTCTAAATGGGGTAACTAAGATAAATAAAAGCTTACTAGGTTTCATCTTGTCAAAAAACTCTATGTCTTGGTATGTTTTCTGCATTTAAAAAATTCACATTGACTTAGGAAAGTGTGATCTAACACTCAGGTTACACTCGGGGCAACTGGCAAGAGTAGGTGGTATGTGTTGGTGATAGTGAGACAGTAAGAGGCTGCTTCCTACCTACCTGCTCCAGGTGGCAGCAGCACCCCAGAAGGAAGGATCAGGGAAGAACTTTCTGAGCAGTGGTAAACCTCCTACAAACCTCCCTCCTCCTCTGGTAGAGGAGTGGGCAAAGTTAAGGCAATGAAGCCCTGACCAAATACAACTATGCCTCAACTAATCCTCTAAGATAGCTTATTTGGATTTTTCCCATACCTACCAGTACTACAATACATGTTGCTGTACACAGGTGAACTTGTCTGATTATTCCTTCGCAATATATATCTACAGCTGAAAATTGCTGAGTTGAAGATATATGAATAATTCTTAACTTTTTGATACAGGTTCTCAACTTGGCCTCCAGAAAGGTGGGTGAAAGTTTCTATTTCCCCATATTCTCACCCATATTCAGTGTTAAGGATCTGTTTCTTTTGCTAGTACAATAGGTTAACTATTGTTAAAATATAGGGTTGTTAGCAGATAATCTTTGTTTTTGAGTTTTGTAGGAACATCTCTGGAGTGTCAACATTAATATACAACATTTGTTGGTGGTTGATATAGTTTTTTTTAATGTTAGAGCGGTATTCTTCCTTCTTTCCTATTTTACTAAAACATCTTTAAATCATAAGGAATATATGCTATACATTATTAAATGCCTTTGGCAACATTTTTTTAAGATCGTGTTCAACCTTTTGGCACCTTTTAAGGTGCTCACATAATTTTTCTTCTTTGAAAATTTATGTGTTAAGTTGTATTAATAGATTTCCTAACAGTGAACCATTCTTACGTTCCTGGAACAAATCTTATATAGTTGTGGTGGATAACTCTTTAATATTCTGCTGAATCAGTGTGCTAAAGTTTTATTTATGAATTTTGGTCAAGTGAGATTTTTCTGTAACTGTTTTTGTGTGCTGTACTTGTGAGGCCTTTGAATTGGGGTTATAGTAGCATTGTGAAAGAAATCATGAACATTTTCTCCTTTTTCTTGGTCTGGAAAATTTTAAGGAATATTGAAATTATATGTTTATTTATGGCTTGAAATAATTTACCTTCAAAATTATTAATAGATGAATCTTGTGCCTTTTCTTGAGATTTTCTTGTATATCTTTTTCAAAATCATTCATGTTTATTGCTACGTCTAGTATTTGGCAAAATGTATTTTGTGAGACACTAGTCCTTTGAAGTAGTCTTTAAAAAACTTTCATGGCCAAAGAAGTCTTGGTGACTCACAATGGACATAACCATGTATTCTGCTGTCAAGAAAAAATGAGGTCTCATTCGTTTAACACAGAATTTCCAAAATGTATTTGATGTGATTTTCTTTTATAACCTAACACTTGTGGCAGAAGCTGCTGATTTTTCAGTCCCAGGATTTATTCTTTCTATCTTCCTTTGGTATTAGAATCCCCAAATCTGTACTGGGCACATGGGTACTCAGAACAAAGACAAAATTTTTCTTTATTCTTTTGTTTTTGTCCTTCTTTTAGATAGTTGCGACTGTATGATTAAGTTCTGGCCAGCAGGATGTGGGTGAAAGTGACATGTGTGTCTTCAGAGTGGTAGCTTTAAAGGAAGGGGCATGATCTACACAATAATTGCCCCTCTTACCAGACTTAATGGAGGGTGCATCTTGGACAAGATGCAAACTGCATGTAGGGTATCCCTGAACAACAAAATAAAAGAAGGCTGGGTGTCTGCCTCCAACAAATAACCATTTCAGCCCTGGGTTTTTATAAAAAAATACAAAACAAAATTTTGTCTCAAACCAAGACACCATGAATCTCCCTTGCCAAAGAAAGTAGCTTGTCTTCCTGTGTTTGCGTACACTAGCCTTGCTTTGGTTGAAAACTGGTAACAACCTAACTGGGATAGTTTTGCAAAGGGATATGCATCCTCCTCAAGAATCACTACAATCACCTTTGGTTGCCACTGGAATCATAAGTAGGATCCAATCTCAGTCTGCTCTAGGGAGTCAGATATTGTGTTAGTCCTTTCTTGCACTGCTATAAAGAAATCCCTGAAACTGGGTAATTAATAAAGAGAAGAGGTTTAATTGGCTTACAGTTCTGCAGGCTATACAGGAAGCATGGCTGGGGAGGCCTCAGGAAACTTTCAATCATGATGGAAGGGGAAACAGGAACATCTTACATGGCCAGAGCAGGAGGAATAGAGAGAATGGGGAGGTGCTACACACTTTTAAACAACCAGATCTCGTGAGAATTCACTCAATATCATGAGAACAGCAAGGGGGAAATCTGCCTCCATGATCCAGTTCACCTCCCACCAGGCCCCTCCTTCAGCATTGGGGATTACAATTTGACATGAGATTTGGGCAGCAACACAAATTCAAACCATATCAGATATACGGTATGACCCAGGAAGAAATAGCTAATTCACCATTATTACACGGTTTGGCTAATATATACAGTGTTAACAGAAACCTGAGAACATTTGTAGTAGGTTCTAAAGGTGTCAGACCAAGGTAACCGGTAGAATTAATTGATCATGTAGAATTATTAATTGGGGACACTTACTAGAGATTCCAGGTTTAATGTGTTAATGTATGCAGATGGAGATGACTGTAACAGCTTTATGAGTTGGTTGACTGAAATTTTAACTCAGGGGTGACATGTTTAATGAGGATGAGATACTGGAGCTTCACTGGCATGAAGTAAAGAAGGAAATCCAAACACTTAAAGGCATTGAAAAGTTGGAGTGAGTTTATTATGTGCAAACTGCACATTCATCTTCCCACTCTAACTCCTGAGGAGGCCTGGAAAACACTTCTGTCACTAGGGCATGGAGTGATACATACTGTGATTGCTTTCCTCTGTGGGAAAGGTATGACCATGTGAGTTGCTGCCATTGAAATGAACTCCCAGATTTCACTAGAAATGATGTGAGCCCAAGTAGCAGATATCAAATGACAGCACTTAACTGTGAAAGACAAGGTGGGTGGCTGCATTACTGTAAAGGGCAGCAGAGATGTTATCAGTAATAAAGATGCTGTGACCCTGTCTTGGTTTCTTTTGGCTGCTATAACAAAAATACCATAGACTGGATGGTTTCAACAACACACACTTATTTCTCACAGTTCTAGAGGTTGAGAAGTCCAAGATCAAAGTGCTGGCAGATTTGGTGTCTGGTGAGGGCCTGCTTCTTAGTTCATAGATGACTGGCTATTGTCTCATTGTGTGCTCACAGAGCAGCAAAGGCAAGGGGTCTTTCTGGGGGTCTCTTTCATAAGGAGACTAATTTTATTCATGGGGGATCCACCCTTATGACCTAATCACCTCCCAAAGGCCTCACCTTCTAATACCATCACATGGGGGGTTAGGATTTCAACACATGGATTTTTTTGGTGGGAGGGGGGATACAAGCATTCATTCTATAGCAGATCCGTAAGGAGCCTTGGTTTTAGCCAATTAATTATGATGTTCTTTGGAGTGAAACAGAGCAGCCTATCCTATGTCTGATAGCCAAAAACCCGACTTGAGTTACCACAATGGAGCATCATGGCCTCTCAGCCAGTTGACATACTTAAGCCAGTTTACAAATTGTACAGCCCTTGACTGAATGGGAGCCTTCTCTCCCTTAAGGAGTGATCCAGCAACATTAAATTCCATCCAGCTGCAAGAATACATTATAAAACCTTCTCTAGGCCTTATCCAAAGAGACCTTCGCCATTTGCTAGAGTGGCTGTAAGCTAGGAAAAAAAAAAGGAATATCCAGACCTTTAAGGTATTAACAGGCACTGTCTCTGAATTGATGCTAAGTAATTGGGATCCAAAATGACACAGGTGGCTCACAGTGGGGCTATCGGTGACAGGTGATAGATGGAATCTTAGCCTAAGTTAAAGTAGGACTGCTTTGTCCACAGAAATATCCTATGGTTGTTTCCCTATCTCCTGAATTGGCATAAACATGTTTATGAGCACCATTGTGGTAGAATGGGCTAAACCTGTCTATCAAAATAGCAAACCAAAAGCAATACTGCATCCCTACAGGAATTGCAGATATCAGTGCCATCAAAGGCTTGAAACAGCTCAGATGCTGATAACTTTCATGTCCACATTCAAAATACCTGTTTCAGCCAAGTGCAATGGCTCATGCCTGTAATCCCAGCATTTTGGGAGGCCGAGGCAGGCAGATCACTTGAGGTCAGGAGTTTGAGACCAGCCTGAACAACATGGTGAAACCCCTGTCTCTACCAAAAATACAAAAATTAGCTGGGCATGGTGGCACATGCCTGTAATCCCAGCTACTCGGGAGGCTGAGACAGGAGAATCACTTGAACCCAGGAGGCAGAGGTTGCAGTGAGCTGAGATGTGCCATTGCACTCCATCCTGGGAGACAAAGTAAGACTCCGTCTCCAAACAAAACAAAACAAACAAACAAAAAAAACACCTGTTTGGCCTCTACAGAGACTGGATGGATCTTAGAGAATGACTATAGATGATCAGGTCACAAGACAATACCATGAAAGGATGGGATTTTGTCTTTCAGCATGCAGTATTATGCTTTGAATCAGAGATCATTATATGGCACTGTCTCTTCCATAACCAGAAACCAGAAATCAAGAGATGGAAATGGCTATTCTCTCTATTACATGTAATAACCCACTCACCAGATTTTTGCTTTCCCCTTCAGCTACTTTGAGCTCTGTTGGTTTGGAGATCTTAGTTTCTAATGGGGAATAGAACAACGATTCCACTGAATTAGAAGATGAAACTCCATTTGACTATTTGGGCTCCCTACGTCACTGAACCAACAGGCAGATAAAACAGTTACTTTATGCAATGATTACTTCCTTAGTACCATGGGAAAATTGAGTTGCTGCTACACAATGGAGCAGAAAGAACGATTCTGACACCAGGGGATTCTCTGGAGCTGCTTTTAATACTTTCTTTTCCCTTCCCTTCCCTTCCCTTTTCCTTCCCTTTTCCTTCTCTTTTCCTTCCCTTTTCCTTCCCCCTCCCTCCCTCGTTTCCTTCCTTCCTTTCCTTCGTTCCTTCCTTCCTTCCTTCTTTCTTTCTCTCTCTCTCTCTTTCTTTCTTTCTTTCTTTTCTTCCTTCCTTCTTTCCTTGATGGAATTTCGCTCTTGTTGTTCAGGCTGGAGTGCAATGGTGCTATCTCGGCCCACTGCAACCTCTGCCTCCCAGGTTCAAGCAATTTTCCTGTCTCAGCCTCCTGAGTAGCTGGAATTACATGCACCTGCCACCACTCCTGGCTAATTTTTGTATTTTTGGAAGAGATGGGGTTTCACCATATTGGGCAGGCTGGTCTCAAACTCCTGACCTCAAGTGATCTGCCCACCTGGGCCTCCCAAAGTGTTGGGATTACAGGCGTGAGCCACTGCGCCCGGCTACTTTTAATACTTTCACACCCAAAGTTAAGGTTACAGAAAACTATAGCACTTTTTAAAAGCACAAGACTATTGAGGACTTTTCAGGAATGAAGTTTCAGCTCACCTCTACATTATAAAAGAGCAAGATGGCTAGTGGAAGAAGGAAGTCATAGATACCACCTATGGCCAATTATAGACGTGAGGACTGTAGTAGCATTACCTATTTTCTCTTTGTTTACTATATGTATGTTTACTTGTATATTTAACTATTTTATCATTCACTCTCTTTTTCCCCTTATTATTTTATATACCAGTTGTTGGAGGTTAACTTTACAATTGTGTCTTTAGGTGGAAGAATATTCAGTGGGACCATGACTAAATTTGAGGCTAAATTATTAGGTTGGTGCAAAAGTAATTGCAGTTTTATATCGTGAATTTTAAGTCATTATAACTAGGCTCAAACACTTATTTATTAATCAAAATAGGAACCATTAAAATCAACACATTTTTGCCAATGAGAAATAAGTTTATTTATTCCTGTAGCATAAACATCTGTGCTTCGGGATTCAACAAACTCTCTTGGAAAGCATTTTCTGCATCCTGCCGGTCGTAGAAGCATTTTCCCTGCAAAAAGTTGTCGACATACTTGAAGGAGTGGTAGTCAGTTGGAGAGAGGTCAGGTGAATATGGCGGATGAGGCAAAACTTCATAGCCCAATTCCTTCAACTTTTGAAGCGTTGGTTGTGCGACGTGCAGTTGGGCATTGTCATGGAGAAGAATTGGACCCTTTCTGTTGGCCAATGCTGGCTGCAGACATTGCAGTTTTCGGTGCATCTCATTGATTTGTTGAGCACACTTCTCAGATGTAATCATTTTGCCGGGATTCAGAAAGCTGTAGTGGATTTGACCAGGTGCAGTGGCTCACGTGTGTAATCCCAGGGAGGCCAAGGCAGGCGGCTGAGGTCAGGAGTGCGAGATCAGCCTGGCCAACATAGTGAAACCCCATCTCTACTAGAAAAATATAAAAATTAGACGGGTGTGGTGGTGCACACCTGTAGTTCCAGCTACTCGGGAGGCTGACGCAGGAGAATCGCTTGAACCCGGGAGGCAGAGGTTGCAATGAGCCGAGATCAAGCCACTGCACTTCAGCTTGGGTGACAGATTGAGACCCTGTCTCAAAAAAAAAAAAAAAAAAAAAAAAAGCTGTAGTGGATCAGACCGGCAGCAGACCAGTGACTATGACCTTTTTTTGGTGCAACTTTGGCTTTGGGAAGTGCCTTGGAGCTGCTTCTTGGTCCAGCTACTGAGCTGGCCATTGCCAATTATATAAAATCCACTTTTCGTTGCACATCACAATCTGATCGAGAAATGGTTCGTTGTTGTTGGGTAGAATAAGAGAAGATGATACTTCAAAACAACAATTTTTTTGATTTTCAGTCAGCTCATGAGGCACCATTTATTGAACTTTTTCACCTTTCCAGTTTGCTTCAGATGCCAAATGAACATAGAATCGTCGACGTTGATTTCTTCGGCAACTTTTATTTATTTATTTATTTATTTATTTATTTATTTATTTATTTTTTTTATTGATCATTCTTGGGTGTTTCTCGCAGAGGGGGATTTGGCAGGGTCATAGGACAATAGTGGAGGGAAGGTCAGTAGATAAACAAGTGAACAAAGGTCTCTGGTTTTCCTAGGCAGAGGACCCTGCGGCCTTCTGCAGTGTTTGTGTCCCTGGGTACTTAAGATTAGGGAGTGGTGATGACTCTTAACGAGCATGCTGCCTTCAAGCATCTGTTTAACAAAGCACATCTTGCACCGCCCTTAATCCATTTAACCCTGAGTGGACACAGCACATGTTTCAGAGAGCACAGGGTTGGGGATAAGGTCACAGATCAACAGGATCCCAAGGCAGAAGAATTTTTCTTAGTACAGAACAAAATGAAAAGTCTCCCATGTCCACTTCTATCCACATAGACCCGGCAACCATCCGATTTCTCAATTTTTTCCCCACTCTTCCCGCCTTTCTATTCCACAAAACCGCCATTGTCATCATGGCCCATCCCCAATGAGCCGCTGGGCACACCTCCCAGACGGGGTCGTGGCCGGGCAGAGGGGCTCCTCACTTCCCAGTAGGGGCGGCCGGGCAGAAGCGCCCCTCACCTCCCGGACGGGGCGGCTGGCCGGGCGGGGGGCTGACCCCCCCCCCCCCACCCTCCCGGACGGGGCGGCTGGCCAGGCAGAGGGGTCCTCACTTCCCAGTAGGGGCGGCCGGGCAGAGGCGCCCCTCACCTCCCGGACGGGGCGGCCGGCCGGGCGGGGGGCTGACCCCCCCACCTCCCTCCCGGACAGGGCGGCTGGCCGGGCAGGGGGCTGACCCCCCCACCTCCCTCCCGGACGGGGCGGCTGGCCAGGCAGAGGGGCTCCTCACTTCCCAGTAGGGGCGGCCTTCTTCGGCAACTTATTGTGTAGTTGTAAGAGGATCAGCTTCGATGTTTGCGCTCTTTTGGTCATTATCAACTCCCAATGGCCAGCCACTGTGCTCCTCATCTTCAAGGCTCTTGTCTCCTTTGCAAAACTTCTTGAACCACCACTGCATTGTACGTTCATTAGCGTTAGCAGCTCCTGGGCTAAATGCATTGTTGCAAGTTGTCTCTGCTGCTTTACGACATTTTTGAACTTGAATAGGAAAATTGCTCAAATTTGCTTTTTGTCTAACATCATTTCCATAGTCTAAAATAAACATAAAATAAACAGCAAGTAATGTCATCAGCAAAATAAATAAATAAATAAATAAAGCGAGAGTGTCCATTAAAATAATGTATAACATAACCACATTTATTTGAGAGTGTATCCCAATATCAAAAGGCAAATTCCAACAATGCAAAAACTGCTGTTCCTTTTGCGTCATTAGTATAACTAATGATGGATATAATGACCGGACTATGTGTCTCCTCATTTTGTGGAGTTGGTGAGAAATTCACTTATATAAAGTTTAACCGAATCTTTTTAGGTAGAAACATAGAGTTGTTTTATTGTTGTATGGAAGTTTGAATGTGTGTAAATGGGTGCATATGGAAGCCAAAGGGATGAATTGTGCCATTTATTAATTTATTGCTTCTCAGATCCAAATGTACCCTTCTTTGCCATGCTATTTAATATTGGAGATGGACCCTGTAAACAGGTTTACTTTGTCAGCTGCTTGATATTAGTCTTGTCAATAGGGAGTTCTGGAGAAACACTGCAAGGCCATAGAAGAAGAAAGATACTTCATTTCCTGGTTCCACTGAGCTGGTTTTTGACATCATGAAGGAGGCCTGGTATTGCTCTCCTCAGCAGCCAGCTTTGCCCTGCATCCTTTAGCATATTTCTCTGCTACCTAGCAGGTTGCTTTTACTGACCAGCTACGGCCAACCTGCGTCCTTCAGCAAGTTTTTCCATCAGCCAGTGGGGTGCCCCTACAAAGCAGATCCAGCTGCCTACATGGTCCGGCAAGTTTTTCCTCCCTCTGGTGAGTCAGTCCTATGAGCCAGCTCTGGTCAGCAACATTCGGCAAGTTCTTTCACTAACTGAAGGCATCTTGTTCCTGAGGCAGCTACTCCCTCTCCAAAGAGGTCTGAGTCTTAGCTTAGTAGTGGGACTCTTCTAAGGCTTTTGTTCTTTCCTTGTTCCCTTGTTTTGCTTTTCCTTCTTAAATTCCAGTCCTCACTGGGCTTGTATGACCACACTCTCCACTTCTTGTATGACTCAGTCTCTTTTGTTGCTTCTCCCTGTATGTCTACCCCTCAATTATTGGTGGTCACTTGGTTTCATCCTAGTTCCTCCCTGCCTCCCCACCCTCAACTCTATATACTTGTTCTGGGTGATCTTAACTTTTTCTGTAAGATCCCAGCTCTTACCCTAACCCTAACCAAATTCTTCTTTGTCCTAAGTTATTCTCCTAGGCTTCAGACCAATTTACACTTGGATTTCTCACAAGTACCTCAAGCCTAACATGTCCCAAAAGTGAACTCATCATTCTTTCCTTGAAATCTGCTACTCCTGAATTTTCTATTTTGGTTATTGACTTCAACTTTTACTACATAGTCCAAGTTAAAGATTTGAAACCACTTTCTACTTTCTTTATTTTTCATCAAAGCTTCTTTATTGCTCCAGGTCTGCTTAGTCCACCTCCCAAATAGTTCTTAAATCTGCTTTAACATTCTTCTCCTAACCCATTGAAATATCCATGGAACCATTCTCATTGCCATTATTTTCTGTCCTCTCCACACCATTTTCATGCTACTGCCATATTTCTACCTCCTCTTTGTATACAATTTAATCTGGTCATTCCCTTCTTAAAAATCTCTGCTGGCTCCTAAGTGCTTACAGGATAAAATGTAAGCTCCTTAGAATGGCATAAAGGGTCCTTCAGCAGGCGTCACTAACTCTTCATGTTCCAGTCAGTTCAAACTTTTTGCCATAGACCTTTCAAATCTAGAAATTTGTGTGCCTCAATTCTGGGAAATTTTATTGAGTTCTTCCTTTCCTTTTTCTTTTTTTAGAGACAGGATCTCACTCTGTAACTCAGGCTGGAGCGTAGTGGTGTGATCATAGCTCACTGTAACCTCAAATTCCTGAACTCGAGAGATCCTCTAACCTTAGCCTCCTCAGTAGTTAGAACTACAGGCATGTGCCACCAAGCCTGGCTACGTTTTTTAAAACTTTTTTGTAGAGATGGGGTCCCACTGTGTTGCCCAGGCTGTTCCCAAACTCCTGGCCTCAAGCAAACCCTCCTGCCTTGACCTTCCAAAGTGCTGGGATTACAGGCATGAGCCACTTTGCCCAGCTTAAATTATTTCATTGATGATTCCCTCCCCTTTGATTTTTTTGGGTGACTGCTATTATTCTGATGTTGTACGTTTTGAACTGGTCATCTAGTTTTCTCATCTTTTCTCTCCTATTTTCCATTTCTAACTCATTTTGCACTACTTTAAAGAGATTTCTTCAACTTTATTAATATGTGAATTTCTGCTATTATGTATTTAATTTCCAAAATTCTTTTTCCTTTGTCCTCTAAATGCTCCTTTTATTAATTCATTCTTGATGACACCCTATTCTTGTTTTATGCATGTGTTATTCTCTCTTCTCTCTGTGGAATTTTCTTCTCCTGGCAGATGCTTTATTTTCCCTAAGATTTTTTTTTTTCCATTTGTTGTTTGGTTGTTTTGATATATGTCTTTGGTGTGAGACATATATCTTCTTCAAAGATATAAAAATTCTTGGTTATCTGATCATGATTACAAGTTAAAGAGCTGATTGGAAGCTTGAGCACAAGGTGGGGCTTATTCATTTTGAGTTTCTCTGTGAACAGATCAACAGGAGCCATTTGTTGGAAAAACCCCTAATGTCAGTATTTTTAGGTCTTTCTTTTGGGATGGTCAGAGTGCCCGGTGAGAGTCTTGCATTTCCTGCCTGCAGAGGTCCAGCTGCAGCCAATGTTCTGGGAGCAGTGTGGGAGATGAACTAAGAGGGTCTCAGCATTTAGTATGTGTATTGTCATCTGATTTCTCTGTTTTTACAAGGTATCCAACCCTTTAACTATACCTGGCACCCCCAGACCAGAGGTCTTCATCATATCTTCCCCAGAAAATCAGCCTCCAAACTTCTACTGTAGTGGGAGAGGGATGGTCATGTAACCATAGGGAAATGGGGGAGGAGATGTAGGAAAGTAATCACTACTCAAATAGCTGTTACCCAATCCTCATTTTAGCCACTCTCCTTCATCCCTAGTTTCAGAAGTAATTGATACTGCCAGTTTTTATTAATGCCTGGGCATTAAGGAGATACTGGTGAAGACATAGAGATCTTTATATCTAGACCACTTATTCAAATATGACAATGAAAAGAGAGTGTGAAATATAACACAAGTCAGAGAGAACTGAGGGGTCAAACAGAGACTCTTTTCCTCTCAGAATAAGAGAGTTTGTACATACTGGAAGGGAAAGTGAAAATCCTCAGCGGAGAGACAGAAATTGAGAAGGTCTGAAAAATAGGGGCGAATTATGACAGGAAGATCCTGAAGGACCCAGAGAAGGTGAGTTGGAGGGCATAGGCAAAGAGCTTAAATTTGGTAGGAGGCAGGATAAAAAGAAGGCAGGATGCTGTGATCTTTAGAGAAAGAAAAGAAGAAGTCAGTGCAATGGCCTATTGTTTTTTGTAGAATAAGTGGATAACTCATCTTCTGAGGATAATAAATTCAGAGCTTTTTTTTTTTTTTTTGAGACGGAGTCTCGGCCTGTCGCCCAGGATGGAGATGGAGTGCAGTGGCGTGATCTCGGCTCACTGCAACTTCTGCCTCCCAGTTTAAGCGATTCTCCTGCCTCAGCCTCCCGAGTAGCTGGGACTACAGGAGACTGCCTTTGCGCCGGGCTAATTTTTGTCGTTTTTAGTAGAGATGGGGTTTCACCATCTTGGCCAGGCTGGTCTTGAACTCCTGACCTTGTGATCCACCCGCCTCGGCCTCCCAAAGTGCTGGGATTACAGGCGTGAGCCACTGCACCCGGTCGTTCTCGTCTTATATATGATTCTGGTAATTATTCCTTATTACTTTTCAGAAATTGAGGCAGGTCCAAGTTTTGTGGGACCAGGAGCCTATGCAATCTAGGTGTTGTCTTTAAGAAAAGGAACACAATTATGAATATAAGATTAAGCACAAAAGCAAATTAGTTACAAGAGTTTAAATGGGGCCAGGTGTGGTGGCTCACGCCTGTAATCCCAGCACTTTGGGAGGCCTAGACGGGCAGATCTCTTGAGGTCAGGAGTTCGAGACCAGCCTGGCCAACATGGTGAAATCCTGTCTCCACAAAAACAGGAAAATTAGCCAGGCTTGGTGGCATGTGCCTGTAATTCTGGCTACTTGGGAGGCCAAAGAAGAGGAATTTCTTGAACCCAGGAGGCAGAGGTTACAGTGAGCCGAGATCACACCACTGTACTCCAGCCTGGGTGACAGAGTGAGACTCTGTCTAAAAACAAACAAACAAAAAGGTGCGGTTTAAAAGCAGCCAGCAGCCAGTGCGGCTGGACGCAGTGGCTCATGCCTGTAATTCTAGCACTTTGGGAGGCTGAGGCAGGTGGATTACCTGAGGTCAGGAGTTCAAGACCAGCCTGGCCAACATGGTGAACCCTCGTCTCTACTAAAAATACAAAAATTAGCTGGGCATGGTGGCGCACACCTGTAATTCCAGCTGCTACTTGGGAGCCTGAGGCAGAAGAATTGCTTGAACCTGGGATGGGGAGATTACAGTGAGCCGAGATCGCACCAATGCACTCCAGCTTGGATGACAGAGCAAGTCTCTGTCTCTACCAAAAAAAAAAAAACAAAAAAAGAAAAAAAAAGCAGCCAGTGCAAGTGAGGGGTTTTGAAACTTATGCTTCATTATAATCATGTTATATCTATTTTTATTCAGAGATCAAACCTTCTCCTCTTATTTAAAGTCCAGTAACTGGGTCTTTGCGTCTCTGTGTCTGAGTTCATTTTATTTTTGTTTTCTGCCCAGGTCGTCAGTTTCTCTTTCTTCTTCAGGACTAGAGACACAGGGTCATGGAATCTGAGAGCTAGAAGAGACCATAAAAGATCATCTGATTTAAACATTTAATTATGGAAAAGAGAATAAGATCCAGAAAAGTGAAATGATTTGCATGAGGCTCCATCACCAAGGAGATGTGAATTAGCACACCCTCAATTGCAAATATTAGAAACCCCACATCAGAATAGCTTTAATGAAAAAGACTTCTGGTTAACTATAATGGGTTGAACATTTGCATTTATTTCTGCTCCTTCCGCTAAATCTCTCTAGATCAGTACTTCCCAAACTTCAACATGCATATGAATCAACTGAGGAGCTCATTAACATGCAATGCATCCAAAAATTCTGGGGTGAGGCTTGATTCTACATTTCTATCAAGCTTCTAGGTGATGCCAGTGTTGCTGATCTGTGGATCACATTTTGGATAGTAAGGCTCTGGATCAGGGGCTGATGAACTACAGCCACAGCCTGTTTTTTGCATGGCCTGTAAAGCCTAAAATATATACTATCTGGCTCTATATAGAAAAAGTTTTGCCAGCCCCTGATCTAGATGGCAAAAAGAGAATGAGAAAAGTATAAACCCATGGAAAGAACAAATGCGATAACAACAGAGGACCAACATTTTTAAACAATCTGGAAGATGAAAAGCAGATGGACAAATTGTCTTTGCTGAATGGAGTAAGAAGAAACCCAGGAATCTTCATGGGGTGAAATCCACAAAGAAGGTTTGTTTAGATTACATCCCTTAGAAAAACTCAGGGCTTGGAGATACCAGGTGCCTGGAAAAGTTGATAAGGGTGGGTGTATAGGAAGAAAGGAAAAAGTGGTAGACACACAACTGGGTCACTGATATCCCCTTTTGAGAAGGACTATTTGCTCCACTGCAAGGAATGTGTTTAGCTAATAGTTTCCAGCTGTTAGCTTCATCAGGTTCTACCTCAGTTTGTGAGCTGAAGGCATGCTTTTCTCAGGGAGGCTCTAGCCAATGACTGTACATGTGCCTTGCCATTTGTGCTTAATGCAGGACTCTTTTAATGGGAAATCTTTGCCCTGAAGCCCTCTATTCGGCTGCAAAGGTTGGCACCATGGTCTGACCATTCTGCCTGTCTGATCCCACCATGCCTCTGAAAATGCCCCATCCCTATGAACCCTCAGAGTTGGGGTGGGGACAGTGGAGGAGATTAGTGCCATGTTTAAAGATTGAGAGGGTGCAAAGGATGCGAGGGGTTGTGATCCCTACTGTAACCCCATTTAACTTGCCAATATGGCCCCTGTAGAATCTAGAAAGTTTCCAAAGGATGCCTGTAGATTACCACAATCTCAACCAAGTAGCAGCCCTGATTGTATGGCAGTAGCAACTGCCATACTGGACATGGTATCATCACTAGATTAGATTAATATGGCCTCAGGTACATAGCATGTAGCCATTTTGTTGGCAAATGCATTTCTTTTCTGTCCTAATCAAGAAAGAATCAGAATGACATACATTCATATGAAACATAGTTATTGTATTAGTCAGGGTTTTCCAGAGAAGATCTACAAGGTAAGTTGGCAAGCTTACCTTGCCTGGAGACTCAGGAGAGCCAATGGCTTAGTTCTAGTCTGAGTCTGAAGGTGTAAGAACCGGGAAAGCTGAGAGTATAGTTCCTGTGTGAATTGTGTGAGGCTTGAGACCCAGGAAAAACCAATATTTCAGTTTGAGTCTGAAGGCAGGAAAAAAGCTGATGTCCCAGTTCAAAGGCAGTCAAGCAGGAAAAACTCCGTCTTAGTAAGGGGAAGGTCAGCCTTTTTGTTCTATTCAGACCTTCAGCTAGTTGGATGAGGCCCACCCACATCCAGGAGGGCAATCTGCTTAACTCAGTCTACTGATTTAAATGCTAATTTCATTCAAAAATACCCTCAGAGAAACACCTAGACCAAATATCTGGGCATCTCGTAGCCTAGTCAAGTTGACACATAAAATTAACCATTACAGTTATTTATAGTTTTGCCTTGGGGTTATATTACATTTCTTGCCCTTTGTCATAATGTAGTATGATCCAGACCATCTCAAAGAACATCTTGTTGATTCATTATATTGATGACATCAAGTTGACTGAAAAGCATAAGCAAAAGTTTGCTAGGATGCTAGTGGCCTTATTAAGACACATATGTGCTGTGCAGGGTGGGAGAAAACTACAGTGAATTGGAGACAGTCATTTTGGTAAAACGCTTAGGGGCCCAGTTTCAGGGCATGTTAGGATATCCCCTTCAAAGTGAAAGATAAAATTGTTTCATCTTGCATCCCAAGTACATAGAAAGAAGCACAGAGCCAGATAGGCCTCTTCAGGTTCTGAAGGTAAGAGGGACTGCACACCTAGGAATACTGTTCTAGCCCCTATACTGAGGTAACACAGAACGCTATCATCCTTTGTGGTGCTTGGAGTAGGAAGGGGCTCTGAAGCAGGGCCAAGCAGTAGGGGAAGCAGCCTTGATGCTTGGGCTGTATAAGCCAGCAGGCCCAGTTGAAGGTATCTGTGGTGGGAAAAGATGCAATATGGAGTTTATGGGAAGCCCCAGTGGAGGAATCACAGTGCAGGTCCTGGGAATTTGGAACAAGGTCATGTTAGTCACAGGAGAGGATTATATACCCTAAGAGAAATAGCTCCTGGTGCCTTACTGGGCCCTGGTAGAGACAGGACGCTTGACTCTGGGGCACTAAGTTACTTTGAGTATGAAACTTTCCATTATGAGCTGGGTTCTGTTAGACCTGCCAAGTCATAAATTCAGCCATACCAGCATCTGTCATTAGATAGAGACATTACATCCAGGACTATAACAGCCTTAGGAGGAATAGAGAGCATGAGCAGGAAGTCTAGGCCTCCTATACCACCTGCTATATTTGCATTATTGCTCTTCCCTAAGCTTGTGCTTATATCTATATGAGAGAAGGTAAGTCTGATGTGAGCGCTGAAAAAGGAAGAAAAAGCCTGAGCTTGGTTTATGGGTAGGCCTGTTTGGAATGTGGATACAAGCCAAAAATGGACAGTAATGGCATTATAGTCATATTCAGCAGTGGCCCTGAAAAATGGCGGAAAGGAAAACTTTTCCAAATGAGTAGAGCTGGGAGCAGTGCATCTGGCTAGCTGCTTTGTGAGCAGGTGAAAGTGGCTAGAGAGGTGAATATATATATATAGATTCCTGGGCAGTGACCAGAAGGCAATGACCAGAGGGCTTGGGCCCTCTGGTCAGGGACCTGGAAGGGAAAGGATTTTTGTGTCACATATTAATGGCCACCTAAAAGCATCCAACATGAAAGAGGCATTGAACAGTCAAGCAGACAAAAATGACTTGGCCAGGTATTGCTAACTAGCCTGGTGCTAACTAGCTGGCTGCCCCAGGACTGGTATGATGGGGACATGACAGAGAACTCATGGTGGCATAAGTGGAAATTACATATAGGCTCAACAGCAGGCATTCCCATCTATCAAGATTTATCTAGCTATTGCTGCCTTGAATGTCCAACCTGTTGGCAACCAAAATGAACAACTAACCTCCTGATATAGCATTGTTCCTGCTACAGGCCAACTGTATCACACAGCACACCAGTCCCTTTCATTCTAAAAGGGTCAAGAGTTTGTTTTCAAAAGGAGAGATACCTGCATATGAGTTTGCCTTTCCTGCCTACAGACCTCAAATAGCCCCAGTACCCAAGGACTTATGAAATGCCTGATCCACAGGCATAGAATTCAACAAGGAATAGCATCCAACCAGGGAACCCACTTCACAGCAACAGGTGTTTGAGAGTCATCTGGTACTATAGTGTGAATGTCCCTTCTAAAACTCATGTTGAAATTTAATTGCCATTATAACAGCATTGACAGTCAGGACCTTTAAGAGGTGATTAGGTCATGAGGGTCCTGCCGTCATTATCATGAGAGTAGGTTAGTTATCACAGGAGTGGGTTCCTGATAAAAGGATGATGTTTGGCTCCCATCCTCTGTCTCACAGGCTCACTTTCTTCCATTGTGGGAAAACACAGCACAAAGGCCCTCACTAGATGTTGGTGCCATGCTCTTGGACTTACCAGCCTCCAAATCATGTGTTGAATAAACTTACATTCTTTGTAAATTACCCAGTCTGTGGTATTCTGTTATTGCAGCACAAAATGGATTAAGATATCTGGCATCACCATTGAATACCCTAGTCATATCATATAACACAATATCCAGCCAGCCTCATAAAATGCTGGAAAGACCTTCTACAGGCATAGAAGCAACCAGCCTTATAAAATGCTTAAATGCCCTTCTATAGACACATTTGATATGCCTAGTTCAGAGACCACATTTTGAAGGGATGGGGTGGCATCCTTCAAGATGATGAGTATGCAATGAATTAGGCACCTCTATATAGTGTTGTGGCTCCAACAGAAATGAGAAACCAAGGAGTAGAGACAAGAGTGGCCTCATTATTTATCATCATTTACAATGAACTTCTGGGAGATTCTGTGCTTCCTGTCCCCACAACTCTAGGTTCTACAGGACTAAAGGTTCGAATCCATTGCACCCTAACTTACGGCTGCTGCCAGGGCATCAGAGACTCCTTGTGCCCAGGGGCTAGCAGGTGAGAAAAGGAGTTAGCATACTGGCAGGAGTCATTGACCCTTAAGCAGGAGGCAGTATTCCTCTTACACAGTGTGAGCAGGAAGGAATACGTGTAGAACTGAAGAGATCTTCCTGATTGCCTCCCTGCCCCAATGTAACTGTGAACAGACACATGGAATAATCCTGGCCTATAAAGGTATGATTGCTGAGAGCTCAGAACTCTAAGGACTGAGGGTTTGGATCACATCTCTAAGCAAGTTCCAAGACCCGCTGAGGTGATAACGGAGGGTGAGGGGAATTCAGAATGGATAGTGGAAGAAGAAAAAGATGAGTTCCAGTTGTGGCCCCAAGACCAGTTGTAACAATAGGGAATAGAGCTCATCCCATTAACTATCCTCTTCTGAGTTTCCCCTCAGGAAGAGAACTGTGGAAGATCTGCTCCCTGATTTGCATGAAGAAGTAAATTGGTGAGGTAAAAGAAGTGAACTGTGGCAGCCATGAAAATGCTCTTCTCAGATTTCTGGCTGTGGGAGGCATACTTTACTGACCACTTTAGCTGCTGTGCTCCAAAATCTATCCCTGCATTTACCTCTGGATAAATGCTTTCCACAGGCTGCTGCCACCCAGTGATTTAGTACAATGAGAAGGAGTACTAAGACAGGTCCATTCCTAGAAGGCGCAGGACTCCTCTGATGGGCACATTTGGTCTTGCCTAACTTTCTTAGAACTATACTGCACTCTAAGACCCCCCCATTCAACCTTCCTTCCTTTCTTTTCTCTTTCATCTGCATTGAGATCTGATGTCTCTTACAGTCTTCCCTAGCTTCTAGCTTCCTCTCCATGTTCCCTATTAAGCATAACGTCTAATAAATCTCTTGCACATCTAATCCCATCTTGACTAATTCACACCCTAAATGTCCATTAGAGGGAGAATAGACAACATGTGGTACATTTATATAGTGGAATACTACTAAGTATAAAAACAGAACAAACTGTCATGAGAATAACATAGGTGACTCTCAATTATTATTATGCTTAATAATAAACCAGACATAAAATAATTTATGCCATATTATTCCATTTAAATGAATAATTGGTATCTCTGGGAGGTGGGTATCAAGCTGAAAGGGACATAAGGGACTTTTCTGGAATGACAGAAACATTCTACATTTTTTCTATGTAAAGACCTCATGGGTGTATACATTTGTAAAAAGTCTTCCTAGAAAGCAGACTCAGGGGGAAAACATCATCAAGCTGTACACCTGAGAATTGTGCCTTTTAATTAAAAGTACTCAAAAAAAAAAAGATTGGTGCTTTTTTTTTTTTTTTTTTTTTTGAGACGGAGTCTGTCTGTCGCCCAGGCTGGAGTGCAGTGGCACGATCTCGACTCACTATAACCTCCGCCTCCTGGGTTCAAGCGATTCTCCTGAGTAGCTGGGATTACAGGCGCATGCCACCATGCCCAGCTAACTTTTGTATTTTTAGTAGAGACGGGGTTTCACCATGCTGGCCAGGCTGGTCTCGAACTACTGACCTCATGATCTGTCCACCTCGGCCTCCCAAAGTGCTGGGATTACAGGTGTGAGCCACCGCCCCCGGCGATTTGTGCATTTTAATGCATGAAAATTCCGCCTCAATAAAGTATTGAAAAAATAATAAAGGAGATTTATTGGTTCATGTAACTGGATGTTGATAGAGGGCTTCAGGTTTTGATTCAGCTGTTTAGCAATGCCATCAGAAATCTCATTTTTTTTTCATCTTTCCCATAAGTCTTTTGGTATGTCAGCTTCAACCCAAGCCTGGCTTACCTTTGTATTCACAGCATGCTACCAACAACCTCCTTTTCTGGGTCGAGGCACTAAGAGAATTGCTTTTGTAAGCTCTCTTAAAAGAGTAAGAACTTTCTTCTTTCCTGGAAGTTGCTAGCAAACCACATATCTTATTGGCCCAATAGGTTATGCTCATTCCTGAACCAATCCCTACGACCAGGGAAATGCCATACACTGATTGACTTATCTCTGCCTATCCCTGAATGAATCACTTTAGAATGAGATATGGAATTATGCCAGTTGATCAGACAAGTTAGCACTTACCCTTGGAGCTAAAGTCCTCTAATTTTATGGCTGCTCCATAACTGAAGGAAGAGAACCACGAAGTCTACCACAAGAAAAATAGCAGTTGACTGGACACAGTGGCTTACACCTGTAATCCCAATACTTTGGGAGGCTGAGGTGGGTGGATCACCCAAGGTCTGGAGTTCAAGACCAGCCTGGCCAACATGGTGAAACCCTGTCTCTACTAAAAATACAAAAATTAGCCAGGCATGGTGGCGGGCACCTGTAATCCCAGCTACTCAGGAGGCTGAGGCAGGAGAATTGCTTGAACTCAAGGGGTGGGGGTTGCAGTGAGCTGAGATTGCATCACTGCACTCCAGCCTGGGCAACAAGAGTGAAACTCTGTATCAAAAAAAAAAAAAAAAAAAAAACCAGAGTTGGGTAATAGGTCCAATCAATTCAAATCATGGTCTTCTAGCCAGGCATGGTAGCTCATATCTGTAATCCCAGCACTTTGGGAGGCCAAGATGGGAGGACTGCTTGAGCCCAGGAGTTTGAGACCAGCCTGGGCAATATAGGAAGACCTTGTCTCTACAAGTGTGGTGGCGAATGCCTGTGGTTCCAGCTACTTGGGAGGCTGAGGTGGTAGGATCGCTTGAGCCTAGGAAGCAGAGGTTTTAGTGAGCCAAGATTGTACCACTGCACTCCAGCCTGAATAACAGAGCCAGACACTGTCTGAAAAAAAAGAAAAAAAAAATCATGATCTTCCTTTCTAATTCCTAAATATTTCTCATTCCCACTTCATTCAGTGTTTATGATATACCCAAACAAAGTGTTATCAGGAAGCACAGGTGTCTATCTTCTACATTTTGAAATAGAAGCCAAAATAAATTTTATTAAATAAATGACTGGGTTGCATACAGTTTGCTTGTCAAATGATACCTAAATCCTCATCTCTGAGTCTCACTCTATCCTTCACCTTCATCTCATCATTTCATTCCATGCAAAGGGGTTGAGGATGTTTCACAAATGCAAATTTAAAGATTTATTTCTAAGGTTGGATCAAAATTTTCCTGACATCAAAAGAGTTGTATTAAGATGTGAGGTATTCTTCCTGGTTATTGATTTTTGGTATTTGTGTTTTCACCCTGGGGATTGCAATGCTGTAAAATAAGTATCTTTAGACTCCCACAGTCTCCTTGAAATATGTCAATTCTCTCATCAGAGAAGAGGGATCAAACAGAGAGAGGTAACACAGGCCCAGAGCCATTGCTAGCCCATATGGTCACTTGGTGAGAATGAGAAAGAGGCACCCAGATGCAACCTGGTTGGTGCAGGGATGGGCAAATGGAGTGCAGGCCAGATTTCAGCCCCTTTTTGCCCGATGTCTAGATATCTTTTCGTCCAATGCCTTCTACAAGCCTTTATTACCTCCTTCCCACACTGTTGGTTTATCTCCAAACTCATCTTTTGCCTCCAGACTTTATCTTTCTCCTGATTCATCCTACATATTTCTGTCTGGTTAATATTCCTAAAACACTGCCTTTTATCATATAACTGTCCTGCTCAAAATACCTTTATTAGCTTCCCTCCACCAACCTAAGAAAATGCAGATTCCTCAAGTTAGCATTTTACAATGCTTTTAAAAGCTTTTCACAATGTCTCCTGTCTCTCTTGCAGTCTTTTCCCACTATTTCTCACCACAAACTTATGGTCCAATTAATCTAGCATTCTTGTTATTCACAACCACATATTGCATATTCCCAAATGTCTTATTTGCTGTGTTATTACCATCTGTATTTATATATTTATGTGCTTATTTTTTATTTTTTATTTATGTTTTTGAGACACAGTCTCACTCTGTCTCCCAGGCTGGCAGTGGTATAATCTCGGCTCAGTGCAACTCCGCCTCCTAGGTTCAAGCAATTCTCCTGCCTCAGCCTCCCGAGTAGCTGGGATTACAGATGCCCACCATCATGCCCAGCTAATTTTTGTATTTTTGGTAGAGGTGGAGTTTCACCATGTTGACCAGGCTTGTCTCGAACTCCTGGCCTCAAGTGATCCACCCACCTCAGCCTCCCAAAGTGTTGGAATTACAGGTGTGAGCCACCACGCCCGCCTAACATGGAGCTTATAGTCTATTTTGGGAAACAGACATTAAGCAAATAAACACATAAATATAGGCTAGGCGCCATGGCTCACACTTGTAATCCCAGCACTTTGGGAGGCTGAAGCGGGCAGATCACTTGAAGCCGGAGTTTGAGACCAGCCTGGTCAATGTGGTAAAACCCCATCTCTACTAAAAATACAAAAATTAGCTGGGCATGGTGGCATACACGCCTGTAGACCCAGCTACTTGGGAGGCTGAGGCAAGAGAATCACTTGAACCCAGGAGGCGGAAGTTGCAGTGAGCCAAGATTGTGCCACTGCACTCCAACCTGGGTGTGACAGAGTGAGACTGCATCTCAAAAAAAAAAAAAAAAAAAAAAAAGACAGTAACTGATTAAATCAGAATAACATATTCATTGATTCAAAGTGCAAATATTTTCTGAACATCTTCTATGTGTAGGCATTTTGGCAGGTGGTAGAAATAGGCCCTTACATGGAAATGGTTCCTGCCCTTCCACAGCTCATAGTCTAGTTAGGGGGACAGGCATTAAAGGAATATTCGTTCTCCCAAAAAACTCTGATAAATTATAGGAAAGAAAATAGTGTGTGTTATGGAAGCCTGTAAATGTGGTACCAGATTCAAGGTGGAGTAGGGATTATGCTATTTTGCAGTAATCTATTTATAGTTATTTACAGATATAAATCCATTTACCAATATAAACAGATTTCTTTTTCTTTCTTTTTTTGTTTTTTTAGAGAGGGTCTTGCTCTGTTGCCTGGGCTAGAGTGCAGTGGCATGATCATAGCTTACTGTAACCTTGAACTCCTGGGCTCAATCAATCCTCCTACATCAGCCTTCAGGGTAGCTAGGACTACAGGGTGTAGGCCACTAATCCCTGCTATTTTTTATTTCTTGTGTAGAGATGGGGTCTCCAGTCTGCTCTGTTGCCCAGGCTGGTCTAGAACTCCTGGCCTCAAGGGATCCTCCACTTTGGCCTCCCAAAGCCTTGGGATTACAGGCATGCGCCACTGCATCTGGCCTAAACAGATACTTATTGAGTACCTACTACACTGAATAAGCAAACAATTTGAATTACTTCTAATTCCAGCCAGCCTGGGCAACATAGGGAGACCGCCCCTCTACAAAAATTTAGAATTAGCTGGGTGTGGTGCTGTGCATCTGTTGTCCTAGTTATTCTGGAGGCTGAGATGGAAGGATAGTTTGAGTCCAAGAGTTTGAGGTTGCAGTGATCACCCCACTGCACTCCGGGCTGGACATCAGAGTGAGATCCTGTCTCTAAAAAAACTTTTTTTAAAGTGAATTATTTCTAATTCTTACAACATTTATGTGTAGAAGCATTATTACTAGCTCCCTTTTGCAAATGATTTAATAGAATCATGAATAGCATCACACACAGCAAGTGTGATTCACACCCAATTCTGCCTGTGCTCTTTAATTCTGAGATTACAGCAAAACCAAACTGTGGCTCCAGCCTGTCTCCAATCATTTACTCTCTTCTTACTCTTATTTTATCCTACACTCTAAATCTCTCTTACTTTGAAGGGCAAACTCAACTATAGAAACTCTTTTAATACAGTTCTTGGAACGTTTTAAAGTTGTAGAGATTAGTTTGTCAGCAAATTCTGAAATAATCTGAGCTTTCTTGATCGAGCAAGAAACAGTAACTTACAATTGCGTGTTGTTTATGGAGTTAGTGATGAAGCTGCCATTCTTGAGCACCCACTATGTGCCAGGCAGAGGATAAATTATAGTGAAGGAAATAGACATGATTCTCACTCTCATGGAGTTGACAGTCAGACATTAAACAAATATATAAAAATACAACTATGTAAAGGTGTAGAAGACTGAGCCAAGTGAGGAAAACATGAAAGACCTAATTCAGATTGGAGGTAGGGGATCAGAGAATTCTACCAAAAAACACGCAAAAGTGTTTTGTATTCTAGGATGCAAGGTGCTAAACCCTCCAAAAGACCCCACCAGGATGCAACCCCCGTGGCGATAAGATCTTGATGCCCCATTGTCAAGGGGTGGTGCGACTTTGTCCCACTCTGGGGTGGGGTGACCGCCGGCTTTATCCTACATTGTTGTGGCGTGAGGTGAGTTTTCATCATCCGAACTTTCTGATGTTTTCCCCTAGTGTCTTCTTTCCCAGCGTCTTTCTGCCAGATCTTCCGCTCTGCTGTGACAACCTCCTGTCACATCAGTACCGTTGGAGCTGGATTGTTTTTTTCTCCTTGTACCCCGCGAGCCTATAACTTCACGGAGGCGGCTCCTTGGATGGCTTATGGCCCCGCCATTTCATTCAGTCACACAGTCCATTCCTGTCTGGCCGGCGGCAGGTGGGTTGGAGGTGCGCGGGCGGGCGGGCGGGCGTGCGAGAGCGTCCGGCGCTCCTCTCCCCTCCGCGGTCGCCGGATCCGCGAGAGCGCTCGGCTCGCGTTCTAGGCTGTTTGCGCCTGGAGCGCGCCGCGGGCCCGCGCTCGCTCCCGCCTGTCTTCGCGTCCGCGGCGGCCAGGACACCGCGCGCCGCCTCACGCTACCCTGCAGGCCGCCCGCGTCTGCCCTCGCGGCGCGCTCCCGGGCCCGGCCGCGGTTCCCCACTCGGGCCGGCTGGCTCGCGGGTTCTCTCGCCCCGCCCCCCTCGGCGCCACCGCTGGGCGCTTGCGCGGGGCGCGTGGCCGTGGCCAGGGTCTCCGCCGCAGCCCGAGCAGCCGCCGCCGCCTCAGTCAGTCAGTCAGTCCCCAGCAATGGCGGACGGAGGTGAGCGAGAGGAGCTGCTCTCGCCGTCACCGGTCTCTCCGGCTAAGCGGCAGTGTTCGTGGCCCAGCCCGCAGGCTCATCACCCTCGCGGTTCGCCTGGGGCAGCCGGCGGAGGGGCAGGGGGCGTCGGCAGCAGCTGCCTGGTCCTCGGGGCCCGCCCCCACCTGCAGCCGGATTCCTTACTGGACTGCGCCGCCAAGACGGTGGCGGAAAAGTGGGCATACGAACGGGTGGAGGAGCGCTTCGAGCGGATCCCGGAGCCCGTGCAGCGCCGCATCGTCTACTGGTCCTTCCCGCGGAATGAGCGGGAGATCTGCATGTACTCCAGCTTCCAGTACCGGGGCGGCCCCGGCGCCGGCGCTGCTGGCGGCGCCGCGGGGGCTTCGCCGGCCGAGGAGGGGCCGCAGCCACCCCCCGGGGCCGCCGCTCCGGCCGGCTCCGCCCCCGGGGGCGTCGCGGCTGGGGCATCCCCCGGGCTGGGCGCAGGGGCCGGCGCGGCCGGCTGCGGTGGCGAGGGGCTCCCGTTCCGCCGGGGCATCCGTCTGCTGGACAGCGGCTCCGTGGAGAACGTGCTGCAAGTCGGTATGTGCTCGTCCAGGCGTTCTCGGGTCCTCAGCCTCCTCTTCCGCGGGTGCCTCTTCTCGGCCCGAGCCCTGGGGCCGAGACCCCGGCCTTCTGCCCAACTCCTGTACCCCTGCCGAAGGACGAACAAGTCACAAAAACTTTTTTCAACCTTTCACTCAGGTCCACCACTGCTCTTTCCTCCACTGACCCTCTACCCCAATTTCTTTTTGTTTGAAGAGTGAATAGATCTCTCTTCTTCACTCTTTCTATTCCCCACACCAAGGCAAAGAGAATGGGGAGGTATGACTTTTTGGATGTAATAATTTCAGAAATGTGTTGTCCTAATTTAAGTTTGGAGAGGAGAGGATTGTTAGTAAATCTGGAACAAGCGGTTTTAGAGGGAGCGTTTGAGGGACAGACTGTCAGAGGCAATCTATAGCCCTAGCCGATTGAGTCTCGATGAAATTAACACTGGGAAAAAAGCCCCAACAAAATACTGCATGTTTCAGACAGTTTTAATTGTCTGCGTTAGGATTTTTCCCCTGGACCGGTGATGCTTGGGAATCTAGGCTGCGGACTAACAATAACCGAAGATGGAAATGTGACAGCTTCTCCTCCACACCCCCACCCAAGGAAAAAAAAAAAAAAAGCCATACAATCTGGAGTGGGGGTGGGGTCTCTCTTCCTTGTCAGACTGGGGTAAATCAAAAGCTGGTCACGCTGGGTTTTTCAAAAGCTTCTCATTTAACAAGTCCTATTTGCTTTTATCTTTTTGTTATGGAAAAATATATTATACAAATGATTTCTTCCTTTACTCCTCCGGAGCTTCTAGTCAGTTTGTTAATCTTATTAAATATATAAATACAGTGCTTCTGATTTGTGGAATGGTTAAGGAGAAGGATAAAAAAATGATTAACATTGACTTTGCTATGTGGAAAATTAAAACACGAATTTTTTTCTATTTGGATTATTATGGCATTCTGGAAGTACATATCTTTATGCGTTTTATTGTACACTATATGCTCGTATTAATTGAAGAAAATACTGATTTTTGAAAGGAGTTGAAGGGAGGTTGTTTTTAGAATTAAACAAGCACAGAAAGACACAAACCCCAGACATCTAGCTCTCCAGGTAAAACCTGGAGAAAACATTTGAAAAATGTTTTTCTTTGAATCGTGCTGTTTCATATAAAGTAATCTGCTTCTGGTTATTGAGAATCATTGATTCCTGTGTTTCTAACCAAAACAACAGCATACCACAACTTGTTTTGCAAATGTGAAATGTAAATTTATCCTGTGCCAGAATATAGTGACAGTGGCTTGAGCAAGTTTTGTTTATTTGAAAGAGGTTAGTCCTTTATTTGTGTATATTTTTGAAAGAGTGACTTGAATAAATATGTAATTAAGGTGTACAGCTTTAATACTGAAACACTGAAAACATGAAAATAAATACAATCATTTTCCTATTAGTCTGTAAATTTTAATTTTTCTGAGTTTCGATCATTTATTTAACTTTTAAGATTCTTGTTTCAAATATTTTAAATGGAAAAGGATCAATTTAAGTGGTCATTTTATAGTAAGAGATGGATGAGGAAGAATTTTCAAACTTGAGGGAACAAATAAAAGAGAGGAAGAGTTTTAAAGAGGTGTCTATTTTTAAAGTAACTAAAGTGTCACTTTCCAAATGAAATAGGATATTTTGGGTAATCTAGATCATGTTTAAATCAGATATTTCCCCTTTATAATATGAAAGTTAATGTGGTTCTGGAGTTATAGGCTCTCTTATGGTAGTTTCAGAAGACACATATAAACAAACATGTTTTCTGATTGACTTGAGAAAAGACACATATAAACAAACATGTTTTCTGATTGACTTTGGATTTCAAAGACGAAGACCGGTGAATAAATTTATCACTTTAAGTTTATGCTACTTGAGAACCACGAGCTGTGTAATTTTTATTATTCTGACCTTAATTTAGGTTAATAAGTATAGGAGAGAAGGATAGCCTGTTCTGCATCTTTTTGAGTTCTGTATTTTGGTATGAACCACCTTTAATAGAGACTCATCCCCCATCTCCTAAACTTAAAGTTATAAGTAAATGACTTAATCTAGAGAGTAGGCTTTCTAAAAGTATTGCCAAGAGATGAGTAAGGAAGTGATTCGTATATACCAAGATAGTAATCGTGTTTTTCAGTTTATAACTGCACTTCAAACTCAATTAATTACTAAGTGATGCTAATTAAGAATTCTACATATTTCCTTACTGTTTCTAAACGATAGAACCTCAGATTTGGGAAGTTACTGAAGGCCGATGCTTTAGGAAGAACAGAAAGTTGGGGTATTTCTGTGACAACATCTTTTTAAGAAAAAGAGTCATAAGGGAATTTAATGAAAAAGGGAATTTAAATGAAAAAAGAAAGCACAAACAAAAAAGCCTTCAAGGCAAATAAATTAAAAACAAACAAAAACTTGTGGAAAGAGTAGGTAGATTAAATTCTGTAATTTCTAATTACTTTCCACACAAAATCTGGTAATGGGAAGTCATGAATTCTGGTTAAAAATTGGATACTTCAGATTTTAAATCAAAACTAAAACTTTTCCAGCTATGCTCAAAGGATACATTTCTTTTATGTAAGTACTGCATCAGAAGTAGTATTCCTTTTAAAAGGGGAAAATTGCAAATTAGTCTCTTCAGGGATGTCTGTAAGTTTAAAGCTATGTCAATAGACTTACAGTCTGATCTCAGTATTGTAAAGGTTAGAGTATGAACTCTATTGAAAACATATGAATGTTTTCAGCATCTGCATTTTTAACTTGTTTCAGAAGCCCATGGATATAGTAGTAGTATAAACTTTGGGAAAATACTTATTCAGGAGTCTGCAGATGGCATAAGAATAAGACACCTATAATTTACTAACGGTTTTAACATTTTGACCCTTTTGCTATCCACTGTATTTTAAATTGATTTCTTTGTATTTGGTAAAACTTAAAGAAGCTTTGCTTTTTCTCAGGAAAATCTGAATTGATTGAAGGAAAAAAAATTAACAGTTTTTCTCACTTAAACACAGAAATGTTATATTTACTTGGATATTTAGTTTTAAAAATTGGCTAAAGGCATGCAGGGGCCTTCTGCGCCTGGTACATCTTAGTTATGTACGTATTTATCCAGAAATTTTAAGTAGATTTTGACAGGTGACTTCAACAAAACCCCATAGTTTTAGTCTACACATTTTTTAATAAGTACATGATTTGTTCTTGAAGTCTTCAAGACTAGAACCAGAATGCTAAGTATTACCTTATGTGGAAGAGGTACAATTACAAAGTCAATAATGGAAATATAAAAAGTGGCCCATTTCAGGAAGTTATCTATAACTTAAACATCAAGTAGTAAGTTTAAAATTGTGTACACTTGTATATCATCAATAAACAGGTCTGTGAAATTTTTCTGTAGTATAACTTTTATGAAATTTATCAGTAACAAGTATTACAGTTTGTTGATTTTTATATGTAATTTGTTTTAATCTATATTGTTTGGGGGAACAAAAGATATCTACATTGAAAAAACTGTGGCATATGTGAGTTAGAATGAATAAAATTATAATAAAATTTCATGTGGAGAAAAATAACTTTATTGATATTTAAGGTATTCCATCACAGAAGGCAGCTGCATTCCTTTAAGCGGGTGTGCTTTTTAGCATAGAAATTTTTCAAGTTTTAAATCACATTATCTTTTTTTTTTCTGATCAATGAGTTCTCTCCCTCCACCCTAACACATCACATATGCACACATTTTAATGTTCAATAAGTGCTTGTTGAATGACTGAACGTTAAGAATGGATTTCTCAGTGTTGTAAAACAGAGAGAGACCTGAATTTTGAGTATGAGTGGTATTGGAATATATGGGGAAAACTCCAGATTTGTGCATATAATAAACTGATAGCATTAAGTAGTATGAGTGTTACAACTTAGGTGTATCTTCTGTGTTTAACCATCTATTTTGTGTGACGAATGGTGATTTATCAATTTCTTCAAATGAAAGCTTTAAATGAATTTTTCTAAAGGTGACTTTCTCAAGGATAGAGCTTTGGATTTTAAAGATGATGGATAAACTAAAGAGAGTGAATTTTATTTTAGAGGTTATCTTTATTTTAGGAATTTTAAAAATATATTATAGAAAAGGCTGGAAATTTATGCCTATGGGAGACAATTTTATTTCTCTTGTTTCAATAATAGCAATTAAAAAACAAGACATTAACTGTCAGTAATCTATTATGGTGAGGGTTATATGAATATATACATGTGTTAAAATGTATGGAACTATACACCAAAAAAGTCAAGTTTACTATATGATACCGTAGAAAATAAAATTTTTAAAAATCAATGCATTGATATAATGTACAAGAGAAACATATATATTACTGTAAAAATGCTGTATTAGTTTCCTATGGCTGCTGTAACAAAGTATCACAAACTGGATTGGCTTAAAACCACACAAATGTATTGTCTCAGAGTTCTGGAGGCTAGAAATCCAAAATCAAGGTGTTGGCAGTGCTATGCTCCTTCTGCAACCTACAGGGGAATCCTTTGTTGCCTCTTGCTAGCTTCTGGTGGTTTGTTGGCTGTCTTTGGCATTCTTTGACTTGGAGCTGCAAAATTCCAATCTCTGATTTTGTGGTCACGTGGCATTCTCCCTGTGTGTGTCTGTTTTCACATGGCCTTCTTATAAGGACACCGGTCATATTGGATTAGGGGCTCACCCTACTCCAGTATGACCTCATCTCAATCACATACACAACAACCCTATTCCCAAAGTCACATCATGAGGGACTGAGGTTATGTTCTGAGGTATTGGGGGTTAGGACTTCAGCATATTTTTTGGGGGGTGACATAATTCAGCCCATAACAGCTTCTCATACTTGTTTCTTGTTGCATATCTGAGTTTCATGTGAATTTTAAACTTTATTACATTAAGTATGGCTTAAGTTAGGAAATCACCACATTAATTTTATTAGGTAAGCATTATTTAGACTTGCTTGATTCAATTTGCATGATTATTTAATCTTAATACATGTGGAATATTTTTGACAAATAAGTGGTTATTTAAAGGTTAAAATTGTCATTCTTGATAAAAAATGATGACTGTGTGATATAGCACTCATGGTATACATATATGAATGAATAGATTACTGTGGGTTTTTTTTCATGCACACCATTTATAACTCAGCTTTAGAAATGGATAACCTTGAAAGCATATGAACAGTGTTTTAATGTCTGTTTCCAAACCCTAAATTACTATGGTTTACAATTAGTGCTTGATATTAGAAATAGATAATAATTTATTCCAGATAATTTTTATGTGAATTTTTTTACCTTGTGGTTTATTTATAGGCTTATTTCTTTCTAACATAGGCAGCATGCTTCTTGGACACTTTTAGCCTATCATGGAGCTAGTAGACTAAGAAAATCATACTTATTTAAATATTAGCTGTAGTATTATGTGATTATACGCTAAATTACTCTGCGATAGTTTTTGTAATCATATATAGTCAACTGATTAATTTTTGGTTTTCAGTGTAATTGTTCTCCCCCTTAGGATGTATAATGTGGTTTGTCCTAAGTTGGTGCTCAGTAAATGTTTATTGAATGAATGAGTACATTGTCATATCATTTTTTATATTTGTGTAGTATGACATCTCTCTTAATTGATTTATATGTAACTGAAGCCTAAAAGATGTATTGGCATTTGTGGCTCAATTTCTGGATGCTTCTGATTTTTAAAGCATTACATAGATAAAAATTATCCTTGAAGCTTATTATTAACTTGTTCTTGGTTCAGTCATTGAATTAACGTTTAGTCACTTATTACGTGTAAGGCTCAGTAAATAATTGTTTACCTGTTTTTGGTGGAAGTCTTTCTGTAGTACTTTGCATTTTCCTATCTTAGAGTACAAAGTTAGGTTGGGCATCAAAGCCTAAACTAAGGACTACATTACGTTGCCTTCCTTAGGTAGGGAGGAAGTTATAAACAGTGAATATTTGACTCTGAGAGTTTCTGAAGCCTGTTTTTGAAAAGTTCCTTGGATACATGTTTTTTGGTCATTTGCCTGTTCCTTATAATGGAGTGATGAATGTGGTATTTAGGGGAGTATAACATAGTTACCTTATTTAAAAGTAGACTATTGAGGCCAGGCGTGGTGGCTCACTCCCAGCACTTTGGTAGGCCGAGGCGGGTGGATCATGAGGTCAGGAGATCAAGACCATCCTGGCCAACATGGTGAAACCACGTCTCTACTAAAAATACAAAAATATTAGCCAGGTGTGGTGGCGTATGCCTGTAGTCCCAGCTACTCAGGAGGTTGAGGCAGGAGAATTGCTTGAAGCCGGGAGGCAGAGGTTGCAGTGAGCCAAGATCGTGCCACTGCACTCCAGCCTGGGCGACAGAGTGAGACTCCGTCTCAAAAAGAAAAAAAAAAAAAAAAGACTATTGAAGCAAAAGCTGAAGTACCCTTCTGCCTAGTGGTTTTCTTGCCTTAACAGCAGTTGTTTGCATACTTTGTATACTTTAGTCCTTAGAGAAATACAAATTAAAATTCAAGGAAATACCTACATTACACACACACTAAAATGGTTAAAGAAAAAAAAAAGACTGTACCAAATGCTGACAAGTATATGGAGTAACTGGAACTCTCATACATTGCTGGTATGTAATGTATGGCATGAATGCAAAATGGTGCAGCTACATTGGAAAACAATGTCCTTTATAGCTAATCATATACTTAAGCAAAAGATTCAGCAATCCTACTCTTAGGTATTTACCTGAGATAAATGAAAGTGTATAAGGGGATTTCAAAAGCTCATGGAAAAATGGAATTAAAGGATAAAAATTAAAAGTATAAACTTTATTTCTCAACATAAACTCCATCAAGTTCAAGAACTTTTGTAAGCAATGATACAAGCCACTTAGCACATCCCTAAAGAAATGAAGGTCCTAGGAATTCAACCATGTCAATGCAGTCTTCTTTACATTATTGACTGAAGAAAAATTGGTGCCTTTTGAAGATTTTTTTAAAGATTAGGGAACAAAAAGAAGTCAGAAGGAGCCAAATCAGGACTGTTAGGTGGATGCCTAATGATTTCTCATCAAAACTCTTATAGAATTGCCCTTGTTTGATGAGAGGAATGAGCAGGAACATTGTTGTGGTGGAGAAAAACTCTGGTAAAGCTTTCCTGGGCATTTTTCTGCTAATGCTTTGGCTAACTTTCTGAAAACACTCACATAATAAATCAAATGTTATCATTCTTTGTCCCTCCGGAAAGTCAGCAAGTAACATGACTTGAATATCCTAAAAAACTGTTGCCATGACCTTTGCTCTTGATCAGTCTGGTCTTGCTTTGATTGGACCACTGCCACCTCTTGGTAGCCATTGCTTTGATTGTGCTTTGTCTTCAGGATCATACTGGTAAAGTAATGTTTCATCTCCTGTCACAATTCTTCAGTGAAATGCCTCCGGATCTTGATCCTACTTGTTTAAAATTTCCAGTGAAAGCCCTGCTCTTATTAGCTGATCTGGATGCTGTGGTTTTGGCACCTGTCAAGTGGAAAGTTTGTTCAACTTTAATTTCTCAGCAGAATTGTGTAAGCTGTACAAATTGAGATGTCTATGATATTGTCTGTTGTTTCTGCTGTAATTGTCTGTCCTCGATTAGAGCACAAACAAGATGAATGTTTTTCCTCACAAATTGATGTGGATGGTCTGCTGCTGCAGGCTTCATGTTCAGCATCGTGATGGATCCTTTTAAAATGAGTTATCCATTTGTAAACTGCTGGTTTATTTGGGGCATTGCCCCATATACATTTTATAAAGCATCAGTGGTTTCACCATTCTTTCTCCCAAGCTTCACCATAAATTTGGTATTTGTTCTTGCTTCAATTTTAGCAGTATTCATGTTTCTCTGATAGGGGCTCTTTTCAAACTAATGTCTTATCCTTTTTAGTGCCTTAAACTAGATCCTATCCAGATATGTTATAGCAAGTTAGTATGAGTTTATCTTAGTGCAAAACAAAGTGAAATCCATGTGCAGTTTTTTTATAATACTCATTTTCCACAAACTTCACAAACTTTTTGAAGACCCTCATATGTTCACATAAAGACTTGTACTTGAATATTTATAGTAGTTTTATTCATAATAGCCCGAAACTAGAAATGACCCAAATGCTTACCAAATGGGGGAATGGATAAGGAAATTGTTGTATATCCATACAGATGGAATACTGTTCAGCAATAAAAAAGAACAAACTTACTGATAGGCTAGCAACACGGATGAATCTCAAAAGTATTATGCTAAATAAAAGAAACCATACCCAAAAGACTATATACAATTTCATATGTATGAAATTCTAGAAAGCCGAGATATAATGACAAAGTAGATCAGTGGTTTGATCAGTAGATCAAAGTAGAAGGGAATGGAGTTTGTGAATAAAAGTTCTCTGAAATGGAATTTAGAGGAAAGAGACTATTCCACAGAACAGCTTGAAAACCAGGAAGATGCAGCTGTTGGTGTAAAACAAAGGTGCATTCCAGAGAACAAGGGATTTGGCTTTTATACTGAAAGTTCCTGTCCAGGTTCCCAAACAGGTTCATGTATGCAAATAAAGGAGTCAAACTTTCTTAGTTCTGATTGGTCAACACAGCTGAGTTCTGATTGGTTGATGCAAGCCACAGCCTATTGGTTGTTTTGGGCAATGTGAATAGGAATAGTCAGCTATGAAAGTCTCAAAGTTAAGCAGAGGTGTGGGTTCTCCAGGAACTCAGAGTAAGTGTGTAACCTCTAGTCAGTAAATGGCTCTTGGGCTCTATTTTAAATGTAGGCCCAGTTAACCACTCAGGATTCATCTTGGGAGATTGGCTCAGGTTTGTAGGTGTGAGAAAACTTCTGGGTGATGGAAATGTTAATGACTGTAGTGGTTACATGACTATATTCTTTTGTCAAAACTTATTAAATTGTATGCTTAAATTGGCAAATTTTACTGATTGTAAATTGTACCTCAAAAATTTGATTTTAAAGAAAAGAATTGTGGGCTTCAGCCGGGCGTGGTGGCTCACGTCTGTAATCCCAGCACTTTGGGAGGCTGAGGCGGTCAGATCACGAGGTCAGGAGCTCGAGACCATCCTAGCTAACATGGTGAAATCCCGCCTCTACTAAAAATACAAAAAATTAGCCGGGCGTGGTGGCAGGCACCTGTAGTCCCAGCTACTCGGGAGGCTGAGGCAGGAGAATGGCATAAGCCCAGGAGGCGGAACTTGCAGTGAGCCGATATCGTGCCACTGCACTCCAGCCTGAGCAACAGAGCAAGACTTCCGCCTCAAAAAAAAAAAAAAAAAAAAAAAGGAATTGTGGGCTTCAATCTTGGTTTCACATTAAAATCACCTAGGGAGATTAAAAAAAAACCAAAAAAACAGTACCTGGCACTCACCCCAAATTAATCACGTCAGAATCTGCTGAGAATTAGGACCAAATTTCAGAATTTTTAGAAAGCTCCCAGGTAATTTTATATGCAGCCGAGGTTGAGAAATGCCGTTGTAGAAAAATGATCACCTGGCCAGGCTTGGTGGCTCACACCTGAAATCCCAGCACTTTGGGAGGCAAGACAGGAGGATCACTTGAGCCCAGGGGTTTGAGACCAGCCTGGGCAGCATATTGAGACCTCATCTTTAAAAAAAAAAAAAAAAAAAAAAAACTAGCTGGGTGTAACGGTGCTCACCTGTAGTCCCGGCTACTTGGGAGGCTGAGGTGGGAGGATTGCTTGAGCCTGGGAGGTTAAGGCTGCAGTGAGCCATGATGGCGTCACTGCTCTCCAGCGTAGGTGACAGAGCGAGACCTGTCTAAAAAAAAAAAAAAGAAAAAGAAAAATTAACACCTTTATTAGTGTTATCATTGTTTCTGAACCTGTTGTTGGCAGTCAAAACATTATGTAATCTTTATTCTACAAATGCTATGGACCATGTCAACTTTCTTTTCTATTTATTGTTTCACCTATCTTTATTAATGGATGTGAAGGAAAATCATTCTCTTAACTACTCAAAGAATGTCTCTCTGTATTTTGGAGAGGCCTTATTCCAAAGTAAAAATTGTCATTGTTACTATCATCAAAAGACATTTGTATTTAATGTAATGCCAAGCTATAATTTTCTTCATGTTTGTTCACCCATTTATTTATTTATAAAACCTATTTTTTTTTTAACTGGGCACAGTGGCTTACGCTTGTAATCCCAGCACTTTGGGATGCTTAGGTGGGAGGATCACTTGACCCCAGGAGTTCAAGAACAGCCTGGGCAACATAGGGAGACCCTGTCCCTATTAAAAAAAATTAGCCAGGCATGTTGGCACACACTTAGAGTCCCAGCTACTTGGGGGTGCTGAGGTGGGAGGAATGCTTGAGCCTGGGAGGTTGGGGCTGCAGTGAGCTGTGATCACAGGCCATTGCACTGCAGCCTGGGCAACAGAGCAAGACCCTGTCTCAAAAACAAAAAAACAAAAACTTTAAATTTTTTAGTATGATCTGTGCAAAACAGAACATAATTTCTATATTTAAGAGGCACACAGTTTACTATGGAATGTACATATAAAAATGGCGTTTAAAAATTTTCTATTAAATCAGTTAAGGGTCTGAATAGATAAAATGGCATTTACCACAATGTTCTGTAATAATAGAAGAAGTTACTATGGGGGAAGAGAGTAGGAAGTGATTAACTTGGGAAGTGGGGACTACAGGATACATTGCTCTATTTTAATATAATTCCAATTATAAGAAATTTTAGAATTATGTCTAATATTGCAATAAAGATTGAAAACACTTTACTGCTTACAAGTTAGATTAACCTCTTTTTTTTTTTTTGAGACGGAGTCTTGCTCTGTTGCCCAGGCTGGTGTGCAGTGGTGCAATCTCGGCTCACTGCAAGCTCCGCCTCCTGGGTTCACACCATTCTCCTGCCTCAGCCTCCCGAGTAGCTGGGACTACAGATGCCCGCCACCACGCCTGGCTGATTTTTTGTATTTTTAGTAGAAACAGGGTTTCACTGTGTTAGCCAGGATGGTCTCGATCTCCTGACCTCGTGATCCGCCCACCTCGGCCTCCCAAAGTGCTGGGATTACAGGTGTGAGCCACCGCGCCTGGCCAGATTAAGCTTTAATAAAATTCTTTCTGTATTAACATTTTTTATGCCCCGTAATACTTTGGTGCATAGTTGATCCAAAGGGGTAATATTAGTAGGAAGGAAGATGACAAGATGTTACCAAATATTAATCCTTTTTTCTGAGAGTAAACTTTACAGATTTCTGGCTTTAAAATAGCTTTTTGTTATCTTCAGATAATCCTTACCTTTTTTGTTAAAAAAAATTGTTGCTTCTTTTAGGTATAAACATACAATGGAACTAATCAGGAAAATAGCTTTTTGTGCTTCCATTATCTTTTGGTCTGTGAGCAACAGGAAAATCTATTGTGTCTTTGAAAGCCTTGGAGATAATTACATTTTTCCCCCTATTCATTCATGGTTTTATTGAATAGAGGCCTGTAGCACTGATAGATTCTGGAAAAGCCAGCTTGTTCTTATTTTGTTTAAATCTGTCAATACCTGCTAACTGATATGAGTAGCCAACATCACCAACATACATTGATGTTATTAGTAATATAAAATCCTTCCCCACATTATGGCTCCCTATTGTGAAAAACTCTTATTTTTGTCTCACTGAATATTATATTATTGTAGTCTTTACCATCACATGTATTTGGATTTATCTACCATATGTGCATGTATGTATATATATATATATATACACATATGCACACATATGTACACATACGTACTATCACAAATATGTAATTCTGGCTCCTTCAAAGTCTCAGTTTTTTCAACTGTAAAAGGGCAAAATGATGGTACCTACTTCATAGGTTGTTTTGAGAATTAAATTAGTTAATATGTAAAGCACTTAGAATGAGGCTGAACACATATTAAGTGCTATGTAAATATTCACTATTATTATTACAGCTTTTACCAAAATTGAGAGTATTCTGTATTTATCTTCCCTCCCTCAACCTTCACTCCACCTTCTAAAGGTTTTGTAGTCTGACTTATGCTTTCATTCACTAAATTAAAATTGATCTCTTAAAGGTCGCTAGTGACCTCATGATTGCCAAACACAGTATCTTTTTTCTAGTCCTCATTCTTCATGACCTCTGTATAGAATTTTCTGTAGTCTACTATACATTTCTCTTGAAATGCTTCTTCCTAGATTTTTGTTTTACTTCACCATTCTGGCTTTCTTTCTGTTTTCTTTTATTCTCTTACCCCACAATAGTAGGATGCGCCTTCTTATATCAAGTCTTCTAATTTACAATCTAATTTATTTCTACAGTTTCAACTACAATTTTATGAACATAAGATAGCATGATATGATGTAGTGGTTTAAAATTTGTTTAAAGCAACTGTACTCTAACTTTCAAAGGAAATCTTATGCTGGAATTCCAGCTTTTGCAGCAGATAAAATCTGAGCTGTGTTGGGGATTGGGGTGGAGACCAGAACTTAATCAGTATGGCCAGCTACTTCTTCCCTTTGAAACTCTGAAGCACTTCCAAATAATCCAAAGATCAGCATATATATTTGCCTGCCAGATATTTCTAAGTGGATATCTTAATAGCCACTCAAAACCGAACTGCTTGATAAGGGGATTAATATCCAGAATATATTAAAGAACTACAACTCAGCCACAAGAAAAAACCTAATTCAAAAATGGGAAAGGACTTGAATAAACATTTCTCCAGAGACAATGTACAGATGACCAATAAGCACAAGAAAAGATGCTCAACAGCACTAATTATTAGAGTAATGAAAATCAAAACCACAATGAAATACTACTTCACACCCATTAGGATGGTTATTATTTTTTTAAAAAGCCAGAAAATAACAAATGTTGGCAAGGATGTGGAGAAGTTGGAACCATTTGGAAATATAAAATGGTGTAGCTTTTGTAGAAAACAGTATGGCAGTTCCTAAAAAAATTAAACACAGAATAACCATATGAACCAGAAATTCTGCTTCTGGTTGTATAACCAAAATAATTGAAAGCAGGGAATTGAATAGATATTTATACAACCATGTTTTATAGCAGCATTATTCACAATAGGCAGAAGATGGAAACAACCCAAGTGTCCATCGACAGATGAATGGATAAACAAAAGGTCTATTTTCCTTCCTTCCTTCCTTCCTTTCTCTGTCTTTCTATCTACAGGAAATGTTATTTAGCCCTGAAAAGGAAGGAAATCCTAATACATGCTACAACATGGATGAATGTTAAAGATTATGCTAAGTGAATAAGCCAGACACCAAAGGACAAACATTATATGATTCCACTTACATGCAGTATTTAGGTAGGCAAATTCATAGAGATAGAAGTAGAATAGAGGTTGTCAGGGGCTGAGGGGAGAGAGAAATGAAGAGTTACTGTTCTGTTGAACTAGAATTTTAGTATGGGAGGATGAAAAATTCTGGAGATAGGTAGGAGTGATGGTTGTACAACCAAGTGAATGTGCTTAATACCACTGAACTGTCCACTTAAAAATGATAAATCTTAGTATATTTTACCACAATAAAAAAGTTAAAAGCCACATATATTATTTTATTTATACAAAATGTCCAGAATAGGCAAATCCTAGAGACAGAAAGTAGGTTAGTGGTTTCTAGGGCCTGTGAGTAAGGGGAGTGATTACTAATGGGTATGGGATTTCCTTCTGGGGTGAAAATGTTCCAAAATTAGATAGTGGCAATGGTTGCACAAATCTTTGAATACACTAAATAACCAAATTGTGTACTTTTCAAAGTTGTGTACCTCTCAAGGGTGAGCTCTATTATGTATGAATTATATAATAAAGCTATCATTAGAAAAGCAAATATTCCAATAAAACAAAAAGGAAAGGAAAACCTTCAAACATTATGTTTCGTAGAGAATGAGCTCTAAATTCCTAAGTGCCGTGTTTGGAGACCTGGGCCCAAATCCCAGTTCTGCCACTTTCTAGCTGTGTAACCTTGGACAAGTTACTTAACCTCTCTGAGCCTCAATTCTCTGTGTACTTTCAGGACACTTATAAAGGAGTGAGGAAAGCACAATTAGGAGGGCAGAGAAGTCGAATTGATGCAATCACAACGGAGACTTCAGTCAATCCTATGGGGAGCTCTGCAGCTGGGATGGCACTTGAGAATTATCTGGAAATAGATGTGGGCTGGCTGACCTGAGGGAGAAGAGGCATAACCCTGGGTGGGGTATTTTTCTTTATGTGGTAGAGATGAAGGTGAACTACACTGTTTCTCTTCAGGGAACTACTTGCTGCCCAGCTGCCGGAAGTGCTTTCATCAGACAGCTTCCAACTGTCAGCTGATTCACGGGCTGTCTCAGCAGCAGAGATCTGCTTCATCTGAGGTCATACTTTTCTAAGGGCAGCCTGCAAATGACTGAGCAAGGTAGGAGCGTAAAGCTCCAGCTATTTCGGCCGGGCGCGGTGGCTCACGCCTGTAATCCCAGCACTTTGGGAGGCCGAGGCGGGCGGATCACGAGGTCAGGATAAGGAGCGGGCGGATCACGAGGTCTCTACTAAAAATACAAAAAATTAGCCGGGCGCGGTGGCGGGCGTCTGTAGTCCCAGCTACTCGGGAGGCTGAGGCAGGAGAATGGCGTGAACCTGGGAGGCGCAGCTTGCAGTGAGAGGAGATAGCGCCACTGCACTCCGGCCTGGGCGAAAGAGCGAGACTCCGTCTCAAAAAAAAAAAAAAAAAAAAAAAAAAAAAAAAAAAAATTCCAGCTATTTCAGTCGAACATGGAACTCTCCGACAGGCAATACCTGCTCCAGAGAGCCAAATCTGGTTGGCTGAGCTTTTATCAGGCCTGCATTGCAGTTTGATTTCTTCCTCTTCCCAGTCCTGCTTCTGTTGCCGTTCTTTCACAGATGTTGATCCCTAGTAAGTGTGTTGCATTTCTCATTCTATCTTGGTGTTTCCTTTCAGAGAACTCAATCTGTGATACTTTGGTTGAGGGCAGCTCATGGAGGAGGACATAGCTGTAACCTCTCAGCAGCCAACTCTCCTGGCAGTTAGAGGAATAAATGCCTTGGTCCTGACGGAAGGATCCGAGCGCTACATTTCCTCTGACTCTTGGATTCATTTCGTAGAGTAAATTCACCCTATAAGGGAACCGCTCCTCCAGGATTGTTTGGTCTCTTTTTTTGGGGATGCTTACAAGAGTAAAATTAGGAGGCAAATCACAACTTCTGTCACTGAAAGTAGTCCCCAGAACACAGCTGATCTTGTCCCGCTCCTCTAATCTCCATTATGGATTCTTAGCCAGAATCTCTGGTGGTCTAAGTGGTTTACCTGGGAATGGGTGGTGACTGTTTTTTTTTGAGACAGGGTCTGGCTCTGTCACCCAGGCTGGAATACAGTGGTATGATCTCAGCTCACTGCAATCTCCAGCTTCCTGGCCCAGGTGATCCTCCTACTTCAGCCTCCCGAGTAGCTGGGACTATAGGCACGCACCACTATGCCTGGCTAATTTGGCTAATTTTTATATTTTTTCTGTGGAGACAGGGTTTTTCCATGTTGCCCAAGCTGGTCTTGAACTCCTGAGTTCAAGCAGTCTGCCTGCTTCAGCCTCCCATAGTGCTGGGATTACAGGTGTGAGCCACTGTACCCAGCAACTGTTTTACAGAAAAGCCTGAGCCTAGTTACTGTGACGTTTCTCAGGCCTTGCCCACTGCGTTTGTTCATTTACTGTCAACATTGGGCTGGGAAGTATCAAGAGATGCCCCAGTGGTAAATTAGATGCTAAATGTCCTCTACTCCCTGATGTTACTTTACTTTGTGTTGATAAATCTGCTTTATTTTGTAAACACCATCTGTTGCTGAGATAGCACATAATGTGACATTAAAATCAGGTAATTATGTAGGTTGTTTTTGTTTTGTTTTGTTTTTTGAGACGAAATCCAGCTCTGTCACCCAGGCTGGAATGCAGCGACAAGATCATGGCTTACTGCAGCCCCTACCTTCTAGGCTCAGGTAATTCCCTCACCTCAGCCTCCCGAGTGGCTGGGACTGCAGGTGCACGCCGCCATGCCTGGCTAACTTTTTGTGTTTTTTGTAGAGATAAGGTTTTGCCATGTTGCCCCACTGGTCCTGAACTCCTGGGCTCAAGTGATCCACCTACCTCGGCCTCCCAAAGTGCTGGGATTGCAGGTGTGAGTCACCAGCCTGGCCTATTATGTAGGTTTTAAAGATCAAATATAGTATTGTTGAATATGCTTTATTAATGGTTCTTTGATATATTATTAAAGTACTAATTGCAAAAGTTTTCAGATTATTACTTTGTGTGTTGTCCCTTGCAAATATTATTATTATTATTATTATTATTTTCTTTGAGACAGAGTCTCTGTCTGTTGACCAGGCTAGAGTGCAGTGGCATGATCTCAGCTCAATGCAGCCTCTGCCTCCCGGGTTGAAGTGATTCTCCTGCCTCAGCCTCCCAAGTAGCTGGGATTGTAGGTGTGCACTACCATCCCTGGCTAATTTTTGTATTATTAGTAGAGACAGAGTTTTTCCATGTTGGTCAGGCTGGTCTTGAACTCCTGACCTCAGGTGATCTGCCCACCTCAACCTCTCAAAATTTCTGGGATTACAGGCGTGAGCCACCGTGCCCGGTCCCTTGCAAATATTACTAATATAGCATCAAGGTAATTAGCAACAAAAGAAGTCACTCAACCAGAATGTTATCCAGTATGTTAGTGTAGTTTTATTTAGAACTTTATTTAGTAGTGAATGGTTTTTCAGTACCTATTCCCTTTTATCTATTCCCTTGGAGATTAGAATTGAAAAGGAGTTGGATTTTAACTTTCCTCAGTTATATATCTGTGTGATAAATATGCTGTCTAGCACACCATCAAAACAGGTTAGCCTTGCTAGGGTTTTTGTTTGTTTTGTTTTTATTAGGGAGGCTATCTTCTCTCTGTTTTGACGTCTAGGCTGCCTAATGAGGCCTTGAAAACCAGTCTCCAGCAGTGTCCCTGAAGACTTTGTAGTCTGGAATGAGGGGACCTTACAGCAGGTTTTCCCCACCTAATATCTTTAGTGAGATATACTTCATGTACTGTATAACTCATCCATTTAAAGTGTACAATTCAGTGGCTTTTACTATATTCACAGGTAGGGGCTGCCTTCACCACAGTCAATTTTAGAAGATTTTCCTCACCTCAGAAGAACCTTGCATCCTTTAGCTGTCACTCCCCAATCCAATCCCATATAGTCCTAAGCAATTACCAGTCTACTTTCTGTCTCTATGGATTTGCTTATTCTAGCCATTTTATATAAATTGAGTAAGAATATGTAGTCTTTTGTGACTGGCTTCTTTCACTTAGCATAATGTTTTAAAGGTCCATAAATGTGTAACATATATCTGTACTTTATTCCTTTTTAATGGTGAATAATATTACATTGTATGGATATACCACATTTTGTTTATCCATTAATTGGTTGTTGCATGTTTGGGTTGTTTTCCTTTTGGTTATTGTGAATAATGCTGCTGTGAATATTTGCATACAAGCTTTTGTGTGGATACGTGTTTTCATTTCTCTTGGGTATACATCTAAGAGTAGAATTGTTGGATCATGCAGTAACTATGTATAACATTTTGAGGAACTGCCAAACTATTTTCCAAAGTGCATCATTTTATAATTCTACTATCAATGTATGAGTGTTCTGATTTCTCCACATCTTTGCCAATACTTGTTATTATCTATCTTATTTATTATTTCCATCCTGGTGGAGGCCCGGAAGTAGTATCTCATTGTGGTTGGTTTGGATTTGCATTTCTCTGGTGACTAATGATGTTGAGATCTTTTCATGTGTGTATTGGTCATTTGTATAACTTCTTTGGAAAAAAATGTTTATTCAGATCCTTTGCCCATTTTTAAATTGGATTTTTTTATTCTTAAGTTGTGACAGTTCCTTATTCATTCTAGATACTAGTCCGTTATCAGATATGTGATTTGCAAATATATTTTCCCATTTTGTGAGGTGTCTTAACTCTCTTGATAGTGTCCTTTGAAGCACAAAAGTGTTAAATTTTGATGAAGTACAATTTATTTTTTTTCTCGGTTGCTTTTTTCTTTCTTTCTTTCTTTTGATAGTATAGCTAAGAAACCATTGCCTAACCCAAGATCAAGAAGATTTACTACCATGTTTTCTTCTAAGTGTTTTCTAGTTTTAGCTCTTATATTTTGTTTTATGTTTCATTTTGAGTTGACTTTTGTGATGTCAGAAGGGGCTTCAACTTTTTTTTAATATGGATATCCATTTTTTCCAGCATTATTTGGTGAAATGACTAGTCTTTCTCCATTGAATGATCTTGACATGCTGTTGAAAGCCAGTTAACCATAAATGAGTTTATTTCAGGACTCTCAATTCTATTCCATTGATCTTTATGTCTATCCTTATGTTAGTATCACATTGTCTTTATTACTCTTGCTCTAGTAAGTTTTGAAATTGCAAAGTGTGAGTCCTCCAACTTTATTCTTCTTTTTCAAGATTGTTTTGGCTATTCTCATTCCCTTGAGTTTCCCTATGAATTTTAGTATCAGTTTATTTTTTGCAAAAAAAAATCTAGTTGGGATTTTGAAAGCGATTGTATCGAATCCGTAGATCAGTTTGGAAGTTTTGGCATCTCTATTAGTGTTCTATAAGGAAACTACTACTGTAACAAATTACCATGAACTTAGTGGTTTAAAACAACACATATTTAATATTTTACAGGTCTGGGGGTTTTCTGGGCTAAAATCAAGTTATTGAGGGCAGGTATGATGGCTCACATCTGTAATCCCAACACTTTGGGAGGACTAGGGCAGGTAGATCACTTGAAGCCAGGAGTTCGAGACCAGCCTGGCCAACATGGCAAAACCCGGTCTTGACTAAAAATACAAAAATTTAGCCAGGCATGGTGGTGCACGCCTGTAATCCCAGCTACTTGGTGGCAGAAGCACCCGGGAGGCAGAGGTTGCAGTGAGCCGAGATCATGCCACTGCACTCTAGCCTCGGTGACAGAGCGAGACACTGTCTCAAAAAATAAATAAATAAATAAATAAATAAAACCAAGTTGTTGGCAGAGCTGTATTCCATCTAGAGGCTTTTCTTGGAAAGAATCTCTTTCCATGTCTTTTTCCAATTTCTAGAAGCTATCTGCATTCTGTGGCTCACAGCCTCTTCCTTTTTTATACCGTATCATTTTTTTTTTTCCTGAGGTTCAAGGGATTTTATTATTATTTTTTCTTTTTTTATTATTATTATACTTTAAGTTTTAGGGTACATGTGCACAATGTGCAGGTTAGTTACATATGTATACATGTGCCATGCTGGTGTGCTGCACCCATTAACTCGTCATTTAGCATTAGGTATATCTCCTAATGCTCTCCCTCCCCCCTCCCCCCACTGCACAACAGTCCCCAGAGTGTGATGTTCCCCTTCCTGTGTCCATGTGTTCTCATTGTTCAATTCCCATCTATGAGTGAGAACATGCGGTGTTTGGTTTTTTGTCCTTGTGATAGTTTACTGAGAATGATGATTTCCAATTTCATCCATGTCCCTACAAAGGACATGAACTCATCATTTTTTATGGCTGCATAGTATTCCATGGTGTATATGTGCCACATTTTCTTAATCCAGTCTATCATTGTTGGACATTTGGGTTGGTTCCAAGTGTTTGCTATTGTGAATAATGCCGCAATAAACATACGTGTGCATGTGTCTTTATAGCAGCATGATTTACAATCCTTTGGGTATATACCCAGTAATGGGATGGCTGGGTCAAATGGTATTGATAGTTCTAGATCCCTGAGGAATTGCCGCACTGTCTTCCACAATGGTTGAACTAGTTTACAGTCCCACCAACAGTGTAAAAGTGTTCCTATTTCTCCACATCCTCTCCAGCACCCGTTGTTTCCTGACTTCTAATGATCACCATTCTAACTGGTGTGAGATGGTATCTCATTGTGGTTTTGATTTGCATTTCTCTGATGGCCAGTGATGATGAGCATTTTTTCATGTGTTTTTTGGCTGCATAAATGTCTTCTTTTGAGAAGTGTCTGTTCATATCCTTTGCCCACTTTTTGATGGGGTTGTTTGTTTTTTTTCTTGTAAATTTGTTTGAGTTCTTTGTAGATTCTGGATATTAGCCCTTTGTCAGATGAGTAGGTTGCAAAAATTTTCTCCCATTCTGTAGGTTGCCTGTTCACTCTGATCGTAGTTTCTTTTGCTGTGCAGAAGCTCTTTCGTTTAATTAGATCCCATTTGTCAATTTTGGCTTTTGTTGCCATTGCTTTTGGTGTTTTAGACATGAAGTCCTTGCCCATGCCTATGTCCTGAATGGTAATGCCTAGGTTTTCTTCTAGGGTTTTTATGGTTTTAGGTCTAACATTTAAGTCTTTAATCCATCTTGAATTAATTTTTGTATAAGGTGTAAGGAAGGGATCCAGTTTCAGCTTTCTACATATGGCTAGCCAGTTTTCCCAGCATCGTTTATTAAATAGGGAATCCTTTCCCCATTGCTTGTTTTTCTCAGGTTTGTCAAAGATCAGATAGTTGTAGATATGCGGCGTTATTTCTGAGGCCTCTGTTCTGTTCCATTGATCTATATCTCTGTTTTGGTACCAGTACCATTCTGTTTTGGTTACTGTAGCCTTGTAGTATAGTTTGAAGTCAGGTAGCATGATGCCTCCAGCTTTGTTCTTTTGGCTTAGGATTGACTTGGCAATGAGGGCTCTTTTTTGGTTCCATATGAACTTTAAAGTAGTTTTTTCCAATTCTGTGAAGAAAGTCATTGGTAGCTTGATGGGGATGGCATTGAATCTATAAATTACCTTGGGCAGTATGGCCATTTTCATGATATTGATTCTTCCTACCCATGAGCATGGAATGTTCTTCCATTTGTTTGTATCCTCTTTTATTTCATTGAGCAGTGGTTGGTAGTTCTCCTTGAAGAAGTCCTTCACATCCCTTGTAAGTTGGATACCTAAGTATTTTATTCTCTTTGAAGCAATTGTGAATGGGAGTTCACTCATGATTTGGCTCTCTGTTTGTCTGTTATTGGTGTGTAAGAATGCTTGTGATTTTTGTACATTGATTTTGTATCCTGAGACTTTGCTGGAGTTGCTTATCAGCTTAAGGAGATTTTGGGCTGAGACAATGGGGTTTCCTAGATATACAATCATGACATCTGCAAACAGGGACAATTTGACTTCCTCTTTTCCTAATTGAATACCCTTTATTTCCTTCTCCTGCCTAATTGCCCTGGCCAGAACTTCCAGCACTGTGTTGAATAGGAGTGGTGAGAGAGGGCATCCCTGTCTTGTGCCAGTTTTCAAAGGGAATGCTTCCAGTTTTTGCCCATTCAGTATGATATTGGCTGTGGGTTTGTCATAGATAGCTCTTATTATTTTGAGATACATCCCATCAATACCTAATTTATTGAGAGTTTTTAGCATGAAGGGTTGTTGAATTTTGTCAAAGGCCTTTTCTGCATCTGTTGAGATAATCATGTGGTTTTTATCTTTGGTTCTGTTTATATGCTGGATTACATTTATTGATTTGTGTATATTGAACCAGCCTTGCATCCCAGGGATGAAGCCCACTTGATCATGGTGGATAAGCTTTTTGATGTGCTGCTGGATTCGGTTTGCCAGTATTTTATTGAGGATTTTTGCATCAATGTTCATCAAGGATATTGGTCTAAAATTTCTTTTTTGGTTGTGTCTCTGCCCGGCTTTGGTATCAGGATGATGCTGGCCTCATAAAATGAGTTAGGGAGGATTCCCTCTTTTTCTATTGATTGGAATAGTTTCAGAAGGAATGGTACCAGTTTATCCTTGTACCTCTGGTAGAATTCAGCTGTGAATCCATCTGGTCCTGGACTCTTTTTGGTTGGTAAGCTATTGATTATTGCCACAATTTCAGCTCCTGTTATTGGTCTATTCAGAGATTCAACTTCTTCCTGGTTTAGTCTTGGGAGAGTATATGTTTCCAGGAATTTATCCATTTCTTCTAGATTTTCTAGTTTATTTGCATAGAGGTGTTTGTAGTATTCTCTGATGGTAGGTTGTATTTCTGTGGGATCGGTGATGATATCCCCTTTATCATTTTTTATTGTGCCTATTTGATTCTTCTCTCTTTTTTTCTTTATTAGTCTTGCTAGCGGTGTATCAATTTTGTTGATCCTTTCAAAAAACCAGCTCCTGGATTCATTAATTTTTTGAAGGGTTTTTTTGGTCTCTATTTCCTTCAGGTCTGCTCTGATTTTAGTTATTTCTTGCCTTCTGCTAGTTTTTGAATGTGTTTGCTCTTGCTTTTCTAGTTCTTTTAATTGTGATGTTAGGGTGTCAATTTTGGATCTTTCCTGCTTTCTCTTGTGGGCATTTAGTGCTATAAATTTCCCTCTACACACTGCTTTGAATGTGTCCCAGAGATTCTGGTATGTTGTGTCTTTGTTCTCGTTGGTTTCAAAGAACATCTTTATTTCTGCCTTCATTTCGTTATGTACCCAGTAGTCATTCAGGAGCAGGTTGTTCAGTTTCCATGTAGTTGAGCGGACTTGAGTGAGTTTCTTAATCCTGAGTTCTAGTTTGATTGCACTGTGGTCTGAGAGACAGTTTGTTATAATTTCTGTTCTTTTACATTTGCTGAGGAGAGCTTTACTTCCAACTATGTGGTCAATTTTGGAATAGGTGTGGTGTGGTGCTGAAAAAAATGTATATTCTGTTGATTTGGGGTGGAGAGTTCTGTAGATGTCTATTAGGTCTGCTTGGTGCAGAGCTGAGTTCAATTCCTGGGTATCCTTGTTAACTTTCTGTCTTGTTGATCTGTCTAATGTTGACAGTGGGGTGTTAAAGTCTCCCTTATTATTGTGTGGGAGTCTAAGTCTCTTTGTAGGTCACTCAGGACTTGCTTTATGAATCTGGGTGCTCCTGTATTGGGTGCATATATATTTAGGATAGTTAGCTCTTCTTGTTGAATTGATCCCTTTACCATTATGTAATGGACTTCTTTGTCTCTTTTGATCTTTGTTGGTTTAAAGTCTGTTTTATCCGAGACTAGGATTGCAACCCCTGCCTTTTTTTGTTTTCCATTTGCTTGGCAGATCTTCCTCCATCCTTTTATTTTGAGCCTATGTGTGTCTCTGCACGTGAGATGGGTTTCCTGAATACAGCACACTGATGGGTCTTGACTCTTTATCCAATTTGCCAGTCTGTGTCTTTTTGTTTGTTTGTTTGTTTGTTTGTTTGTTTTTTTGAGACGGAGTCTCGTTCTGTCGCCCAGGCGGGAGTGCTGTGGCGCGATCTCCGCTCACTGCAAGCTCCGCCTTCTGGGTTCACGCCATTCTCCTGCCTCAGCCTCCCGAGTAGCTGGGACTACAGGCGCCAGCCACTGCGCCCGGCTAATTTTTTGTATTTTTAGTAGAGACGGGGTTTCACCGTGGTCTCGATCTCCTGACCTCGTGATCCGCCCGCCTCGGCCTCCCAAAGTGCTGGGATTACAGGCGTGAGCCACCGCGCCCGGCCCAGTCTGTGTCTTTTAATTGGAGCATTTAGTCCATTTACATTTAAAGTTAATATTGTTATGTGTGAATTTGATCCTGTCATTATGATGTTAGCTGGTTATTTTGCTCATTAGTTGATGCAGCTTCTTCCTAGTCTCGATGGTCTTTACATTTTGGCATGTTTTTGCAGCGGCTGGTACCAGTTGTGCCTTTCCATGTTTAGTGCTTCCTTCAGGAGCTCTTGTAGGGCAGGCCTGGTGGTGACAAAATCTCTCAGCATTTGCTTGTCTGTAAAGTATTTTATTTGTCCTTCACTTATGAAGCTTAGTTTGGCTGGATGTGAAATTCTGGGTTGAAAATTCTTTTCTTTAAGAATGTTGAATATTGGCCCCCACTCTCTTCTGGCTTGTAGAGTTTCTGCAGAGAAATCAGCTGTTAGTCTGATGGGCTTCCCTTTGTGGGTAACCTGACCTTTCTCTCTGGCTGCCCTCAACATTTTTTCCTTCATTTCAACTTTGGTGAATCTGACAATTATGTGTCTTGGAGTTGCTCTTCTCGAGGAGTATCTTTGTGGCGTTCTCTGTATTTCCAGAATCTGAATGTTGGCCTGCCTTGCTAGATTGGGGAAGTTCTGGATAATATCCTGCACAGTGTTTTCCAACTTGGTTCCATTCTCCCTGTCCCTTTCAGGTATACCAATCAGATGCAGATTTGGTCTTTTCACATAGTCCCATATTTCTTGGAGGCTTTGTTTGTTTCTTTTTATTCTTTTTTCTCTAAACTTCCCTTCTCGCTTCATTTCATTCATTTCATCTTCCATCACTGATACCCTTTCTTCCAGTTGATCGCATCGGCTCCTGAGGCTTCTGCATTCTTCACGTAGTTCTTGAGCCTTGGCTTTCAGCTCCATCAGCTCCTTTAAGCACTTCTCTGTATTGGTTATTCTAGTTATTCATTCGTCTAAATTTTTTTCAAGGTTTTCAACTTCTTTGCCTTTGGTTTGAATTTCCTCCTTTAGCTCGGAGTAGTTTGATCATCTGAAGCCTTCTTTTCTCAACTCGTCAAAGTCATTCTCCGTCCAGCTTTGTTCTGTTGCTGGTGAGGAGCTGTGTTCCTTTGGAGGAGGAGAGGCGCTCTGCTTTTTAGAGTTTCCAGTTTTTCTGCTCTGTTTTTCCCCCATCTTTGTGGTTTTATGTACTTTTGGTCTTTGATGATGGTGATGTACAGATGGGTTTTTGGTGTGGATGTCCTTTCTGTTTGTTAGTTTTCCTTCTAACAGACAGGACCCTCAGCTGCAGGTCTGTTGGAGTTTGCTAGAGGTCCACTCCAGACCCTGTTTGCCTGGGTATCAGCAGCGGTGTCTGCAGAACCGCAGATTTTCGTGATCCGTGAATGCTGCTGTCTGATCGTTCCTCTGGAAGCTTTGTCTCAGGGGAGTACCCAGCCGTGTGAGGTGTCAGTCTGCCCCTACTGGGGGGTGCCTCCCAGTTAGGCTGCTCGGGGGTCAGGGATCAGGGACCCACTTGAGGAGGCAGTCTGCCCGTTCTCAGATCTCCAGCTGCGTGCTGGGAGAACCACTGCTCTCCTTAAAGCTGTCAGACAGGGACATTTAAGTCTGCAGAGGTTACTGCTGTCTTTTTGTTTGTCTGTGCCCTGCCCCCAGAGGTGGAGCCTACAGAGGCAGGCAGGCCTCCTTGAGCTGTGGTGGGCTCCACCCAGTTGGAGCTTCCCGGCTGCTTTGTTTACCTAAGCAAGCCTGGGCAATGGCAGGCGCCCCTCCCCCAGCCTCGCTGCTGCCTTGCAGTTTGATCTCAGACTGCTGTGCTAGCAATCAGTGAGACTCCGTGGGTAGGACCCTCCGAGCCAGGTGCAGGATATAATCTCCTGGTGTGCCGTTTCCTAAGCCCGTCGGAAAAGCGCAGTATTCGGGTGGGAGTGGCCCGATTTTCCAGGTGCCGTCTGTCACCCCTGTCCTTGACCAGGAAAGGGAACTCCCTGATCCCTTGGGCTTCCCGAGTGAGTCAGTGCCTCGCCCTGCTTCGGCTGGCGCACAGTGCGCTGCACCCACTGTCCTGTGCCCACTATCTGGCACTCCCTAGTGAGATGAACCCGGTACCTCAGATGGAAATGCAGAAATCACCCGTCTTCTGTGTCGCTCACACTGGGAGCTGTAGACCAGAGCTGTTCCTATTCGGCCATCTTGGCTCCTCCCTATACCATATCATTTTAACCTCTGCTTCCATTGTCACATTTCCTGTCTCTGACTTTAAGCCTCTTGCCTCCCTCTTATAAGGACTATGTGATTACATTGAACCCACTCAGATAATCCAGGATAATTGCTACATCTGAAGAATCTTAATCACATCTGTAAAGTCCCTTTTGTCAGGTTCTGGATGTTAGGGTGTGGACATATTTGGTGAGGGGCATTATTCTGTTTACCATGCCATCATAACAACATCTCATCTTCTGATCCATGAACATGGGATGTCTCCCCATTTATTGGATCTTAATTTCTTTCAACAATGTTTTGTTGAAGTTTTATCTTTTTTCAACTTTTATTTTAGAATTGGGGGGGCACATGTGCAGGTTTGCTACAAAGGAATATTTCACGGTGCTGAAGTTTGGAGTACGTACGAATGAATCTGTTACCCAGGTAGTGAGCATAGTACCCAATAGGTATTTTTTTTCAACCCTAACCCTCTCCCTTCCCTATGTTGTATTCATCAGTGTCTGTTGTTCCCATTTTTACAACCACATATGCCCAGTGTTTAGCACCTTCTTGTAAGTGAGAACATTTAGTCTTTGAATTTCTGTTTCTGCATTAATTAACATAGCATAATGGTTTCCAGGTGCATCCATGTTTTTGTGAAGTACATGGCTGTGTAGTATTCCATGGTGTATATGTACCATGGGATGTACCTCATTTTCTTTATTCAACCCACTGTTGGTGGGCACCTGAGCTGATTCTATGTTTTTGCTAATTTGAATAGTGCTGTAATGAATATACAGGTACACGTATGTGTCTTTTTGGTAGAATGACTTATTTTCCTTGGTTGGATTTACTCCTAAGATATTTTTTTCTTTTTCATGCTATCATAAATGGAATTGTTTCCTTTATTTCATTTTTTAATTGTTTGTTGCTAGTGTATATAGATAGAAATATAACTGATTTTTGTATGTTGATCTTGTACCCCTAACCTTGTGGAATTCATTCATTTATTTATTTATTTTAATTTTAAATAGTATCTTATTGAATGTTTTATTCACAGAAAAATAAGCTTTAATCTACAATGAATGCCAGATTATACAGCAGAGAGCAGTTTTCTTAGTTTTCCACACTGATAGAAAGGTTCTTACTAAGTGAAAAAAGCCATAAAATTATATTCACCAATAGAGTACTCTGTCTCAAAACATTCCACATGATTGTTCACAATACTAATACAATTAAATCAGTCATTTACGTTAAAGTATAACAGTGATAAAAAATGCAAAATCTAATATAAATTACATTAAAACTTTTGTTATATCAAATCAGAAATGCAAATTTCTTACTAAATACAGAAAAATGGTCAAATATATAGTAATTTAAGATATTACATTAATGATACAGAATAGGAAAGTGGTAAACTCCAAAAATCTATAGGCATATCTGCAAACTTCAGACTTCAAAGTAGAATCTGACCACCCAAACATTAATGTAGCATTTGTCTAATTTTTGTTTTGTTTTGTTTCTGAGACGGAGTCTCACTCTATCACCCAGGGTGGAGTGTGGTGGCGCCATCCTGGCCCACTGCATCCTCCACCTCCCAGGTTCAAGCGACTCTCCAGCCTCAGTCGGTCGAGTAGGTGGTACCACAGGCATGCGCCACCACACCCAGCTATCCCTTCATTTCTGCAAAGACAGGGTTTCAGCCTGTTGGCCAGGCTGGTCTCCAACTGCTGACCTCAGGTGATCCGCTTGCCTCAGCCTCCGAAAGTGCTGGGATTACAGGTGTGAGCCACTGTGCCCGGCGCCATTTGTCTAATTTGAAGATACAGTTGTCCCTTGCTATCCGTGGGGTTTTGGTTTCACAACCCCCTAGGACCTGAGGATGCTTAAGTCCCTTAGATAAAATCACATAAGGCCGGGTGTAGTGGTTCACGCCTGTAATCCCAGCACTTTGTGAGGCCAAGGCAGGCAGATCACCTGAGATCAGGAGTTTGAGACCAGCCTGGCCAACACCCTTGTGGAATGAATTTATTACTCAAATAGAGATAAACTTTTATCTTCCTTTCCAATCTGGAATCCTTGGTCCTTATCAAGTCACAAAACTCAGTGTTGTTTGTGCCATAGAATGCATTGTATTAAGGGATTTTTCTGCTTGCATTAGACTGGGAAATGCTTTTTAATGTGCTATTGTGTTATTAAAGAATATGATCCCAGGGAAGCAAGAGTGAGAGAAAATGAAATGAGACAGGGAAGGAGGGTAAGGCAACATAAGGATGTGTCATAGAGCTGGTTACTGCTTGGTATCAAGTAGCAACTGATTGCTCAATCTCCCCGAATTGTCTTATAAAGCAGCAGAGAGAATCCCCTTTTATGCCCATCTTTCATTTCATGAGATTCAGACCTGGGAAATATTTTGCTATTAAAGGTATATTTTGCATACCCCTCTGTAACTTTCACCATTATTGATTTCACAGTTTGGGTTGTAGGAATTGTAGAAATTGCTCTATTGCTGTTACCACTCTGTATAACCTGCAAACTTAAGTACCTTAAATTCCCTGTGTATATGGTGTAGGTTTTTCAGTTCCAATGTGGAAAAGGGGGTTGGCCATAGTTCATAGCCTTGTTAGAGTCTATAACAACTCTTAATGATTGGAAGTGTAAAATAAATAAGAACAAGCATTCAGTACATTTAAGAAATTTTTTTCTTTTTCAGTGTCATATTCTTTTCTTCTTTCCTATTATTTTCTTTAGTGTTTATTCCTTATTTTCTGCATACGTTTTAGAAACATAATCACTGTATAGCAAAATAGCTAATTATGAGGTGTCATACAATGATACTGCTCTTCTCTTCCCTCCTCTCTCTAGTTCCTGAATCCTTAATCATTCCCTTTTCTTCTGACTTCCCTTCCTGAAAACTTTAGTCCAAACCTGGGAGAAGCAAGAGAAAAGGAAGTGAGATGGGAAGAAGGGATAGTAGCAGTGGCCTGAAAGGGTATATTGGAGCCCAACTGGAGCAGTGGCCTAGCATGGGGTGCTAGAGCCAAAGTGGGGTGAGGAGGGTATCCACATGAAGGGGGATATAATTTGAGATGTCAGAGTCTGAAAGGGTTGAGGATGACTTTTGTATAGGGGTGAAGGGGAGTGTAGAGCCATAGGGTGTTAGTGTTCAGATGGGGTGAAGTGGGCATAGCAGGGGGTGGCAGCAGTAGGTGCAGGTTTTTTGAGCTTGAGCACAGTGAGAAGAATGTCCTTATTGGCAGGGAGGAGCTGTGGTGGCAATGAAAGATTGGTTATTTATAGATATTGATCAACTAAGTAAATCAATTAAGGATAACAGGAGCCAAATTTCTCACTATCAGAAAAAGTAGCTAAAATGTAGACCAGGCCGGGCGCGGTGGCTCATGCCTGTAATCCCAACACTTTGGGAGGCCAAGGCGGGTGGATCACCTGAGGTCATGAGTTCAAGACCAGCCTGGCCAACATGACGAAACCCCGTCTCTACTAAAAAATAGAAAAATTAGCTCGGTGTGGTGGCATGCACCTGTAGTCTCAGCTACTCAGGAGACTGAGGCAGGAGAATCGCTTGAACCCAGGAGGTGGGGGTGGCAGTGAGCCAAGATTGTGCCATAGCACTCCAGCCTGGGCAACAAGCAAGACTCCGTCTGAAAAATAAAATAAGATAAGAAAAGATAAAGACCAGGGAGAAAAGGTGAATGAACTCTGGGTTTTGGATTGTAATTGGAGATACCCACGTGAACTCATGGTTTTTAGTATATATTGGAATATATATATAATATATATTATATATATATATGGCATTCAGTTAACTGAGAGGGCCTTAGAGCAGTAATATCCCAATAGCAATAAGCACACCTAATGCCCATATCTTGGTTTCCAAGTACTTTTCTCCGATAAAAGGAACAAAGCCTCCTTGGAGAAATGGCTGAATTTAGGGGTGAGGCAGAGAAAGTATCAAATGAGCCTTGAACATGTTCTTGTGCCAGAAAGCAGGGAGGTTCTTAAAGAATTATAGCAACACATCAAAAAGGATACAAAAGCCAGCTTTGAAGAGATTCCCATTAGCCAAATATGGGATGAATTGAGTGTCAAAATAATGATAATAATGGATATAACCAACCCATTGAATGAAATAGAAACCCATGAGTTCATTGTGTCAATGGTTTTTTTTTTTTAAAGGCCAGGTGCCATGGTTCATGCCTATAATCCCAGCACTTCGGGAGGCTGAGGAGGGAAGATCACATGAGCCCAGGAGTTTGAGACCAGCCTGGGCAACATGGCAAAACACCGTCTCTACAAAAATTTTAAAAAATTAGCCGGGCATGGTGGTGCATGCCTGTGGTCTCAGCTACTTTAGGAGGCTGAGGTGGGAGGATCGCTTGGGCCCAGAAGGTTAAGGCTGCAGTGAGCTGGGATTGCTCCACTGCACTGCAGCTTGGGCGACAGAATGAAACCCTGTCTCCAAAATAAAATATTTTTAGAAAGAGTAAGTTGAAAATTTGATGAGTATATTGGCATAATGTCAATATGGTTCCCATGAGATACTTTAATTATAAGGGGAAAAAGGTAACTTTAAAGTGAGGAATCCAGGCAAACACTACTGTGATCAAATGAGCAAAGTTAACCTCACCAGTGATGGGAGAAATCAAAATTGTGTGCCATTTGATAGGAAACAATAAGAACATGGCTCCACTTCTATGATATTACTGCCAAAGATAGATAACCTGAATCTAATCATGATGAAATAACAGGCACTACTGAGGGACATTCTTCAAAATAGCTAGCCTGAAGTCTTCGTAAGTATCAGAAGTCAGAAAGTTAAGACTACAGGTGGTTCCAGATTGAAGGAGAATAAGGAGACATAAAAACTAAATGCATTGTATGACTTTGGACTGGATCCTTATGGGGACATTTTTGGGGCAATTGGCAACAGTTGAATGGGGCCTGTGCATTATATGATAATGTTATGGTATTGATTTCTGATTTTCATGATTTTTATAGTTCTGTAGGAGAATATCTTTGAAGGAAATACACAAAAAAAGTATTCTGGGGTGATAAGGCAGTACGTTGACAACTTACTCTCCAATAACTCATTTAAAAATTATTTGAACTGTACTTGCAACTTTTCTGTAAGTTTGAGATTGTTTCAAAATAAAAAGGGATAAATATGATAATCTTTTTCTTTTTTTTGAGACAGAATCTTGCTCTGTGGCCCAGGCTGTAGTGCAGTGGCGCGATCTCAGCTCACTGCAAACTCCACCTTGCAGGTTCAAGCAATTCTCCTGTCCCAGCTCCCCGAGTAGGAGAGTATTTTGTATTGGGTGTGTCATGCCCAGCTAATTTTTTTTTTTTTTTTTTTAGTAGAGTTGGGGTTTCACCATGTTGGCCAGGCAGGTCTCAAACTCCTGGCCTAAAGTGATCCGCCCACCTCGGCTTCCCAAAGTCCTGGGATTACAGGTGTGAGCCACCTCACTGAGCTGATAATGAACTTGAATGAACTTTGATTAATAGTGAGTACTCCTCCAATTACCTATTTATTTTGAATTGTTTAAGAGAATATGTTTTTCTTAGCTTACATTAAAAATCTCCAATTATTTTTATTAAAAGATCACTTTTGAATGTTTTAGTTTTATTTCATATTTTGTTTTGTTTTTTTGAGACAAGGTCTCGCTTTCTCACCCAGGCTGGAATGCAGTGGCCTGATCTTGGCTCACTGCAACCTCTGTCTCCGGGTTCAAGCAATTCTCCTGCCTCAGCCTCCTGAGTAGCTGGGAATACAGGTGTATGACACCATACTTGGCTAATTTTTATATTTTTTGTAGAAATGGGGTTTTACCTTGTTGGCCAGGCTGGTCTCAAATTCCTGACCTCAAGTGATCCACCCACCTTGGCCTCCCAAAGTGCTGGCATTACAGTCGTGAGCCACTGCACCCAGCCTTCATGTTCATTTTAAAGGTTAAATTATAATCAGTACAAACATACGTAACTCATCTAATTTCATTTTAAATGATATTTGGTTCCTACTCAGATTATAAGCTAAAGTTTTTTAAGCAATTATGTCTTTATTGGTTATATAAATTTACAGTCTTTTAAAGCTGTGTAAATATTGCCACTTAATATAGTTTCACTTTTTATTTGCATAACAATAATAACAATATTAAAAGCTAACACAAAGTGCTGGGCGCTTTGCCAAATATTTAACATGTTATAATTTATGTAATCCATATAATATTCTTTTGAGGTATGTACTATTATTATCCCAATTTTACATATGAGGAAATGAGGCCCTGATAAGAAACTAGTCCAAATTTATATAGTTATGTGGGGCAGCTGGGGTTAGAGCCCGGCTCCTGTGTTCAAAATCTTAATCACTGTTCAGTTATGCACAGTGAAAAATGCATGGATAACTTAAGTCCTATAGAGATTGAAAAGAATGAAAAAAACTCAGTTAAATTTAGGAATTATATACTGAAATTGTTTCCTTTTCTGTCTATAAGAAAATTCAGACATAGGTTTTGTATTTGGTGTGTGACACTAATATTTATTGCCTTAGTAACATCCATTCTTGCCTTTTATGTAATATCACACTTTTAATGTACAGACTTAAAGAGAAATTATTTAGTTGGTGCTGTACCAGAGCAGTAGCTCCGTTATTGAGACTAATATATTCAGTTCATATGTTGTGGACCTATTATGTATTCATGCAAAAGTAACGTTTCCTCTAGTAGTACCAAATTGTTTAAATTGGTGATGATTATAATTTTTGAGACAAGGTCTTGCTATGTCACCCAGGCTGGAGTACAGTGGTATGATCATAGTGTACTGCAGCCTTGAACTCTTGGGCTTAAGCAATCCTCCTGCCTCAGCCTCCCAAGAAGTTGGGACCACAGGCACACACCACCATGCCCGGCTAATTTTTTTTATTTTTTGTAGAGACTGGGTCTCACTGTGTTTCCCAGGCTGGTCTCGAATTCCTGGTCTTAAGCAATCTTCCCACCTTGGCTTCCGAAAGCATTGGGATTATAGGCATGAGCACAATGCCTAGCAGCAGTAAGTTTTAACAAAGGAAGAAAAGAGGCACAACATTCTGAAGAGTGATTTTAAGAATGATTTGCATAATAATTATAAACTAAATATATGATTCCTTTGTTTAACTGCTCTAAACTGTGATCCTGTAGGTCCAGATAAGACTACAAGGACATGCTGTGGGAGAAAAAGATATATAGCAATCTTTGTAGTTCCTTTTGGGGGAGGATATTTTTCCCCAAAGAGTTCAGCTGCAAGAGGTAGTGTATCTGAGGCACCTATTAAAATATAAAGCTCTGTATTGTTGATGTTATTGTCTTGTCTAAGGTCTTATGTAGCTTGTTTGCTGCAGAACTACCAATTACAACAGCCATTCATTATCATGTTGCAAAATAAAACAGTTCAAAAATATAAATTAGCACTTTTTCAGCTTTTTTACGTAGTAAAATATTTTTAAAAATATTTTGTTCTTTTCAGTTCACTTCACTAAGAATATATCTGCACTGCTAATTTGGTTCTGCGTTCTTCAGTTATTATAATATTGCCTTTAACCAATATATTTGCTGTTTATTACCAATTGAAGTTGATATTTTATCTTCCTTTTTGGACAAGTTAACTTTTTGAGAGACGAGTACAACTATTAATATTTGCTCAGCAAATACGGTCAAAACAAAGTATAGGGAAGCCGCCAACCAGAATCATGTTTGTTTAGTTTCGCAACCGTGAGTCACATTTTGGTTCTAACACTAAATGGATTATCTTTCCTTTTTTTTTGAACATTACATCTGAGTTCACACCTCTGAGCATTCTTACAATATTATTAGATTTTCCTCTGCATTTTGGACGGTGAATTTGAGAAGATTTTAGAAAAAAATTTGGGACTGAAAAATTCATATAATGAACTTATGATTCTTTAAAGCAGAGACTGAATAAATATGAAGTATAACTTGAATAGTCTCATTCAAATCTCAAATTTTGTTACACTTTTTATGTTATAGAAACAATTGTAGTTCCAAATAATTATCTAAAAATTTTGCTAAAATAACTTCTGGTTAGTTGGTTAAATTTAAATAACTTGTGTTAAGTTGGTTAAATTTCTGTTAAAGTGTATTCGTTGAGTTATTCATTATTAGTAAAAATTGGTTATGGTGATGTAATGTTCTCTACAGTATTCCCTCAGAATTTTTTGATAGTATTGGTTAATGTTCACTCTTACAAAGCCCCTTTGATAGTGCTTTATTTCTTTATAATTATACCTTTGCACTTTTGTGGTTCTGATGAGGTTATGGAATTATAATAGTATGATGTCCTATCTTATGAAAATAGGCTGAACTATAGCTGAAAGAAGTATGATAACAGAGCTGTAGCAAGAATCTTTCACATGATTTTGATAGGCTGTAAAACTGTTAGTAGACTTTCGTTTCAGAGACAATGTCTATTTTAGATTAATCTTTGTCAGTTACCTACCACTGTAGGTAATTCAAATTCAATTGATTTTCTGACCTTGTAACAAAGAAATACCATACACTAGTTTTTTCAATATAAAATTAATTTTTTGAGTCTTAGCTACTGTGGTATAGTGCTAGAACTTTTTGAAAAGACAACAGAGGAATGTATTTGGCGTTTGTATTACTTTTTTGAAATAAGCTTGATTTTAGAGAATTGAAAATGTACCTGGAGGAATATATGCTATTCTGGAAACCAACAAAGAGTAGTTATTCCAGTGGTAGAATTTTTCAGTAACTGATCAGGCAGTTAATTATTTGAATAAATCCTCATGTTGAATTTTCTTAGTTCTGCACTGTTAAATGTAGTTTTTCCAAAAGTTGCATCTTCTAAAGTAGATGTGAAAATGTATGATTTATTTTTGAAAAGATTTCTGCATTGTGAAATAAATGTAATTACTATTTATTACATTTTTACTATTACTATTTATTACAATAATTATGTGTAAATTCAGTGCTGTGCCAAATATTGGTAATATTCTAGTCATTTTTAATTTAATAAAAAGTCATTTCAGCCAAGTGTGGTGCCTCATTCCTATTTTCCCAGCCCTTTGGGAGGCTGAGGCAGGAGGATCACTTGAGGCCAAGAGTTTGAGACTAGCCTGGCAGCCTGGGCAACAAAGCAAGACCCCATCTCAACAGAAACCAATAATTTTTAAATTAACCTTGTGTGGTGGCATGCACCTGTGCACCTGTAATCCCAGCACTTTGGAAGGCCAAGGCAAGAGGATCGCTTGAGGCAAGGAGTTCAAAGCCAGCCTAGTCAACATAGCGAGACTCTGTCTCTACAAAAGGAAAGTAAAAAAATTAGCCAGGCATGGTGGTACGTGCCTGTAATCCCAGCTATTTGGGAGGCTGAGGCAGGAGGATCACTTGAACCCAAAAGTTCAAAGTTGCAGTGAGTCATGATCCTGCCACCGCACTCCACCTGGGGTGACAGAGCAAGACCCTGTCTCAAAAAAAAAAAAAAAAGTGATTTTATAGCCTTTGTTTGTATAACATTTCCTCCTAAAATTAAAACTGTCTTCTGATTTATGTAGTTACCTCTTCTTAGGGCTTTAATATTTACTTTGCCAGTGTGACTCAGTATGTTTTTGAGTAAAGTGGGAGGGAATATCTCATTACTGTTGAGGATTCAAAATAATTGTTTCTTAAATAGCTTTATTGTTTTTCAAAAATTACATACTTATTTATAAATCAAACAATATATAAAAATTCAGAGAAAAAAGGTAAAAGTCCACCTTGACATTATTCTAGCTTTCAGATGGCTTTTTCGGAATGTAGGTACAGCAGTGTATCCATACAATGTTATATAAATAGGCTATAATAAGGCATTATTCTGCAACTTTTAAAATGTTTTAGAACTTTCCTTTAAAATGAAATAAAATAGCAATTTACACACACACACAGAAATGTTGCTGAGTTTTAGTATTTCACTAGCTTAGAGGTAAAATGTTAACCGTGTGGAATTTTTTTTTAAAAGGAGGATGATGTTTCATAACTAGTATATATGTGTATAATATAGGTTTTAATACTTTTTTTAGTGCATGCTGTGTATTAAGTGATGTAAGAAATGCTAACGAAAGTATTCAGATTCTACCATCTAATACAGAACACTAGTACAATAGAAGTTTTCTTATTTATTTGTTCCTTTAATAATATGAGTTGAATTAGTTGAGACTATGTATTAAGCTTGTATTGCTGAGTTAGGAATACAAAGATAGAATGGTTTGGATTTGTTTATAGTAGGCAACTGTTGGAGGTACCTGAATAGAAAAGTGACATGATGAAATATATTAGGAAATTTAATCTGGCAGTTCTGTGTCATTTAAATTGAAGTAGGAAGAGACAGTATGGTCTGATGATGATTACATGGGCTTTAGAATTAGAGAGGTTAGGATTCATATTCCAACTGTGTCACTAGCTCCTTAGTCTTGATTAAGTTGGTCTTGATTAAGTTACATATCTTTTTTAAGTAATGATATCTTTGTCTCTTTTATGGTATAATAATTCCTACCTCTTAGAGCTGTTGTAAAGATATTTAATGAGAACTTACTATATGCCAATCTCTGTGCTAAATGTTTACATGCATTATCTCATTTATATAAGATTGTCTGTTTTCCCACCTTCTGGTATGGTTGAGTTTTAAAGGAGGAAGGATTAGAAGAGTTTTTCAGATGCTTAGATACATAGGGAAATGAATGTGGGAGGGTATTCCAAGCAGAAGAAACTAGATATACAGATTGGAAGTGTAAAAGAACGTATAAAGGAACATGATGTGTTGGAAGAAAGATGAGCCTGTTTATGAGAGAGTGCGTAAGAGATGGGCATTGATAGTGGAAAGTTAGCTTGAGCCAGATTATCAAGAGTTTTGTATATCTTTCTGAAGAGTTTGGGTATTACTTTGTAAAGCAGATAGCACAAATTCAGTTGTTTATGGGGAACCAGGCAGGTAAGATAAAATGAATGAATTGGACTTGGTAAAGACTGTGATAAACTGAAAATTGCAAATCACATATGCCATTTTACCTAGATGTCCTTTCCTCTGTTCTAGCTGAGTTTTGCTATGTAGAAATTTGGGCCCAGTGTTGCCACATTTTCTAATTTTTAAAAGTGAAACCAGATATTTTTAAATGTGAAATTTTCCTATTTTCAAAACTAACTTAAAAAAATTAAAAACTCCCATGTAGGAAAAAAAATTCAATCTTTATTCTTTTTTTTTTTTTTTTTTTTTGAGATGGAGTCTCACTCTGTCGCCCAGGCTGGAGTGCAGTGGCGCGATCTCAGCTCACTGCAACTTCTGTCTTCTGGGTTCAAGCGATTGTCCTGCCTCAGCCTCCCGAGTAGCTGGGATTACAGGCATGCGCCACCACACCCAGTTAATTTTTGTATTTTTTAAAAAAAATATATATATATTTATTATACTTTAAGTTCTAGGGTACATGTGCACAACATGCAAGTTTGTTACATATGTATACATGTGCCATGTTGGTGTGCTGCAGCCATTAACTCGTCATTTACATTAGGTATATCTCCTAATGTTATCCCTCCCGCCTCCCCACTTGCCCCAGCCCACGACAGGCCCTGGTGTGTGGTGTTCCCAACCCTGTGTCCAAGTGTTCTCATTGTTCGATTCCCACCTGTGAGCGAGAACACGGGGTGTTTGGTTTTCTGTCCTTGCGATAGTTTGCTCAGAATGATGGTTTCCAGCTTCATCCATGTCCCTACAAAGGACATGAACTCACCCTTTTTTATGGCTGCATAGTATTCCATGCTGTATATGTGCCACATTTTCTTAATCCAGTCTATCATTGATGGGCATTTGGGTTGCTTCCAAGTCTTTGCTATTGTGAATAGTGCCACAGTAAACATACGTGTGCATGTGTCTTTATAGAAGCATGATTTATAATCCTTTGGGTATATACCCAGTAATGGGATGGCTGGGTCAAATGGTATTTCTAGTTCTAGATCCTTGAGGAATTGCCACACTGTCTTCCACAATGGTTGAACTAGTTTATAGTCCCACCAACAGTGGAAAAGTGTTCCTGTTTCTCCACATCCTCTCCAGCACCTGTTGTTTCCTGACTTCTAATGATCACCATTCTAACTGGTGTGAGATGGTATCTCATTGTGGTTTTGATTTGCATTTCTCTGATGGCCAGTGATGATGAGCATTTTTTCATGTGTCTGTTGGCTGCATAAATGTCTTCTTTTGAGAAGTGTCAGTTCATATCCTTCGCCCACTTTTTGATGGGGTTGTTTGTTTTTTTTCTTGTAAATTTGTTTGAGTTCTTTGTAGATTCTGGATATTAGCCCTTTGTCAGATGGGTAGATTGCAAAAATTTTCTCTCATTCTGTAGGTTGCCTGTTCACCCTGATGGTAGTTTCTTTTGCTGTGCAGAAGCTCTTTAGTTTAATTAGATCCCATTTGTCAATTTTGGCTTTTGTTGCCATTGCTTTTGGTGTTTTAGACATGAAGTCCTTGCCCATGCCTATGTCCTGAATGGTATTGCCTAGGTTTTCTTCTAGGGTTTTTATGGTTTTGGGTCTAACATTTAAGTCTTTAATCCATCTTGAATTAGTTTTTGTATAAGGTGTAAGGAAGGGATCCAGTTTCAGCTTTCTACATATGGCTAGCCAGTTTTCCCAGCACCGTTTATTAAATAGGGAATCCTTTCCCCATTGCTTGTTTTTGTCAGGTTTGTCAAAGATCAGATGGTTGTAGATGTGTGGTATTATTTCCGAGGGCTCTGTTCTGTTCCATGGGTCTATATCTCTGTTTTGGTACCAGTACCATGCTATTTTGGTTACTGTAGCCTTGTAGTATAGTTTGAAGTCAGGTAGCATGATGCCTCCAGCTTTGTTCTTTTGGCTTAGGATTGACTTGGCAATGCGGGCTCTTTTTTTGGTTCCGTCTGAACTTTAAAGTAGTTTTTTCCAATTCTGTGAAGAAAGTCATTGGTAGCTTGATGGTGATGGCATTGAATCTATAAATTACCTTGGGCAGTATGGCCATTTTCACAATATTTATTCTTCCTATCCATGAGCATGGAATGTTCTTCCATTTGTTTGTGTCCTTTTTTATTTTGTTGAGCAGTGGTTTGTAGTTCTCCTTGAAGAGGTCCTTCACATCCCTTGTAAGTTGGATTCCTAGGTATTTTATTCTCTTTGAAGCAATTGTGAATGGGAGTTCACTCATGATTTGGCTCTCTGTTTGTCTGTTATTGGTGTATAGGAATGCTTGTGATTTTTGCACATTGCTTTTGTTTCCTGACACTTTGCTGAAGTTGCGTATCAGCTTAAGGAGATTTTGGGCTGAGATGATGGGGTGTTCTAAATATACGATCATGTCATGTCTGCAAACAGGGACAATTTGACTTCCTCTTTTCCTAATTGAGTACCCTTTATTTCTTTCTCCTGCCTGATTGCCCTGGCCAGAACTTCCAACACTATGTTGAATAGGAGTGGTGAGAGAGGGCATCCCTGTCTTGTGCCAGTTTTCAAAGGGAATGCTTCCAGTTTTTACCCATTCAGTATTATATTGGTTGTGGGTTTTGTCATAAATAGCTCTTATTATTTTGAGATACATCCCATCAATACCTAGTTTATTGAGAGTTTTTAGCATGAAGGGCTGTTGAAGTTTGTTGAAGGCCTTTTCTGCATCTATTGAGATAATCATGTGGTTTTTATCTTTGGTTCTGTTTATATGATGGATTACGTTTATTGATTTGCATATGTTGAACCAGCTTTGCATCCCAGGGATGAAGCCCACTTGATCATGGCGGATAAGCTTTTTGATGTGCTGCTGGATTCAGTTTGCCAGTATTTTATTGAGGATTTTCGCATCGATGTTCATCAGGGATATTGGTCTAAAATTCTCTTTTTTTGTTGTGTCTCTGCCAGGCTTTGGTATCAGGATGATGCTGGCCTCATAAAATGAGTTAGGGAGGATTCCCTCTTTTTCTATTGATTGGAATAGTTTCAGAAGGAATGGTACCAGCTCCTCATTGTACCTCTGATAGAATTCGGCTGTGAATCCATCTGGTCCTGGACTTTTTTTGGTTGGTAGGCTATTAATTATTGCCTCAATTTCAGAGCCTGTTATTGGTCTATTCAGGGATTCAACTTCTTCCTGGTTTAGTCTTGGGAGGGTGTATGTGTTCAGGAATTTATCCATTTTTTCTAGATTTTCTAGTTTATTTGTGCAGAGATGTTTATAGTGTTCTCTGATGGTACTTTGTATTTCTGTGGGATCGGTGGTGATAACCCCTTTATCATTTTTTATTGCATCTATTTGATTCTTCCCTCTTTGCTTCTTTATTAGTCTTGCTAGTGGTCTATCAATTTTGTTGATCTTTTCAAAAAACCAGCTCCTGGATTCATTGATTTTTTGAAGGGTTTTTTGTGTCTCTATCTCCTTCAGTTCTGCTCTGACCTTAGTTATTTCTTACCTTCTGCTAGCTTTTGAATGTGTTTGCTCTTGCTTCTCTAGTTCTTTTAATTGTTATGTTAGGGTGTCAATTTTAGATCTTTCCTGCTTTCTCTTGTAGGCATTTAGTGCTGTAAATTTCCCTCTACACACTGCTTTAAATGTGTCCCAGAGATTCTGGTATGTTGTGTCCTTGTTCTCATTGGTTTCAAAGAACATCTTTATTTCTGCCTTCATTTCATTATGTACCCAGTAGTCATTCAGGAGCAGGTTGTTTAGTTTCCATGTACTCGAGCGGTTTTGAGTGAGTTTGTTAATCCTGAGTTCTAGTTTGATTGCACTGTGGTCTGAGAGACAGTTTGTTATAATTTCTGTTCTTTTACATTTGCTGAGGAGTGCTTTACTTCCAACTATGTGGTCAATTTTGGAATAAGTGTGATGTGGTGCTGAGAAGAATGTATATTCTGTTGATTTGGGGTGGAGAGTTCTGTAGATGTCTATTAGGTCTGCTTGGTGCAGAGCTGAGTTCAATTCCTGGGTAACCTTGTTAACTTTCTGTCTCGTTGATCTGTCTAATGTTGACAGTGGGGTGTTAAAGTCTCCCTTATTATTGTGTGGGAGTCTAAGTCTCTTCGTAGGTCTCTAAGGATTTGCTTTATGAATCTGGGTGCTCCTGTATTGGGTGCATATATATTTAGGATAGTTAGCTCTTCTTGTTGGATTGATCCCTTTACCATTATGTAATGGCCTTCTTTGTCTCTTCTGATCTTTGTTGGTTTAAAGTCTGTTTTATCAGAGACTAGGATTGCAACTCCTGCTTTTGTTTTCCATTTGCTTGGTAGATCTTCCTCCATCCCTTTATTTTGAGCCTATGTGTGTCTCTGCACGTGAGATGGGTCTCCTGAATACAGCACACTGATGGGTCTTGACTCTTTATCCAATTTGCCAGTCTGTGTCTTTTAATTGGAGCATTTAGCCCATTTACATTTAATGTTAATATTGTTATGTGTGAATTTGATCCTGTCATTATGATGTTAGCTGGTTATTTTGCTTGTTGGTTGATGTAGTTTCTTCCTAGCATCAATGGTTTTTACAATTTGTCATGTTTTTGCAGTGGCTGGTACCGGTTGTTCCTTTCCATGTTTAGTGCTTCCTTCAGGAGCTCTTGTAGGGCAGGCCTGGTGGTGACAAAATCTCTCAGCATTTGCTTGTCTGTAAAGGATTTTATTTCTCCTTCACCTGTGAAGCTTAGTTTGGCTGGTTATGAAATTCTGGGTTGAAAATTCTTTTCTTTAAGAATGCTGAATATTGGCCCCCACTCTCTTCTGGCTTTTAGAGTTTCTGCCGAGAGATCCACTGTTAGTCTGATGGGCTTCCCTTTATGGGTAACCCAACCTTTCTCTCTGGCTGCCCTCAACATTTTTTCCTTCATTTCAACTTTGGTGAATCTGACAATTATGTGTCTTGGAGTTGCTCTTCTGGAGGACTATCTTTGTGGCGTTCTATGTATTTCCTGAATTTGAATGTTGGCCTGCCTTGCTAGGTTGGGGAAGTTCTCCTGGATAACATCCTGAAGAGTGTTTTCCAACTTGGTTCCATTCTCCCTGTCACTTTCAGGTACGCCAATCAGACGTAGATTTGGTCTTTTCACATTGTCCCATATTTCTTGGAGGCTTTGTTCATTTCTTTTTACTCTTTTTTCTCTAAGCTTCTCTTCTGACTTCATTCATTTGATCTTCCATCACTGATACCGTTTCTTCCAGTTGATTGAATCAGCTACTGAAGCTTATGCATGCGTCACATAGTTCTCGTGCCATGGTTTTCAGCTCCATCAGGTCATTTAAGGTCTTCTCTATGCTGTTTATTCTAGTTAGCAATTCGTCCAATCTTTTTTCAAGGTTTTCAACTTCTTTGCGATGGGTTCGAACATCCTCCTTTAGCTCGGAGAAGTTTGTTATTACCGATCTTCTGAAGCCTTCTCTCAACTCGTCAAAGTCATTCTCTGTCTAGCTTTGTTCTGTTGCTGGCAAGGAGCTGTGTTCCTTTGAAGGAGAAGAGGCACTCTGATTTTTAGAATTTTCAGCTTTTCTGCCCTGGTTTCTGCCCATCTTTGTGGTTTTATCTACCTTTGGTCTTTGATGATGATGACGTACAGATGGGGTTTTGGTGTGGATGTCCTTTCTGTTTGTTTCTTTTCCTTTTAACAGTCAGGACCCTCAGCTGCAGGTCTGTTGGAGTTTGCTGGAGGTCCACTCCAGACCCTGTTTACCTGGGTATCACCAGCAGAGGCTGCAGAACTGCAAATATTGCAGAATGGCAAATGTTGCTGCCTGATCCTCCCTCTGGAAGCTTCATCTCAGAGGGGCATCTGGCCATATGAGGTGTCAGTCGGCCCTTACTGGGAGGTGCCTCCCAGTTAGGCTACTTGGGGGTCAAGGACCCACTTGAGGAGGCAGTCTGTCTGTTCTGAGATCTCAAACTCCATGCTGGGAGAACCACTACTCTCTTCAAAGCTGTCAGACAGGGATGTTTAAGTCTGCAGAAGTTTCTGCTGCCTTTTGTTCAACTATGCCCTGCCCCCAGAGGTGGAATCTACAGAGGCAGGCAGGCCTCCTTGAGCTGTGGTGGGCTCCACCCAGTTTGAGCTTCCTGGCAGCTTTGCTTACCTGCTCAAGCCTCAGCAATGGCGGGTGCCCCTCCCCCAGCCTGGCTGCTGCCTTGCAGTTCGATCTCAGAGTGCTGTGCTGGCAGTGAGCAAGGCTCCGTGGGCGTGGAACCCTCCAAGCCAGGCACGGGATATAATCTCCTGGTGTGCTGTTTGCTAAGATCGTTGGAAAAGCACAGTATTAGGGTGGGAGTGACCTGATTTTCCAGGTGCCATCTGTCTCCGCTTCCCTTGGCTAGGAAAGGGAATTCCCTGACCTCTTGCACTTCCTGGGTGAGGCGATGCCTCGCCCTGCTTTGGCTTATGGTCCATGGGCTGCACCCACTGTCTGACAAGCCCCAGTGAAATGAACCCGGTACCTCAGTTGGAAATGCAGAAATCACCCGTCTTCTGCATTGCTCACCCTGGGAGCTGTAGACTGGAGCTGTTCCTATTCGGCCATCTTGGAACCTCCTCTCCCAATTTTTGTATTTTTAGTAGAGGTGGCATTTCACTATGTTGGCCAGGCTGGTCTCCAACTCCTGACCTCAGGTGATTGCCCGCCTCAGCCTCCTCCCATAGTGCTGGGATTACAGGCGTGAGCCACCATGCCCAGCTTTAATCTTTATTCTTTATTTAGCCTATAAGTTATCAGTTTATGATATCTGTTGTACATAACTGGGAGCCATAAAATCTTTTTAATAACAAGTATGGTGACATGGCTTGCCAGATTTAATTTTCATATGGATCATACTGGTCTCAGTGTAGAGATTGGATGGTGAAATTAAAGAATGAACATAGGATGGCTGTTGTAATAGAAAAAGCGAGAGCAGAGGAGTGACTAACCTAAAAAGTGGCATTAGAGCTGGAAGTGGGAGATGGATTGAATAGATAATTTCAGTGCAGTGATTCCTAATATTTTCACTTTCATGGAGCAGTGTGGATTTACTGTTTGGAAATATTTTTATCTTACAAGTAAGCTGTGTTTATTAGTAATCATATTACCATAAAAATGTAATTGTCAGTTATAAGTTCCTATAGGCATAAGGTAACTAGTGTAACCCTTATTGACTTGATGAAATTCTAGTTCATGGTAAAAAGAAATATAAAGAAAATCCTGAAGTTGTAGTTAGCCTTTGCAACTTTATTGTAATTATAACTACAATAGGGAAAAGTGAACGTGCACACTTCTTAGTTACCACTCAAAATCAATCTAGCCAAAAAAAATGTGGGGGGAGGGAATAACTCACCTAGAAGTTTGACAGACCATAGTATACTTTGAATCAAGAGAACACATATTTTCCAAGTGTTCAGCGTCACCAATTATCAGGGAAGTGCACATCAAATCCACAGTGAGATACCATCTTACCCCACATAGAATGGCTGTTATTAAAAATACAAAAAATAACAGATGCTTGCAAGGATGCAGAGAGAAGGTAACTCTTACACACTAATAATGGGAATGTAAATTAGTACAACCACTATTGAAAACAGTATGGAGATTTCTCAAAAAACTAAAATAGAACTACCATTTGATCCAGCAATCTCACTACTAGGTGTTTATCCACAGGAAAATAAATCTCTATGTCAAAGGGATCCTGCACTTGGATGTTTATCATTAGCACTATTTACAATAGCAAAAATATGGAATCAACCCAAGTGTCCACCTACAGACAAATGGATTTTTAAAATGTGGTATATAGGCCAGGCACGGTGGCTCATGCCTTTACTCCCAGCACTTTGGGAGGCCGAGGAAGGAGGATCACCTGAGGTCAGGGGTTGACCAGCCTGGCCAACATGGTGAAACACCGTCTCTACTAAAAAAAAAAAAAAAAATTTAGCCGGGCATGGTGGCAGGCGCTTGTAGTCCCAGCTACTTGGGAGGCTGAGGCAGGAGAATGGCGTGAACCCGGGAGGCGGAGCTTGCAGTGAGCTGAGATCTTGCCACTGCACTCCAGCCTGGGCGACAAAGAGAGACTCCGTCTAAAAAAAAAAAAAAAAAATTACCCAGGCATGGTGGCGTGCACTTGTAGTCCCAGCTACCCAGGAGTTTGAGGCAGGAGAATCGCTTGAACCCTGGGAAGAAGAGGTTGCAGTTAGCAGAGATCATGCCATTACCGTCCAGCCTGGGCAACAAGAACGAAACTACTTCTCAAAAAAAAAAAAAAGTGGTACATATATACACAATGAAATACTATTCGGCCATAAGAATGAATGAAATCTTGTCACTTGCAGCAACATGGGTGCAGCTGGAGGTCATCGTATTAAGCAAGATAAGCCAAGCACAGAAAGACAGATACCACATGTTCTCACTCAAAGGTAGAAGCTAAAAAAGTTGATCTCATGGAAATAGTAAAATGATGGATACCAGAGGCTGGGAGGAGTACATGAGTAGGAAGGTGGGGTAAAGAGAGGTTGATGATAGAAGAAATAAACCTTAATATTCCATAGCAGAGTGGGGTGATGATAGTTAGCAACAATGTATTGTATATTTCAAATTAGCTATAAGAGAGGACTTGAAATGTTACCAACACATAGAAATGATAAATACTCAGGATGATGAGCACCTCAAATACCCTGACTTGATCATTACACATTCTATGCATGTGACAAATATTCACATGTACCCAATAAATATGTAAAATATTTTGGATCAACAAAAAAAGTATATATATTTTCTAATCAATGCATTGTTATCAGTCTCAAATACTTTGGTTTCAGGACCCTTTTCTATTTTTAAAAATTACAGCAGACCCTTAAAGAGCATTTGTTTATTTGAGTCACACCTATTCATATTTACTGTATTAGAAATTAAAACTTAAATGAAGGGCCTTTGGTGAGTAGAGTTCATCAAAAAAGTGACATTTAAATTGAGATCTGAAGTTTGCAAAGTATATTCTTTCTATCAGTGATTTTTAGTCAGTTTAACAATTGAGAGGCCGGGCACGGTGGCTCACACCTGTAATCCCAGCACTTTGGGAGGCCAAGGTGAGCAGATCACTTGAGGTCAGGAGTTCGAGACTAGCCTGGCCAACATGGTGAAACCCCATCTCTTCTAAAAATACAAAAATCAGCTGGGTGTGGTATTGGGCACCTGTAATCCCAGCTACTCGGGAGGCTGAGGCAGGAGAAGCGCTTGAACCCAGGAGGCAGAGGTTGCAGTGAGCCTAGATCGTGCCACTGCACTCCAGCCTGGCCAACAGAGTAAGACTCAGTCTGAAAAAAAAAATTGAATCATAATCATATCTCAATAACCTCTCCAGATTGGAAAATGTGAAGTCCAAACTAGTCATAGAAAATCTAAAAAACTTTGATTAACATTCTTTAACAATAATAATAAATAATATTTATTTGGTAGTTACTGTATGCTAAAAGTATTCTGTGTTAAGTAAGAGGTTTATAAACTTATTTAATCCTCATTATAGTGACATAAGATGATATTATTATCCTCATTTTACAAATGAAAGAAGTGACATTTAGAAGAGCTAATTAACTTGACTAGTTAAGTGGGCAGAATTTGGATCCAGAACTTGAAATTTTTATAGCAATAAATAAATATGGGAACAGAAAGCAATAAAGCAAGTTCTATATTATATAATATAGCTCTTATTTATAGTGATTACTATAACTTACACTAACTTATATGAAGTTATTAGTATAACTTAGTTGCTTAAAATATTAACATGCTGAAGTTATTGTCTTAAAAATGCTTTTAGGTTAAGCTTTTTAAAATGTGAATCTCTATAGGAGGTGAAATTCTGGTATGGATAGGATTCAGTACAGTTGTATTTGCAGTAGCATGTCATTTAAATTTTCCACTAGGCTATAGGAGATAACTGGTAGCCTAATATAAATTATTCACCTTTTTCTTTCCAATTTCACCTCCAGCTGAATTTCATTTGATTTGAGTATTTTTAGATTTAGCTTTATTTTGCATATGTTAGTGAGCTAGAATAAAAGAAAGACATATTAATCTCTTCCCAGGAGCCCTAATTCTTTATATCTTCTCTATTGTAATGATTTGTACTATTGTGAAAATGTAAATTTTTAGAGTTTTGCAGTCTAAGATTTGCAGTTCAGCTATTTAAGGCAGCAACTGCCACATTATAGAACTGACATTTATTAAGGATCTTTTATGTACCAGACATGTTGAAATCCATTGTCTAAATCATCACAACAAACCTATAAAGGTAATTATTATATCTATTTTACAGATGCAAAAAGATGCCCAGAAAAGTTAAATAACTTGCTCAAATTCTTACAGCTAGTTATATGCAGAGCCAGGTTTTAAATTCAAGGCTATTTGATTTTAAGGAGAGGAGTTCTGTAACATTATTTAAAATCTATAAGTAGTTCAGACCAGGCACGATGGCTCACATCTGTAATCCCAGCACTTTGGGAGGCCAAGGCAGGTGGATCACTTGAGGCCAGGAGTTTGAGACCAGCCTGGGCAACGTGGCAAAACCCTGCCTCTACTAAAAATACAAAAATTAGCCAGGCATGGTGGCACACACCTGTAATCCCAGCTACTCTGGAGGCCAAGGCATGAGAATTGCTTAAACCTGGGAGGTGGAGGTTGCAGTGAGCAAGCCGAGATCATGCCACAGCACTCCAGCCTGGGCGACAGAGCAAGACTGTCTCAAAAATAAAAATAAATTAAAAAAATATATGTATAGTAGTATACATACAAAATATATGTAGTTCAGTCAATAAATACTTGTCCCTTGGGAGATGATATTCACCAAACTTATAGTTGACAAGAAATTGGTATTTAAGATAGCTAAAGAATGCTAACAACTCAATTATAAAAAGAAAACTCAATAAGATATGGACAAAAGATGTGAACAAACACATCACAAAAGATTATATACAAATGGATATTAAACACATGAAAAAACATTCAATCATTAGTCATCAGGGAAATGTAAATTAAAACCACAACGAGATAATACTACATTCCCACCATAATTACTAAAATTTAGAAGCCAATGTCCATCAAGACATAGAGCATTCAGAAGTCTCAGACATACATTGTCATTGGGAATATAAATGGTATAACCACTTTGGAAAAAGGTCCATACATACACTTACCCTATGACCGAGAAATTCTCCTAAGTATTTATGCAAGCCAAATGAAAGTGCATTTCAACAATGTCAACAAAAAAACCTGTATAAAAATATTCAAAGCAGTTTTGGTCATAATAGTCCCAAACTAGAAACATCCTAGTTGTACACGGATAGGAGAATGGCTAAACAAACTGGTATATTCATACAATGGACTACTATTCAGCAATAGCAATAAACTATTGATACATAAAAAGAACATGAATGTATCTCAAAAATAATTCGTTGGCCAGGCATGGTGGCTCATGCCTATAATCCCAGCACTTTGGGAGGCCAAGGTGGGAGGATCACTTGAGCCCAGGAGTTCGAAACCAGCCTGGCCACCATGGGAGACCTTGTCTCTACCAGCAACAACAAAAATTAGCCAAATGTGGTGGCATGCGCCTGTAGTCCCAGCTACTTGGGAGGCTGAGGCAGGAGGATCACCTGAGCCCAGGAGGTCGAGGCTGCAGTGAGCCAAGATTGTGTGCGACTGCCTGGGCAATAGAGGAAGACCCTGTCTCAAAAGTAATCATAACCATAATAATATGCTGAGTGAAAAAAAAAACCTTACTGAAAAGTACATATTGTATAATTTCATTGTATGAAGTTCTAAAATAGGCAAAATTTGTTAATGGTTAAAAAAATCAGAACAATGGTTGCCTATAGAGGGGATTGACAAGGGCATGAGGGAACTTTCTGGGATAATGGTAAGGTTCTATTTTGATTATTTTCTTATTTTCAGTTTTGAATTGTTCATTGGAAGTGTGTAAAGTTCAACTGAGGTTGTGCTTTGAGGCTTTAACTTTGCTGAACTCTCTTATTGTCTCTGTTAATTTTTGTGTAGATTCTTAAAGATTTTCTACATACAAGATCATGCTATCTGTGAATAGAGAGAATAGTTTTACTTACTCCTTTCCAATCTAGATGCCATTTGTTTTATTTGCCCAACTGGCCTTTCTCAATCACCTGTGCAGTGTGTTCTTTTTTTTTTTTTTTTTAACTTCCCACACTACCCCGACATATGCAGTACGTTCCTACTCTACCCAAATTAGGTATAGTTAAGTGCCTTCTGGGTATGTCCATTTACATATCTTTTTAGCCCATCAAACTCAGCATGTCCAAGACTGAACTCTTTTCCCATCAAAGTCCTCCTCCTCCAGAGTCCCCTGTCTTGGAAATGACATCACATTCAACTAATTGTACAGCCAGAAAACTGAGAATTATCTTTGACTTCTCCATTTTCTTTGTTTCTTTTTTTTTTTTAAATAATTTCAACTTTTATTTTAGATTCAGGGGTACATATGTAGACTTGTTACATGGGTATATTGTGTGGTGCTGATGTTTGGGGTATGATTGATCCTGTCACCCATATAGTGAGGATAGTACTCAATAGTTAGTTTTTCAGTCTTTGCCCCCTCCCTCCTTTCTCTCTCTGGTAATCCCCAGTGTCTAATATTGCCATCTTTGTGTCCATGTGTATCCAGTGTTTAGTTCCCACTTGTAAGTGAGAACATGTGGTGTTTGGTTTTCTGTTTCTGCATTAATTCACTTAGGATAGTGGTCTCCAGGTGCATCCATGATTTCATTCTTTTTTTATGGCTGTGTAGTATTCCATGGTGTATATATACCATGTTTTCTTTTTTTCTGAGTTTTAATTTTTTTTCCTTCTTTTAACAAATTTTTATTTCCATAGGTTTTTGGGGAACAGATGGTATTTGATTACATGGGTAAGTTCCTTAGTGGTGATTTGTGAGATGTTGGTGTACCCATCACCTGAGCAGTATACACTGAACCCAATTTGTAGTCTTGTATTCCTCACCCACTTCCCACTCTTTCCCCCCAAGTCCCCAAAGTTCATCGAATCCTTCTTATCCCTTTGCATCCTCATAGTTTAGCTCCCGCTTATGAGTGAGAACATAACGATGTTTGGTTTTCCATTCCTGAGTTAATTCGGTTAGAATACTAGTGTCCAATCCCATCCAGGTTGCTGCGAGTGCCATTAATTCATTCCTTTTTATGGCTGCGTGTATTCCATCTTATGTATATACTACAGTTTCTTTATCCACTCATTGATTGATGGGCAGGGCATTTGGGCTGGTTCCACATTTTTGCAGTTGCAGGTTTATAGCGCTGCCGTAAACATGCATGTGCAAGTTTCTTTTTTGTGTAATGACTTCTTTACCTCTGGGTAGATACCCAGCAGTGGGATTGCTGAAATGGTAGTTCTACTTTTGTTCTTTAAGGAGTCTCCACACTGTTTTTCATAGTGGCTGTACTAGTTTACATTCCCACCAGCAATGTAGAAATGTTCCCTTTTCACTGCATTGATGCCAACATCTATTTTTGTATTATTATTTTTTGATAATGGCCATTCTTGCAGGAGTAAGGTGGTATTGCATTGTGGTTTTGATTTGCATTTTTCTGATAATTTATGGTGAGCATTTTTTCATGTTTGTTTGTCATTTGTATATCTTCTTTTGAGAATTGTCTATTCATGTCCTTAGCCCACTTTTTGATGGGATTTTTTTTTCTTGCTAATTTGTTTGAGTTCCTCGTAGACTCTGGATATTAGTCCTTTGTCGGATGTATAGATCGTGAAGATTTTCTCCCACTCTGTGGGTTGTCTGTTTACTCTGCTGTTTCTTTTGCTGTGCAAAAGCTCTTTAGTTTAATTAAGTTCCACCTATTTATCTTTGTTTTTGTTGCATTTGCTTTTGGGTTGTTGGTCATGAAATCTTTGCCTGGAAGGGTTTTTCCAATGTTGTCTTCTAGAATTTTTATAGTTTTAGGTCTTAGATTTAAGTCCTTAATCCATCTTGAGGTTTTTTGTATTTTTTTAGCTGGAGTTTCACTCTTGTCACTCAGGCTGGAGTGCAATGGCACAATCTCCATTCACTGCAGCCTCCCCTTCCTGGATGCAAGTGATTCTCCTGCCTCAGCCTCCCAAGTAGCTGGTATTACAGGTGCCTGCCATCATGCCTGGCTAATTTTTAATTTTTAGTAGAAATGGGGTTTCATCATTGTTGGCCAGGCTGGTCTCGAACTCCTGATCTCAGGTGATCCACCCACCTCGGTCTCCCAAAGTGTTGGGATTACAGGCGTGAGCCACCACACCTGGTCAATCTTGAGCTGACTTTTGTGTAAGGTGAGAGATGAGGATCCAGTTTCATTCTCCTACATGTGGCTTGTCAATTATCCCAGCACCATTTGTTGAGTAGGGTGTCCTTTCCTCACTTTATGTTTTTGTTTGTTTCGTCGAAGATTAGTTGGCTGTAAGTATTTGGGTTTATTTCTGGGTTCTCTATTCTGTTCCATTAGTCTTTGTGCCTATTTTTATACCAGCACCATGCTGTTTTGGTGACTGTGACCTTATGTTTGAAATCAGGTAATGTGGTGCCTCCAAATTTGTACTTTTTGCTTAGTCCAGCTTTGGCTATGTGGGCTCTTTTTTGGTTCCATATGAATTTTAGGGTTTTTTTTTCTAGTTTTGTAAAGAATGATGGTGGTATTTTGATGGGAATTGCATTGAATTTATAGCTTGCTTTTGGCAGTATGGTCATTTTCACAATATTGATTCTACCCATCCATGAACATGGGATGTGTTTCCATTTGTTTGTGTCATCTATGATTTCTTTCGCCAGTGTTTTGTAGTTTTCCTTGCAGGGGTCTTTCACCTCCTTGGTTAGGTATATTCCTAAGTATTTTATTGTTTTCCCAGCTATTGTAAAAGCGGCTGAGTTCTTGATTTGATTCTCACCTTGGTCACTGTTGGTGTATAGTAGAGCTATTGATTTGTGTACATTAATTTTGTATCCTAAAGCTTAGCTGAATTCATTAATCAGTTCTAGGAGCTTTTTGGAGGAGTCTTTAGGGTTTTCTAGGTATACAGTCATATCATCAGATGCAAACAGCGACAGTTTGACTTCCTCTTTACCAATTTAGATACCTTTTATTTCTTTGTCTCGTCTGATTGCTCTAGCTAGGACTTCCAGTACTATTTTGAATAGAAGTTATCTACCACATTTTCTTTATCCAGTCCACTGTTGATCAGTGCCTAGATTGATCCCATGTCTTTGCTATTGTGAATAGTGCTGCAGTAAACATATGAGTGCATGTGTGTTTTTGGTGGAATGATTTATTTTCTTTTGGATATATACCTGGTAATGTTGGGGAGTCTAATAGTAATTCTATTTTTAATTCTTTTTTTTTTTTTTGAGACAGAGTCTCACTCTGTTGCCCAGATTGGAGGGCAGTGGCACAATTTTGGCTCACCACAACCTCTGCCTTCCAGGTTCAAGCGATTCTCATGTCTCAGCCTCCTGAGTAGTGGTGACTACAGGCACACACCACCACATCTGGCTAATTTTTATATTTTTCGCAATGTTGGCCAGGCTGGTCTCGAACTTCTGACCTCGGGTAATCTGCCCACCTCGGCCTCCCAAAGTGCTGGGATTGCAGGCGTAAACCACTGAGCCCGGCCTCTATTTTTAATTCTTTGAGAAATCTCCAAGCTGCTTTCCACAGTGGCTGAATTAAATTACCACCAGTAGTGTGCAAGTGTGTTTTTTTTTTCTCTGCAGTCTCACCAGCATCTGTTTTTTCTTTTTTCTTTTTTTTTTTTTTTTTAACTTTTTAATAGTAGCCATTCTGATTGGTGTGAAATGGCACTTCATTGTAGTTTTGGTTTGCATTTCTCTGATGATTAGTGATGTTGAGTATTTTTTCATGTTTGCTGGCTGTTTGTATGTCTTCTTTTGAGAAGTGTCTGTTTGCATTTTTGCCCATTTTTTAATGGGGTTATTTGTTTTTTGTTTGTTGAATTGTTTAAGTTCTTTATAGATTCTGGATATTAGCCCTTTGTCAGATGCGTAGATTGAGAATATTTACTCCCATTCTGTAGGTTGTCTGTTTATTCAGTTGATAGTTTCTTTTGCTGTGTAAAAGCCCTCTAGCTTAATTAGGTCTCACTTGCCAATTTTTGTTTTTGTTGCAAATATTTTTGAGGACTTAGTCATAAATTCTTTCCCAAGGCCAGCATCCAGAATGGTGTTTTCTAGGTTTTCTTATAGATGATTCTTATAGTTTGAGATGTTATATTTAAATCTTTAATCCATCTTGAGTTATTTTTGCATATGGTGAAAGGTAGTGGTCCAGTTTCATTTTTCTGCATATCTCTAACCAGCTACCCAGCACCATTTATTGAATAGGGAGTCCTTTCCCCATTGCTTATTTTTGTTGACTTTGTCAAAGATCAGATGGCTATAGACGTGCTCCATTTTCTTTACTCATCATATTTAACCCATCACCAACTCCTGATGGTTCTGCTTTCTAATTATCTCTTGAACCAATGTAAAACTTATCTGCCACCACCACCTTGGCCAAACTACCATCGTCTCTTGCCAGGATTATTGCACTTGCGTAACTGGTTCCCCCAGAAACCACTCTTGACTTTCTCTTCTCTGTTCTTCACTTTTTTTTTGGTCAGATCTTTCTGAAAAGAAATATGATTATATCACTGCCCTGCTGAATGCCTTCTAATGAGGTCCTGTTCAAGTTCAGCATGGCTTGGCCCTGCTTGCCTCTCACTGGTCTTTGTATAAAAATCCAAGTATGGTCTACATGGCCCTGCAGAATATAGCCCTTACCTACCTCCCCAGACATTGTTGCCCTGCCTTTCTTTTGCTTCCTTGAATTAGACATCTATTGAACTGTAAAAGGGCAGGGATCATACACCAATGCATACTCAAGACCTGACACATGGTAGATACCAATAAGTACCAGTTGAGTAAATAAAAATTATGTGCCAAGGTGGAGATGGATATGTTCATTATCTCAATAGTGGTGATGGTTTCATGTATGTCAAAACTCACGTCAAACTTAACATGTGTCAAAACTTAACAATTATATGCTTTAAATAGGTACAATTTATTGCATGTCAATTTTTTCTCAGTAAAGCTGCTAAACAGAAAACATGTTCCTTTTTCGAGTCTTGGCACATTCTTTTTGTCTTGTCTTTTTTACCCTTCTTTGCTTACCTAATTCCTGCTTATCCTTCAGTTTTTGCTTCAGTGTATTTTGTCGGGCCTTCCTAATCCCACTAGGTTAGGTATCCCTGTTATATGTCCTATACTTTCCTTGAGAACATTTGTCATAATTATATATAATAATTATATGCAATTATGTAATGTTTAATGTCTTCTCTTTCCTTATAATCCTTCATAATTATAGAAAATGTGCCTTTCTTCTTCATTAATGTATCCTAGGGGTATATTATAGGCACTTAATATTTGTTGGCTAAATTAACAAATGAAATATATATTCATTTATTTATTTTGCAAACATCCATCAAGCCATACCATGAACCAGGTATTATTGTAGGTTCTGGAGTTACCACAGTGAATAAAACAGACTTTTATCTCAGCCCTCATGGAACTTATACTTAAAGGTTGACATAGACCATTTTTAAGTATATATAAATATATAACTTTTAAGTATATATATATTAACTCAATAATCAGATGGTAGTAAATACTATGGTGAAAAATAAGGCAGAGAAGTGGGGGAAATAAGTAGTGCTGAGGCATATGGAGAATTTGTCTCATTGTCCATAGAGACATATGTGGATTAGAACCTGGGCACTGAGGGATGACCTGGAAGCTCTGGACTCCTTGGAGTGACAGGGCATAGAAGACATTATGAAATTAGTTCTGAAAGTCTCAAGGCATAGTGAAGCCGTGAATGTTGAGCAAGGGGAAGATCAGGAGTCATGCTGGAATTACAGAGAATCCTGGGTTCCTTCTGTTCATCTTGCAAATGGCAATGTGGAAGTTTAGGTGATGTTATCTAGGTCACATAAAGGTCTGGGTCTTTCCCTGGATTATTGTTGATAGATTTATTAAGTACTGATCATGGGCAAGATCTTGTGGGATAAATGAAAGTAATATACCAGACTTCATTTTCTCGCTGCTCTCAAGAAACTCACTATCTGGTCGACAAGACAAACATGTAGAAAAATAATTATGATATAAAACAATGTAATAAGAGTAATAGTAGAAATGTAAATGTGCTAAAGGATCACAGAAGGAAAGAATAATTGCAAAGAGTTAAGGGTATAGGGGCAGAAAGGGGAGCTGGAAGGTGGATAGAGGAAAGATAAAATTTCAACGAGCAGAAATCGTAGTAAATGCATTCTAAGCAAATGAACATCTCTATTTGGATGCCTTTCTTCTGCCTCAAACTCAGCATGCTCGGTCATATGGTAATTGTGTTCAACTTTTTAAGGAACTGGCAAACTGTTTTCCACAGCACCTGCACCATTTTACATACTACTAGCAATGTTACAAGGGTTCCTGTTTCTCCTGATGCTCGTCAATACTTCATAGTTTCTGGTGTTTTTATTACAGCCATCCTAGTGGATGTGAAATGGTATCTCAATGTGGTTATTTGCATTTTCTTAATGATTGATGTAACTATGTTTTCAAAATGGTTATTGCCTATTCATGTATCTTCTTTTTTTCTTTTCTTTTTCTTTTTTTTTTTTTTTTTTTTAAGAGATAGAGTCTCACTTTGTTACCCAGGCTGGAATGCAGTAGTGTGATCAGAGCTCATTGCAGCCTCGAACTCCTGGGCTCAAACAGTCCTCCTGCCTTAGCCTCCTGAGTAGCTAGGACTACAGGTGTACACCACCATGCCCTGCTAATATTTAAATTTTTTTGTAGAGATGTGGTCTTGCTATGTTTCCTGGGCTGATCTTTGAACCCTGGCCTCAAGTGGTCCTTCCACTTTGGCCTCCCAAAGCTGGAGTTATAGGTGTGAGCCACCATGCCCAGAGTATATGTTCCTTCTTGTCCCTTTTATATGGTAGTTTAAAAGTTAATGGATTAATTTTTGTTTCAACGTAATTTATAGGGAAAAATGAACAAAGTATTGTTTTATAAAGAATGTGATAAACTTGAAATAGATTTATTATGAAGATAGATGTTATGTTTTAATATAAACAAATATTTAACTCTGTGTTCTGTACTTCCATGTGGATGCAATGGGTAATGAGCCTGTTATAGATAAATGAAAGCAAGATTTAACTCATATACTACAGTTATGTATGTTCTTTCATCCTTATCTCCATGATTTGATTTGGTTACCTTAATGTATTTTGTTAGGAAGGTTTTAAAAAGCTATAAATCAGTCCCTTGATAGTGCTTTGTAACATGTATGCCAATATGTGAAATTACTTTCATCCATCAGTTATAAATTTAACAATGGTATAGTGTTTATGTATGCCTTATATGAGCATAATCATTCCATAAAGATTTGTGCTAAATTGTATATTCAGTTGATGACATTTATCATGAAGCCTGAAAACGTAGTATGATTTTCAGTTAGTACTTACTATTGGTAGATTATTTTACTGTGTTTGTACATGTGACAATCATGTTTTTGTTTTTCTTTTAGTTTTAGAGACAAGGTCTTGCTCTGTTGACCAGGCTAGCGTGATGTGGTACGATCCTAGCCCACTGCAGCCTCAAACTCCTAGACTCAAGCAGCCCTCCTGCTTTAGTATCAGTTAGGACTATAGATGTGCCACCATGCCCTGCTAATTAAAAAAAAAAAAATTGTAGAGGTGGAGTCTTACTATATTGCCCAGGCTGGTCTCAAACTCCTGGCCTCAAGAAGTCCTTGCGTCTTGGCTTTCTAAAGTGCTGGGCTTACAAGGCATGGGCCACCATGCCCAGCCACAATTATTAATATGTATTTTGAAGAGTTTTGTTGTTGTTATTCCCTTAAGCAGCTGTGATCTTATGGTGTGTTGATACAAATTGAAGGAAGAAAAAAATTAGTATGAATATTATAGGACAAGCACTATAAGAAAAAGTGTCTGTATTTGGTATATTATAAAGGGTTCAGTGTCTACCTTTGAGGAATGAATATTAGCTATCCGAGGGAGGCTATCACTGTGTATAGCTTTGTCTGCTCCTTTTAGAGAAACTTCATGATGCTCTAGAATATGCAGTTAGTTACAAAGCTTTGGATCTCACAAAAGCCTGAATACATCTTTGATTGGTTATACATTAAAAGAAATAGCCCACAGCATGGTGCCAGACAAGTGTAGAGCCCAACCAATTTGATCCTTAAGCAGGGAGAAGAATTCTATTCACTATTAAGAGGTTAGATTATAAAATGTAGCAATTATTTCAGCCTAAATTGGTTTACAGCTTTTTTTTTTTTCAATGAAACTTCTCTTCAAATTGTGTGGCAAGAAGACAGTTTTCATTTTGATGACCTTTTTTGCATTGTGTTTTTCTTCAAGTCCTCCCACCCTACCCTTTGGCCTACTTTATTTAGTGTTCAAATCTGAATCATAATGTGCATCTGGAGGGATCCTGAATCATGTGATTGAAGTGTCTCATCATTTATGAACACTCTTTGAAGGCCTAATTTTGATGTAGTATTTGGTTATATCATGAATAAATGTGTTCCCTCTCTTGATGGCTTTATGGGTTTGTGCATATGTAACATTATTTTTTCTCTTTTTATCCATATACAATTTTTTTGTGTTTTTAAATTACAAAATGAAACAAAGAATGACAGCCACATTGGGCCTTGACAGAGATCCTTTCACTTGAAGGACCACTCCTGTAATGAATGATTTTGATTTAAGTGAATATTCATATATTTCTCTGAGTCTCATTTGTATGAAATGACAGACTGCAAACCACTTTGTTTGATTACAATCCCTTCACCTTCATTATCTTTTATGTCTATTTAAACTCTGGATTTGCCATATCCATCTTGACCCTCCCCCACATCTCTCTGTTTTTATTTTTTTTATTGCAATTTTCCTCTTTTCTGTGGGCATTCACAGATTGTTTTTGGAGTTCATTAAAAAGGAAGTGTGTTGTCTGGGTAGAAAATTACATTTGCATGCTTGAGAGAGGCCTAAGGGCTTTTGTGGGGTTTGGCATGGATCTTGTGTTTTTTGGGGGTGTGGGTGATGAGAAAAGGGAAGAGTAAGAAGAAGGGATTTTTAGAAAGGGGAAAAATAAGAAATGTTGAGATTATTTCTCCTATCCCCATTTTTTCCTTTCCATATTATATATGTCCAACTGGTTTCTTCCTTTTTTTTTTTTTTTTTTTTGCATGTGTAAACCACTTAACTAACAATGGAACAGATTAAGAGATCTTTCTTAGAACTGTATTTGAATGTACAGTTGTGTTCTGCAAAGCAGAAAACGTTTTCTATATGGTAATTCTACATTTACAAGTGAAGCTGCAAGTTGATAAACATATCTGTCTGTCTATCTCTTTTCCTTTGTGGTAATTGGAGGGAATTTTATAGAAAATTGTCTCTTGAATTAGTATGACATTTTATTTAAATTAGTATCTACGTAGAAGTTTAGCCATGTTTTGATTTAGAATTTCCCACTTTCAGAATTTAGATTTTTAGGTATAATGTTTAGCCCTTTTAAAAGTTGATAGTGCTAGCCGGGCATGATGGTGAATGCCTGTTGGTCCCAGCTACTCAGGAAGCTGAGTCAGGAGTTCTCCTGAGCCTGAGAGGCAGAGGTTGCAGTGAGCCAATATTGTACCACCGCACTCCAGCCTGGGCAACAGAGTGAGACCCTGTTTAAAAAAAAAAAAAAAGTTGATAATGCTAATCTTTTCTTTTATTAAAGATGATGTCACTTGTTATTCAGAACATATCATTTTTGTCCATTGGGACGTGGGGAAACCATAGAGCATTTATAATAACAGAACTGTATTTCTCAGCCTTGAAAACTTAGAATTCAGTTAGATTCACAGTTAATAACAGAAATGTGGGTAATGTAGGACCAAGGATGGTCATGTGGTGAGTCAGGAGTGGACTGGGTAATCAGGGAGTTACTTTGACTGTACTATAAAGCATATTCATAGGAAAGTAAGTTGATTTATAGAGCTGGCCAATGGAGCTTATAGTCAATATGAGTACGTACGTATACAATTGTGTGTGTGTGTGTAGTCTATAAAGTCTGGAAACAACTTTGGAAGGCTGAGGCGGGTGGATCACTTGAGGCCAGGAGTTCGAGACCAGCCTGGCCAACATGGTGAAACCCTGTCTCTACTAAAAATACAAAAATTAGCCAGGCGTGGTAATGTACACCTGTAATCCCAGCTACTCAGGAGGCTGAGGCACGAGAATTGCTTGAACCGGGGAAGCGGAGGTTGCAGTGAGCCAAGATTGCACCACTGCACTCCAGCCTGGGTGAGAGCAAGACTCTGTCTCAAAAAAAAAAAAAAAAAAAAAAAAAAAAGTCTAGAAACAGATACTTGTATTTTATACTTTTTTTTTTTTCAAATCAGTTAAGTTTTTGATGACATGATATTTGCTTTTGTTTTCAGACTATGGTTACAACATGGTAGGTATCTGTATAAACGAATAGTTATAAGTGCTGAAAAAAGCTGGACTACATCATCAGCTTTTTATTCTCTATTGGATATTCCCATTAGCATAAAAACATACTTTTATTTCTTAGTAAAAAATATTCTCTTAATTCTACCAGCTATTGTCCTATCTCTTTACTGTCTTTTGTAGCAATATTTCAAGAGTTATCTATACTTGTTAACTCCAATTTCTGTCCTCCCATTTTCTCTTAAATCTGTTCCAACAAGTGTTTACTATGCCAGATCCATTCTCATCAGAGCCACCTCTGCATTGCCAGTTGTCACTTCTCAGTCCTTTTCTTACTTGAATATCAGCAGTTTTTGGTATAGTTGATCACTGTCATCCTTGATTCATTTTCTTCATGAGGCTTTTAGGGTACCACACTCTCCTAGTTTTTCTCCTACCTTGTTAGCAGCTCCATCTCAGTCTCCTTTGCTTGTTCTTCCTGTTCTCTTTTTTCCTTGAAATCTAAAAATAGATAGTATTTTTAAAAATATCACACAATAAAAGTGACTTTTTTCTTTTGATGTACAGTTCTGTGAATTTTAACAGATGTATAAACTTAAGTAAGCTATACCATAGCCAGGATATGAACAGTTCCATCACCCCAAAAAACTCCCTCCCATTGTAGTTACACTCTTAACACTTGGCAGCCACTGATCTGTTCTCCATCATTATAGTTTTGGTTTTTTTTTAAGAATGTTATATAAATGGAAATATATAGTGTGTTACCTTTCTAGATGGCTTTTTTTACTCAGCATAATGGCTTTGATATATTCCTCTAAGTTGTTGCCTGTATCTATAGTTTATTCTTTCTTTTTGCTGGGTAGTATTCTGTTATATAAATGTACTACAAATTGTTTATCCTGTTAAAGGATATTTGGGTTGTTTCTAATTTTTGGCAGTTATGAATGGAGCTGCTATAAATGTTGATAACCAGTTTTTTTTTTTTTTTGTTAACGTAACTTTTCATTTCTCTAGGGAGAAATCCCAGGAGTGGGATTGCTGGGTAATATGGTAAGTAAGTGTATATTTAACTTAAGAAACTGACAAATGCTTTTCCAGAGCGCCTGTACCATTTTGTATTCACGCCAGCAAAGCATGAGAGTTCTGGTTCTGCATCTTCATCAGCACTTGGTATTGTCAATATTTTTTATTTTACTCATTTTCACTGGTATGTAGTAATATTTCATAATGATTTTAATTTGCGTTTTTCTAAGAGCTAATGATGCTGAACATTTTTTCATGTACTTATTTGCCATTTGTATATTCTCTTCAGAGTAGTACCCACATCTTTTGCCTATTTTTAAATTGACTTGTTCATATTCTTATTTTGAGTTTTTAGAGTTCGTTTTCTATCCTAGATGCAAGTCCTTTATTGGATATGTGTCTTGCAAATATTTTCTCCCAGTCTGTGGCTTGTTTCTTCAATATTTTAATAGTGTCTTTGTCAGAGCAAGAGTTTTTAATGTTAATGAAATCCAACTTACCAGTTTCTTCTTTTATGGAGTCTGCTTTTGGTTACATGTATAAAAACTCTTTGCCTAATCCCAGGTCACAAAGATATCCTGCTGTGTTTTATTCTAAACAGTTTAAACATTTTTGTACAAAATGTGAGGTTTAGATTGAGGTTTGTTTATTCATTTTGCTTATTGATGTTCAATGTTTAGTGTTCAGTGTCCAGTCCTATATATTGAAAAGACTGTCCTCGCTTCATTGAATTGATTTTATTTCTTTTGCAAAATCGATTGGCCATATTTGTGTGGAGACAGGGTCTCACGCTGTTGTCCAGCCTAGAGTCCAGTAGCACGATCATAGCTCACTTGCAGCCTCAAACTCCTGGGCTCAAGCAAACCTCCTGTCTCAACCTCCCAAGGAGCTGGGACACAACAGTTGTGCACCATCATGGCTGGCAATTTTTTCTTTTTTTTTTTTTCTAGAGACAAGATCTCGTGATACTGACCTTGCTGGTCTCGAACTCCTGGCCTCAAATGATCCTCCTGCCTCAGCCTCCCAAAGTGCTGGGATTACAGGCTTGAACCACCATGCCTGGCTGCTTTATAGTATTTCTTAAAGTTCATTTGATTCCTCTAACTTTATTCTTCCCTTTCAGAATTATTTTAGCTCTTCCAGTTCCTTTGGCTTTCTGTATAAATTTTAAAATTAGCTTGTCTATATTTTAAAATATCTGAGATTTTGACTGATATTGCATTAAACCTATATATCAAGTTTAGGAAAATTGAAATCTTCACTATATTGAGTCTTCAATCTGTGAACACAGTATATCTCTCTATTTATTTAGGTCTTCCTGGATTTCTTTCATCACTGTTTTATAGTTTTCAGTCTATAGATGCCTACATGTTTTGTTAGACTTATACCTAAATATTTTACTTTTTTGAAGTTATTATAATTGTTTTTTTTTTTAATTTATGTTTGTATTTGTATATTGCTAGCATAAAGAAATATGTTTGGTTTTTTTATGATGATCTTGTAACTGAGTCCTTGCTAACTGCACTTTTTTGTAAATTCCTTGGGAGTTTCTAGGTAGACAATCATGTTATCTTTGAATAAGGATAGTTTTATATCTTCCTTTCCAATCTGTATATTTTTATTACATTTTCTTCTTGTGTTGCACCAGCTAAGATTTTCAGTACAGTGTTCAATAGGAATGGGGAGAGTGTACATCATTGCCTTATTCCCGATATTAGAAAGGAGGCATTGAGTCTTTCACCATTTAGTATTTTGTTAGATGGAGGATTTTTGTAGATACCCTTTACCAGGTTGAAGAAATTTACTTCTATTCCAGGTTTGCTAAGAGTTTTGTTGTTGCTGTTGTTTTTAGTCATGAACAGTTGTTGTATTTTGTCAAATGCTTTCTTCTGTGTCAAATTGTATGATCATGTTTTTTATTCTTTAGACTGTTAATATGGTGGATTACATAAATTACTTTTCAAATATTGAAACAGCTTTGCATTCACAGAAGAAAGCCCACTTTGTTGTGGTATATTATTCTTTGTATATGTTTCTGGACTTGGTATGCTAATATTTTGTTGAGAGTTTTTGTGTCTATGTTCATGAAAAATATTGGTCTGTGTTTTCTTTTCTTCTTCTTTTTTTTTTTTTTTTTTTGAGACAGAGTCTCACTCTGTCGCCCAGGCTGGAGTGCAGTAGCACAATCTCAGCTCACTGCAACCTCTGCCTCCCAGGTGTAAGCGATCCTCCCACTTCAGCCTCCTGAGTAGCTGGGACCATAGGCATGCACCACACCCAGCTAATTTTTTTTTTTTTTTTTGGTAGAGACAGGGTTTCACCATGTTGCCCAGGCTAGTCTCAAACTCCTGGGCTCGTGTGACCCGCTCACCTCGGCCTCCCAAAGTGCTGGGATTATAGGTATGAGCCACCATGTCCAGCAGTCTATAGTTTTCTTCCTTGTGTTTTCTTTTTTTTTTAAATACTGTTGTTGTCTGGCTTTAGTACAGAACAGTGTTGGGATCATGAAACGAGTTTAGAAGTATTCCTCTTTCTTTTTTCTGAATGAAATTTTATAAAATTGGTATTATTTCTTTTTTAAATATTTGGAAGAATTTGCCTGTGAAACCATCTGTCACTGGAGATTTATTTTTCAGAAAGTTTTTGGCCACCTATTCAATTTCTCTTGTAAATATACAACTATTGGCCAGGCACCATGGCTCATACCTGTAATCCCAGTTGCTTGAGTCCAGGAGTTTGAGACCAGCCTGGGCAATGTGGCAAAACTCCATCTCTACAAAAAATACAAAAAATTAGCCAGGCATGGTGGCATGTACCTGTGGTCCAAGCTACTAGGGAGACCAAGGTGGGAGGATCTTCTGAGCCTGGGAGGTCAAGACTGCAGTGAGCCATGATTGTGCCACTGTACTCTAGCCTGGGTGACAGAGTAAGACCTTAACTCAAAATAACAACAAAAAACAAAAAGACTATTCAGATATCTGTTTAATCTTTGGTGAATGTTGGTAGTTTGAGTTTGTGAGAAATTAGTTGATTTCATTAAAGTTGTCCAATTTGTATGTGTAGTTATCTCTAATAATTCTTTTTATTTATTAATTTTTTTGAGACAGGGCCTCACTTTGTCACCTAGGCTGGAGTGCAGTGGTGTGATCTCGGCTCACTGCAGCCTCAGCTTCCCTGGGCTCAAGTGATCCTCTCACCTTGTTCTCCTGAGTAGCTAGGACCACAGACATGCACAACCATGGCTGGCTAATTTTTGCATGTTTTTGTAGAGATGAAGTTTCACCATGTTGCCTTGGCTGGCTTAGAACTGCTAGGCTCAAACAATACACCCACCTCTCATATAGTAATATAAGACAAAGCAGACTTTGAACACACAAAAAACAATGCAGATAAAGAAGAATATTATGTCATAATAAAAGGGTCAGCTAGTAATTCCACAGTGGCTCATGCCTGTAATCCCAGCCACCGTGGGATTACTGCCAGACCCTTTTATTATTACATGATATTCTTTTTTATCTGTGTTGTTTTTTGTGTGCGTGTTCAAGGTCTACTTTGTCTCATACTACTATAACCATTCCAGTTTTATTTTGATTAGTGTTTACATGGTAATATATTTTCCATGTTTAAACTTTTAATCGTTTTAGTCTACCTATATCATTGTATTTGAAGTGAGGTTTTTGTAGTCAGCTGGTTTTTGATAAATCTTACGGATTATGTTGATAGTTGTTGTTTTAGTAGGCAGTCTATCTGGTTGGGTTCAGACCCCAAGTTTCAACCTGGCTGCTATGGCCTATAATTCCAATGAATGTCACTTCTGTTTATTATATGCTGAATTGGACAGATCTACATGTTCTCTACTTGGGCTGGGGCCAGGAGTTCATAAACCAGTTTATGGGCTTGCTCTCCTGAGTTCTTCATCTCTGTGATCTCCCTAGTACTTTCTGGTTCCCTGAGGCTTCCCTTTTCTGTTCTCTCACCAGAAACTTAGAACAGTTACCCCTTTCTGATGTATACTTGCATATCTAGGTCCAAGCAGCAGGAAAACAGAAAAAGACAGAGTGAGAATTGGTCTCATCCTCTTAGAACTACTGCTCTACCAAAAGAGAGGAAAGTCTCCCTTTTTCAGAATTTTGACTTCTGATGATTCCCGTTGCTACTGGTGCTGCAGCTGCTGCTGCTTTCACTGCCATCACGACAGGATTGCCCGGAGGTTGGGGTATGAGTAAATGGAGAAAAGAAAGTGGAAAAAATGGGGGATTTTTCACACTCTCTCTGAGTATTAGGAGTTCTTTTTCCCACCCTTTGAGAGGCTTTTCCTGGATCTTTCTCTGTATGCACCCCAATACTCACTACTGGGCTTTTGAATGTGTTGAATTCAGTCTGGGTATACTAGAGGGAAAAAAAAAGGATAAACTCACTGCTGGTTCAGTGGTACTTCAAATTCTGGTCTCCTTTCCCAGTCTGTCTGCTACTAATGACTTTTCAGCATCTTCAAATACTACTGCATACATTCTTTCCAAGTTTGAAAGCTGCCTTCAGTGGGAGAGAGTAAAGTGTGCTTACTCCATCTTATCCATCTCTAGAAGCTTAATCTTTTTAACCTATTTATGTCTTTATATTTTAAGTGGGTTTGTTGTAGGCAGTGTATGATCAGATCTTGCTTTTTTATCCAATGTAATAATTTCTGCCTTTTTTATTGGGCTGTTTAGGCTGCTTACATTTAACATGGTTGTTGATATGGTTGTGTTTAAATCTACCATCTTGCTATTTGTTGCCTGTTTGTCATCTGTTCTTTGTTCTCTTCTTATTTTTCTGCCTCCTTTTTTATTATCTTTTGTGATTCCATTTTATCTCCTTTGTTGGCATATTAGCTGTATCTTTTTGTGCATATTTGAGAGTGTATAGTATATACCAGAGGTCAGCAAACTTTTTCTATAAATGTTCAGATAGCCTAAATATTTTAGGTTTTGTAGATCACACTATCTGTTGGAACTACAATTCTGCCATTGTTGCACAAAAGCAGCCATAGACAATAGATAAATGAATAACTGTGGCTGTATCCCAATAAAACTTTATTCACAGAAACAGGTGGCAGGTCAGATCTGGCCTGCAGGCTGTAGTTTGCCAACCTTTGGTTGTACCTTTAGCACCGTCTACTTTCAAGTGATATTGTACTATTTCACTAATAGTATTAGTACCTTATCACAGCACACTTCCATTCTCCTCTACCAGCCTTTGTGCTAATGTTTTCACACATTTTACTTTTATACAAAATGTAAACCTTAAAATACATTGTTATTGTTTTTCTTTTAATAGTTGTATTTTCAGGAGATTTAAATAATAAATGAAGTCATTTGAATTTATCTACATTGCTACTGTTTCCAGTGTTCTTCATTTTTATGTGCAAATTCATATTTTTCATTTGGTATTATTTCCTTCTGCCTGAAGGACTTCATTTAAAATTTTTGCTGTTGCTGGGCAGGATGTCTCACACCTGTAATCCTAGAATTTTGGGAGGCTGAGGTGGGAGGATCACTTGAGTTCAGGAGTTTGAGACCAGCCTGGGCAACAAAGCAAGACCCTGTCTCTACCAAAAAAAAAAAAAAAAAAAAAAAATCGAAGAAAGCAAAAGAAGGAAAGAAAAGAAAAAGAAAAGAAAAAATTAGCTGGGCATGGTGGCATATACCTGTAGTCTCAGCTACTCAGGAGGCTCAAACAGGAGGGAGGATTGCCTGAGCCCAGGAGTTTGAAGCCAGGCATGGTGGCTCATACCATAATCCCAGCACTTTGGGTGGGAAGATTGCTTGAGACTGTCTCTACAAAAAAAAAAAAAAAAGAGAGAGAGAGGGAGGGAGAGGGGAGGGAGAGAGGAGGGAAGGAGAGAGGGAGAGGGGCAGAGAGAGAGAGAGAGGGAGGGAGGAGGAGAGAGAGAGAGAAAAAAAAAGAAAAGAAAAGAAAGAGAAATTAGCCACCATGGTAGCAGGCGTCTGTAGTCCCAGCTAGTAAGGAGGCTGAGGTGGGAAGATCACTTGAGCCCAGAGGTCAAGGCTGCTATGTACTGTGATTGTGCCATGGCACCACAGCCTGGGTAACAGAGTGAGACTGTTGTCTCTTAAAAAACGGAAAAAAGGGCCGGTGTGGTGGCTCACACCTGTAATCTCAGCACTTTGGGAGGCCGAGGCAGGCGGACCATTTGAGGTCAGGATTTTGAGACCAGCCTGGCCAGTGTGGTGAACCCCCGTCTCTACTAAAAATACAAAAATTAGCCGGGCATGGTGGCAGGTGCCTGTAATCCCAGCTACGAGGCTGGAAAATCACTTAAACCCAGGAGGCGGAGGTTGCAGTGAGCTGAGATCACTCCATTGCACTCCAGCCTGGGCAATAGAGCAAGACTCGGTCTCAAAAAAAAAAAAAAAGAAAAAGAAAAAGAAAAACGAAATTTCTACTATTGATGAATTATTTCAGCTTTTCATAAGTCCTTGTCATCCACACGTGAGTTAATGTTAGTGAGGATAGGAGCTGGTTGCCAGGAGAATCACTCATGAGATTAGTGGGTTGGAACCTTCACTCTACCTGACCCCCTGATCTCCCCTGGGGAGGGGAGAGGGGCTGCATTTTGAGCTAATCACCAGTGGCCAATGATTTAATTAATCATGCCTGTATAATGAAGCCTGTATCCTCATGTCCCATAGTCAGCCCTGCGGAACCTGCTTATTTGAAAAGTTGACCCTCCATATGTGTGGGTTGCAAATCTCATGAATACTCTATTTTGTTTTTCTTCCTTTCTTTTTTTTTTTTTTTTTTTGAGATGGAGTTTCACTCTTGTCTCCCAGGCTGGAGTGCAATGGCGTGGTCTTGGCTCACTGCAACCTCCTTCTCCTGGGTTCAGGCGATTCTCCTGCCTCAGCCTCCGGAGTAGCTGGGTCTACAGGCACACACCACCATACCCGGCTAATTTTTGTATTTTTAGTAGACATGGGGATTTTGCCATGTTGGCCAGGCTGGTCTCGAACTCCTGACCTCAAGTGATCCACCTGCCTCGGCCTCCCAAAGTGCTGGGATTACAGGTGTGAGCCACCGTGCCCAGCCTTTCTTTTCATTTTTAAAAAATTTTCATCAATACTGTATTTTCTATTTACATTTGGTTGAAAAAAAAATCCTTGTATAAGTTGACCCATGTTGTTCAATCCCATGTTGTTAGGGGTCACTTGTGCATGTTTTCTATTTATGGAGATACATATTTAGGCAGTTTCATAGAAATGAGATTGGTAAGAAAGTAAACCCCAGTATTGGAGGAACTGCTTCCAACCCTTTCCACCGTTATCACCCTAATTCAGGCCAATGTGATCTCTCCCGTGAATTCTTTACAGTAGCCATGTAACTGGCCTCCTTGTTCCTACCCTTGCCTCAGTATAGTATGTTCTCAACACAGCAGCCAGGATGATAGTAGTCTGCTTAGAATGCTGCAAAAGTTCCTCATTTCACTTAGAGTGAAAGCCAAATTCCATACAATAGTTTACAAGACTCCAACTAATCTGTCACCCTTCCCTGTGTTACTGCTCTAACTTCTCTTTTACTGTCCCACTAGCTCATCCTGCACCAATCATAATGTCCTCCTTGCTATTCTTTGAACATGCCAGGCATGTTCCTGTCTTTGGATCTTTATATTGTCTATTGCCTCAGCTTGTAAAGTTTTTGACTCAGATATTCACATGGGCAAATCCCTCATCTTCTTCAAGTTTTTGCTGAGTTTTTACCTTCTTGTGAGGCAGGCCTACCCTGTCCACCATATTTAAATTTACAATTTACCTTCTAGCCCTTTATACCCAACCTTGATCTACTTTTTTTTTCTATAGCAGTTGTCTTCTAATATACTGCAATTTACTTATTTTTTGTTTATTGCCTTTCTTCTAAAATAGAAGGTCCACAAGGGCTAGATAAATATTTTTAAAAATCTGTTTGGATTAGATGCTGTGGCTTATGCCTGCAATCCCAATGCTTTGGGAGGCCACGGCAGGAGGATCACTTGAAGCCAGGAGTTCAAAACTAGCCTGGGCAACATAGCAAGACCCTAAAAAAATTAGCTGGGCATGGTGGTGTGTGCTTGGAGTTCCAGCTACTTGGGAGGCTGAGGCAGGAGGATCACTTGGCCTCAATGAGCTATGATTGCACCTTTGCCCTCTAGCCTGGCCGACACAGTGAGACTCTGTGTCTAAAAAATAAAAAAATCTGAAGGCATCAGAAAGTACCAAGGCAATGAGAATTTGTGAGGGTAAGATCTGGTAGAAGGGAGAAGCTAAGAGAGGTGAGCCCAACATTTAGGACCACTCAAGGTGATTGCTGTTTACAAAATTAGCAAGGATAAGAGGCTGAGAAACTGAATAGGGCTTTCAGCAGTCTTATGGGGCTAGAAGGGCAAAATGTGGAGAGCTGCTAAGGAGGAGAGCCCCTGGTAAACACCCCAGGCTTTTTATTGGAACCCTGAAGAATTATATATACCCTAGGAGTAGGGGTGAGCCAAAAATAGACTAGTATTCACAAGGGCTGAAACCTAATTTTTATCATCTCGATCCTGCTTAAAGCAATCTTCCTTTAGCTTAATTGCCTGTCAAATAAGAAGAGTAAATTTTTGGAGGAAGGTAACGTGTTCCAGAGCCTCAGGTTATTTCTACAGTTTTCCATATACAATAACTGAAACTCAGTAAAAAATAACCAGTTATGCAAACTGACAAGATTTGACTAAACACCAAGAGGGAAAACAAAAAAAGACAAGAGAAACAGGCCCAGGAAATCCTGATATTGTACTTATCAGATGTATACGTTAACGTCATTAAAGAAGACCTTCCATGTCTGTAGTAGGAGCAAAAAAAAGGGATAAAAAGTTAAAGAAAACCCAAATGGGCCGGATGCGGTGGCTCACACTTGTAATCCCAGTTGCTTTTATTTTCGCTATGAAATTTTGTAACCATGATAAATTATATTTTATATATTATGAATTTGATGTATTGTTTAATATATGAAATAAATTATGGATTTAAGATTAATGTAGCTGGCTGAAAGGAAGTGTTAGTTTTTTATGACCTGTTGTGAACTTCAATATTTCAAGGTTTTCTAAATAATAAAAAGCCCTACCAAGACTTCACACATTGAGGCTGGGCACAGTGGCTCACGCCTGTAATCCTAGCACTTTGGGAGGCTGAGGCAGGTGGATCCCTTGAGCTCAGGAGTTCGAGACCAGCCTGGGCAACATGGCGAAACTCCATCGCTACCAAAAATAGAAAAATTAGCCAGGCGTGATGGTGCATGCCTGTGGTCCTAGCTACTTGGGAGACTGAGGTGAGAGGATCACTTGAGTCTGGGAGGTAGAGGTTGCAGTGAGCCTAGATCACACCACTGCACTCCAGCCTGGGTGACAGAGTGAGACACCATCTCAAAAAAAAAAGACTTCACACATTGAGAAGTCCCTCCAAGTTGGACAGCTGTACAACTAAAAAATCCTGAAAATTTTCTACCATTAGGAAGTAGGTGAATGGGAGGAGTAGATGTGTCCAATGGACAATGAGAATTGGTTTGTTCTGATAATGGAAGATTAAAAGTCAAAGAAAAAAAATGGCTTATAGTCTTCAGTTTTCTTATCAGGATTATTAAATTCACTAATCTTAATTCTTAGTAGACATGTGTCTCTTTGAAAATGAAAGACTTTTTCAGAAGTAATCAAGAAATGTCAGAGTATAATTGGAGGCTGTAAATCACACAGTTCAAGCTGTTAAGACATTCCATAAGCATAGATAACGAAGTCTAAGATTTGACCAATAATTGCAGTCAGTTGTTTATATAAAGCTAAACCATTAGAAGATTTCAGTGTGACATAATCTGTTTTTTAAGACAAAACACATAACATTAAGTTTATCATCTTAACCATTTTTAAGTTCAGTAGTGTTAAGTATATTCACATTGTTATGCAGCAGTTCTCTAGAACTTTTTCATCTTGCAAAACAGAAACTCCATACCCATTAAACACTAATTTCCTCTCCTCCCTACCTCATCCCTTAGCAACCCCTTTTCTGCTTTCTGTTTCTATGACTGATGCAGAAAAATTGGAACCCACATGCACTGTGAGTGGGAATGTAAAATGGTATTTTTACATTATGGAAACAGTATGAAGGTTCCTCAAAAAAAAAAAAAAACAGAATTACCGTATGATCTAGCAATCCCATTTCTGAGTATATATCCAAAAGAATTCAAAGCAGAATTTAAAAATAATCCCATGTTCATTGTAGCATTATTCACAATAGACAAGAGGTGGACACAACCCAAATGTCCACTGATGAATGAATAGATAGAGGAAAGGTGTTATATACATACAATGATGTGTAATGCAGGCTTTAAAAAGAAAGAAATCCTTTCATATGCTACAACATGGATGAGCCTTGAGGACATTGTGCTAAGCGAAATAGCCAGCCACTAATTGACAAATATTGTATGATTCTATTCATATGAAGTATCTCACATAGAAGTGGCTGGCCATTACAGGTGTGAGCCACTGCACCTGACCGCTAGAGACTATTTCTGTTCTGTTTTTCTTCCCAGCTCAGGTTTTGCTTGCCTTCCAGTATCTTTCAGCATCATGCTTTTTTCCAATCTAAACCAAAAAGAAGGAAATGATTCTGTTTACATATGCACTGTTTTCCTGGGATTACCCTCTGCTGCTTTTTCCAGTCTGGATGGAAATTTTCTCTTGAACTCTGCTCTACAGCTTCCTGTCCTTTGAAGCCTTGAAACTGTTATAAAAACTAACTGGCATCAGACACAAAAGATTATTCATTAACTTTTCTCTTCAAGACCTACAGCCCTTTCCAAGCCTGAGTCTAACATTTTTAAAGGACTCATCTTTTTCCTTTCTCTTTAGCAAACATTTTAGAATACATTTGGAGTATGGATAGTTTTTAAACAATTGCTTTATATGCCATATTTAGTTTAAAAGTTATTTATTTATATTAATGTAAATTGTATTTATTTTTATACTTTTATTTTCACTAGTTTTGCTTCTAGGCAAAAAGCAAAATGCTCATGGATAGGAAGAATCAGTATCGTGAAAATGGCCATACTGCCCAAGGTAATTTATAGATTCAATGCCATCACCATCAAGCTACCAGTGACTTTCTTCACAGAATTGGAAAAAACTACTTTAAAGTTCATATGGAACCAAAAAAGAGCCCGCATCGCCAAGACAATCCTAAGCCAAAAGAACAAAGCTGGAGGCATCATGCTACCTGACTTCAAACTATACTACAAGGCTACAGTAACCAAAACAGCATGGTACTGGTACCAAAACAGAGATATAGACCCATGGAACAGAACAGAGCCCTCGGAAATAATACCACACATCTACAACCATCTGATCTTTGACAAACCTGACAAAAACAAGCAATGGGGAAAGGATTCCCTATTTAATAAACGGTGCTGGGAAAACTGGCTAGCCATATGTAGAAAGCTGAAACTGGATCCCTTCCTTACACCTTATACAAAAACTAATTCAAGATGGATTAAAGACTTAAATGTTAGACCCAAAACCATAAAAACCCTAGAAGAAAACCTAGGCAATACCATTCAGGACATAGGCATGGTCAAGGACTTCATGTCTAAAACACCAAAAGCAATGGCAACAAAACCCAAAATTGACAAATGGGATCTAATTAAACTAAAGAGCTTCTGCACAGCAAAAGAAACTACCATCAGAGTGAACAGGCAACCTACAGAATGAGAGAAAATTTTTGCAATCTACCCATCTGACAAAGGGCTAATATCCAGAATCTACAAAGAACTCAAACAAATTTACAAGATAAAAACAACCCCATCAAAAAGTGGGCAAAGGATATGAATGGACACTTCTCAAAAGAAGACATTTATGCAGCCAACAGACACATGAAAAAATGCTCATCATCACTGGCCATCAGAGAAATGCAAATCAAAACCACAATGAGAAACCATCTCACACCAGTTAGAATGGCAATCATTAAAAAGTCAGGAAACAACAGGTGCTGTAGAGGATGTGGAGAAACAGGAACACTTTTCCACTGTTGGTGGGACTGTAAACTAGTTCAACCATTGTGGCAGACAGTGTGGCGATTCCTCAAGGATCAAGAACTAGAAATACCATTTGACCCAGCCATCCTATTACTGGGTATATACCCAAAAGATTATAAATCATGCTGCTATAAAGACACATGCACACATATGTTTATTGTGGCACTATTCACAGTAGCAAAGACTTGGAACCAACCCAAATGTCCATCAATGATAGACTGGATTAAGAAAATGTGGCACATATACACCATGGAATACTATGCAGCCATAAAAAAGGATGAGTTCATGTCCTTTGTAGGGACATGGATGAGGCTGGAAACCATCATTCTCAGCAAACTATCACAAGGACAAAAAAACCAAACACCACATGTTCTCACTTATAGGTGGGAATTGAACAATGAGAACATTTGGACACAGGAAGGGGAACATCACACACTGGGGCCTGTTGTGGGGTGCGGGGAGTGGGGAGGGATAGCATTAGGAGATATACCAAATGCAAATGACGAGTTAATGGGTGCAGCACACCAACATGGCACATGTATACATATGTAACAAACCTGCATGTTGTGCACATGTACCCTAGAACTTAAAGTATAATAAAAAAAAAGAAAAAAAATTATTTTCCCGTAGGCACATTATAAATGGTGGTTCAATGTCTCAAACTCCTAAGTCTTTTTTAACTTGAATCACAGTGCTATTTAATTTATAAGTGACAGTAGCTATATCCTTGTTTTTAGGGCACAGGGACACATTTCCCATGATTTATTCTAGTATTGCATAGAGAAAAGTACTGTGCCTACAGTGTCCCAGTAATTTGTTTAACTTTCAATGCTACCAGCATAGAATCATAGACTGTATGAACTAGACGGGACTTCAGAGATAAAATAGTTTTAACTGCTTATTTTATGAGGGAGAAAATTGAGAGCCAGGGAAGCTATTATAAATGACATCTCTTTGAGTAGCATCTTCTCACCGCACATCAGTGAAATTTGCATGTTTTTTTCTTATTTTTTGTTGTATAAATTTAATGTATACAACATGATGTTTTCATATACAAGTACATATATAAATATATAGTGATATTCAATTACATATATACATAGTGAAATTATTATAAAATTATAAAATGTTTGTAAAATTATATATTATTATATAATTTATTATTATAAAATTCTAAAATTTTTTGATCTTTCTGCTTAGAATACCTGATCAACTCCTTAGTATCCGTCAAGTTTCAGTTATTCAGTGAGACTTTGTGTCAGCTGCCCTGCCCCAGCATATAAACTGGTCACTCCAATCTTTATGTTCTCTCCATACATTGTATAATTGTATATAACTTTTATATCACTTGTTAGCTACTAATTGTAAGAAGTCACTAGACAGCTCTATACTTCAGTTTGGTCATCCATAAAATAATAATAATAATAGTACTACCTTTTAGTAGCTACTATCATCATTAATTAATTGTGATTGTGATTTTTTTTTTTTTTTTTTTTTTTGAGACAGAGTCTTGCTTTGTCTCCCAGGCTGGAGTTCAGTGGCCCAGTCTTGGCTCACTGCAACCTCCACCTCTTGAGTTTAAGTGATTCTCGTGCCTCAGCCTCCCGAGTAGCTGGGGCTATGGGTACACACCACCGTGCCCAGCTAATTTTTTGTATTTTTAGTGGGGACTGGGTTTCGCCATGTTGGCGAGGCTGGTTTCAAATTCCGGAGCTTAAGTGGTCCACCCACCTCAGCCTCCCAAAGTGCTAGAATTACAGACATGAGCCACAGCACCCGGCTGTGATTTTGATTTAAATGCCTGACTTCCCCACCACTGCTCTGTGAGTTCATTGGCTCACCAGGGGCAAGAATATTATATATTATTCATCTTTATAAGCATTATATGTTTTTTATTAAACTTTTTATTTTGAGATAATTATAAATTTATATGCAATCCTAAGAAATAATGTAAAGAGATCCCAAATGCCCTTTACCTAATTTCCCCCAATGATAACACCTTCAAACTATAGTAGAATATTACAACCAGGATATTGACATTGATATATTTAAGATTCAAAATGTTTACATCACCACGAGAATCCATCCCATTGTTACTTTATAGCTATACTCATTTCCATCTGGTATTACTCTCTCCATCAACATCCTAATCCCTGCCAACCACTAATCTGTTCTCCTATAATTTTACCATTTCAAAAATGTAAATGTTACATAGATGGAATAGTATAATGTAGCTTTGGGGGATTGTCTCTTTTCACTCAGCATAATTCTCTGGAGATTTTAAGTTGCATGGTGCTGTTGTGTGTTATCAATTGCATGTTTTTTTATTGTTGAGTAGTATTCCATGGTATGAATGTACACTACAGTTTAACTGTTCACCCACTGAAGGACATCTGAATGACTTCCAGTTTTTAGCTGAATATGAATTATGAATAAAGCTGCTTTCAAGAGGTTTATGTGTTCAGTTTTAATTTTCCTGAATGCCCAGGAGTGCAATTGCTAAGTCATTTGTTAGTTGTATGTTTAGTTTTTTAAGACACTCTGAATCTGTTTTCCAGTTCACTGTACCATTTTACATTTCCACCAACAACTTACAAGTGATTCGGTTTTTCTGCATTCTCATCAGTGTTTGGTGGTGTTGCTATTTTTTTTTATTTTAGCCATTCTGATAGGTGTGTTGTGATATCTCATTGTGGTTTTAATTTGTTTTTCCCTAGTGGCCTGTTATGTTGAACATCTTTTTATTTGCCATCTGTCTATCCTTTTTGGTGAGATGTCTCTTCATGTCTTTTGCCCATTTGCTAATTGCGTTGTTTGGTTTTTGGGTTTTGTGTGTGTGTGTGTGTGTGTGTGTGTGTTTTAAGTGTTCTTTGTATATTATAAATAGTGTTCCTTTGTTTGATAATTAGTTTGCAAATATTTTCTCCCAGTCTGTAGCTTGTCCTTTCATCCTATTAATAGGTTCTTTAATAGAGCAAGAGTTTGTAATTTTGACGAACTCCAGTTTACAGTATTTCTTTTTATGATGCTGGGCATGGTGGCCCACGCCTGTAATCCCAACACTTTGGGAGGCCAAGGCATGTGGATCACTTGAGGTCAGGAGTTCGAGACCAGCCTGGCCAACATGGCGAAACCCTGTCTCTACTAAAAATACAAAAATTAGCCGGGCATGGTGGCAGGCACCTGTAATTCCAGCTACTCAGGAGGCTGAGGCAGGAGAATCACTTGAACCCGGGAGGCGGAGGTTGCAGTGAGCTGAGATCACACTGCTGCACTGCAGCCTGGGTGACAGAGCAGAACTCCATCTCAAAAAAAAAAAAAATTTCCTTTTATGGATTATGTTTTTGGTGTCAAGTCTAGGGACTCTTAGCCCTTGATCCTGAAGATTTTTTTCTATTCTTCTAAAACTTTTATAACTTTACATTTAATCTGTGGTTCATTTTGAGTTCATTTTTGTGTAAGGTGTGAAGTTTAAGTCAAAGTTTATTACTTGTATTATTTTTTGCCGTGGACATTTAGTTGTATCATTTGTTCAAAAGACTTTATTTTCTCTCCATTGTATTGCTTTTGTACCTTTGTAAAAAATCAGGATTATAGCAAGGTTGAAGGAAGCAGGTAAATATATGAAAGTCAATTGCTTTCCTATATGTCAGCAATGAACAACTGGAATTTGAAATTTAAAATAACACTATTTATATTAGGACTTCTCCCCACCAAAAAAAGAAAGAGAAACATATACATAACTCTTAAAAAAAAATGCAAGATCTGGCTGGGCATGGTGGCTCACGCCTGTAATCCCAGCACTTTGGGAGGCTGAGGCGGGCGGATCACGAGGTCAGGATATCGAGACCATCCTGGCTAACATGGTGAAACCTCGTCTCTATTAAAATACAAAAAATTAGCCAGGGGTGGTGGCGGGCGCCTGTAGTCCCAGCTACTCGGGAGGCTGAGGCAGGAGAATGGCATGAACTCAGGAGGCAGAGCTTGCAGTGAGCTGAGATTGCGCAATTGCGCTTCAGCCTGGGCAACAGCGAGACTCTGTCTCAAAAAAAAAAAAAAAAAAAAAAAAACAAGATGTATGTGAGGAAAAGTATAAAACTCTGATGAAAGAAATCAAAGAAGACCTAAATAAGGGGAAAGATGTTTCATGTTCGTGGATAGGAAGACTCAATATTATCAAGTTGTCAGTAGGCGAATGGGTAAATAATCTGTGGTATTTCCAGACAATGAGATATTTTTTGGTGCTAAAAAGAGCTGTCAAGCCATGAGAAGACATGCAGGAACTTTGAATGCATATTAAGTGAAAGAAATCAGTATAAAAAGGCTACATACTGTATGATTCCAAGTATATGACATTTGGGAAAAGGTAAAACTTTAGACAGTAAAAAAAAGAAGAAAAACCTAGTGGTTGCCAGAGGTTTGTGGAGTAGTAGCAGGGAAAGGATGAATAAGTGGAGCACTAGGGATATTTGAGGCAGTGAAACTATTCTGTATGATACTGTAATAGTAGATACATGGCATTATGCATTTATCAAACTCATAGACCTATACAACATAAAGGATGGACCCTAATATTAACAAATGTACTTTAAAACAAATAAATATTAGCTGGCACGTTTATGTGAGTCTATTTTTGGATTCCCTGTTCCATTGATTTATGTGCCTCTCCCTCCAGTGCTACATAGTTTTAATTACTATATCTCTGTAACAACTCTTAAAATAGTGGGCCAGGGGCGGTGGCATACACCTGTAATCCCAGCACTTTGGGAGGCCAAAGCGGGAGGATCGCTTGAGGCCAGGAGTTCAAGACCAGCCTGGGCAACATAATGAGACCCTGTCTCTACAAAAATTAAACAAACAAAAAACTAGCTGGGCATGGTGTGTGCCTGTGGTCACAGCTATTTGGGAGGCTGGAGGTGGGAGGATTGCTTGAGCCCAGGGAGTTGAGGCTGCAGTGAGCTGTGATGACAGACTAAGACAGTGTCAAAGAAAGAAAGAGAGAGAAAGAAAGAGTGTAGACTGTTTCTTTCTACCTTATTCTTCTTTTTCCGTATTTAAGTGCCTTTGACTTTCCATATAAATTTTAGAATAATCTTGTCTATGTTGTCTATGTCTGCAAAAAAATCTTTCCAGAATTTTGATGGGAATTACATTAATGGCATTTAGAAAGAATTGACATTTTTACTATATTGAGTCTTCTAATCCATGAACATGGAATGTCTCTTCATTTATTTAGATCTATGTTTTCTTTCACCAGTAGTATTTTATAGTTTCCAGCATAAAAGTTCTGTATATGTTTTGTTAGATTTATATTATACTCCCTCGTCTTTTCTTCTTTTTTCAGTGACTCTAAATAGTATTAAGTTTTTAGTTTGGGTTTCTATATGTTCATTACTAGTATATAGAAATACAGTTTATTTTTCATATGTTCATCTTATGTCATGTGACCTGACTGAACTCACTGATTCACCACTGCTTTGTACAGTAAGAGTGGTGAGGGCTCAAGCCTGTAATCCTAGCACTTTAGGAGGCTGAGGCGGAAGGATGGCTTGAGGCCAAGAGTTTGAGACCAGCCTGGGCAACAAAGCAAGACCCCATCTCTAAAAAAAAAATTTTTTTTTTTAAATTAGCCTGGCATCGTGGTGTGCACCTGTAGGCCCAGCTACCCAGGAGGATCCCTTAAACCTGGGAGATCAAGTATGCAGTGAACTATGATGGCAGCATGGCACTCCAGCCTAGGTGACAGAATGAGACCCTGTCTCTTTTAAAAAAAAAAAAAAAGTGAGAGCAGAATCTTGCCTTGTTCCCTATCTTAGCGTAAAGCATTTAATCTTTCACCATTAAGTATGTTAGCTGTAGGTTTTTTGTAGATGCTCTGTATCAAATTGAGGAATTTAATGTGTATTAAATTTTGTCCAAATACTTTTCCTGTGTCAACTGATATGATTATATGATTATTGGGTGATTTTTTTTTAGCCTGTTAATATGATGGAGCGCATTAGTTGATTTCCAAATATTATATCAGCTTTGCAGCCCTGGACTGAATTCTACTTGGTCATGGTGTACTATTCTTTTTATATATCGTTGACTTCTGAGTGCTCATGTTTTGTTAAGGATTTTTGTCTCATATTTATGAGGGATATTTGTCCTTAGTTTTCTTACTTGATACTGTCTTTGGTTTTGGTATCAGGGTAAAGGTAGTTTAATAAAGTGATTTGGCAGCTGGTCACAGTGTCTTGTGCCTGTAATCCCAGCTACTCGGGAGAACGAGGTGGTAGCATTGCTTGAGCCCAGGAGTTCCAGGCCATAGTGAGCTGTGATCGTGCTACTGCACTCCAGGATAGTTGACAGAGTGAGACCCCATCTCTTAAAACAAGTTGTTGTTGTTTTTCTAATAAAATGATTTGGGGAGTGTTCTCTTCTCTTACATTTCTATAAGCAATTATGTAGAATTGATATAAATTCATTTTTTTTTTCCTTTTTGTGGAGAACAGAGTCTCACTATGTTGTCCAGGTAGGTGTTGAACTCCTGAGCTCAAGCTATCCTCCTGCTTCTGCCTCTCTAAGTGCTGGGATTACAGGTGTGAGCCACTGTGCCCAGCATTGATTCATTTTTGAACATTTGGTAGGATTCTCCAGTAAAATAATTTGGGCACAAGGATTTCCCTTGGGAGTTTTGAGATTATGGATTCAATTTTCTTGATAGTGTTAGGGCTGTTTCAGTTAATCTGTTTCTTACTGGATGAGTTTTGGTAGTTTGTGCTTTCTAAGGAATTGGTTTTTTTTCTTTTCATCTGTGTCCTTAAATGTGTGTGCGTAGAGTTGTTCATAGTATTTACTTATTATTCTTTTGAAGTCTGCAGGGCTGGTAGTAATATTCCTTGTTTCATTCCTCATGTTGGTATTGTGTCTTCTCTTTTTTCCTTTGTCATTCTTGCTGAAGGTTTATCAATTTTATTTATTTTTTCAGTGAACCAGATTTTTGTTTCATTGATTTTTTTTTTTTCAGTTTCATGGATTTCTTCTCTTTACCTTTATTACTTCCTCCTTTCTGCTTGGTTTATTTCAATTTTCCTAGATTTTTCAGGTGGAACTTATGTTAATTTGAGATTTTTTTTTCCTTTAAAATTTTTTTTAAATTTAATTAATTATTTTTGAGACAAGGTCTCGCTCTGTCACCCAAGCTGGAGTGCAGCGGTGCAATCAAGGCTCACTGTAACCTCAAGCTCCTGGGTTCAAGCAATCCTCCCACCTCAGTCTTCAGAGTAGCTAGGGGTGCAAGCTCTTGCCACCATGCCCAGCTAATTTTTAAAATTTTTTTGTAGAGATAAGATATTGCTATGCTGCCCAAGCTGATCTCAAACTCCTGGCCTCAAGCGATTCTCCTGCCTTGGCCTCCCAAAATGCTGGGATTATAGGCATGAGCCATTGTGCCGGCCTTCCTTTTTTTTTTTTTTTGTGAAACGGAGTTTTGCTTTTGTTAGCCAGGCTGGAGTGCAATGACGCAATCTCGGCTCCGCCTCCCAGGATTAAGAGATTCTCCTGCCTCAGCCTCCCGAGTAGCTGGGATTACAGGCGCTTGCCACCATGCCCGGCTAATTTTTGTATTTTTAGTAGAGACAGGGTTTCACCATGTTAGCCAGGGTGGTCTCAAACTCCTGACCTCGTGATTCCCCCTGCGTTGGCCTCCCAAATTGCTGGGATTATAGGCGTGGCCTTTTGTTTTTTTTTGTTTTTTTTGATGTAAAGCAGTTCCTGCTATAAATTTCCCTCTCAGCATTGCTCTACCTGCATTCCACAAATTTTTGTCTGTTATATTTTCATTTTTATTCAGTTTAATATATATTCTTCATTTTCCTTGAGACTTCTTTGACCCCTGGATTATTTAGAAGTATGTTGTTTAATTTCCAAGTGTTGGGTGATTTTCCTGTTACCTTTCTGTTATTGACTTCTAGTTTGATTGTTTAAAAAAATATGGTCAGATAACACACTCTGTATTATTTTCATTCTTTTAAATTCATTGAAATTTGCCTCATTACCTGGAAATGGTCTATTTTGGCATATGTTTCACAAGTATGTGAAAAACAATGTTTATTCTGCTTTGCTGGAGGAGATGTTTTATAAATATCGATTGAATTCTCTTGGTTGATGGCATTGTTGAGTTCTTCTATATATTTATTCCTTGTTGATTTTCTGTATAGTTGTTCTGTCAGTTGCTGAGAGAGGTATTAACTGTATTGTGGATTTGTCTGTATCTTTTTTCAGGTCAGTCAGATTTTGCTTCACATGTTTTGCAGCATGTTGGTTCATACAAATTTAGGATTGCTGTGTCTTCTGGGTTAATTGACTCTATCATTATGTAATGTCCCTCACTTTCTGATAATTTTATTTGCTCTAAAGTCCCTCTGGTAATATAACTACTACTTTCTTTTGATTAATGTTTTCATGATACATCTTTTTCCTTTCTTTTACAATCTTACCTGTATTGTTATATTTGAAGTGAGCTCCTTCTAGACAGGATATACTTGGGTCATGTTTTTAAAATATCTGCTCTACCAATCTCTTGTCTTTTAGTTGGTATATTTAGACCATTTTCATTTAATGTATGTTTTGACATGTCTTTCATTTTATTTTTTGTTTTCTGTTTATTGCTGATTTCTGTTTCTGTTTTCTTTTGCCTTTCTTTTTCTGTGGGTTGTTACTTGAACATTTTTTAGAATTCGATTTTGATCTATCTATAGCATTTGTAGTGTATCTCTTTTTACAGTTTTTATATAATAGCTATTCTAGGTTTTATGTTCTGTATACATAATTTAATCATAGTATACTGATGTTGATATTTTACCACTTCAAGTGAAGTATAGAAACCTTACTTTTCTTTATATCTCTTTACTTTCTCCATTTATAATTGGCTTAAATATTTTCTCTACATACATTTAGAAGCAGATCAGACAGTGTTATAATTTTTTTTTCCAAGTGTCAAATACAATTTAGAAAACTCAATTGGAGAAGGAAAACCTATTTAATTTACTCATATTTTTGTTTACTGCCTTTTTTCTTCTTGGTGTTTTGAGATATCTTCTTTTATCATTTCCCCTCTGTTTGGGAAACTTCCTTTAGCTACTGTTTTAGGGTAGACAGCAGATTTGTTTTAATGTCTTGATTTTGCCTTCATTTCTGAAGGGTTTTTGTTTTTGTTTTTGCTGGAGATAGAATTTGGGGTTTATAGTTGTTTTCTTTCAACACTTGAAAAAACTGTGTTATTTCTTCTGGCCTGCCTGGTTTCTGATGAGAAATCTGCTACCATTTGAATTGTTTTCTCCTGTAGGTGTTATTTCTCTTGCTGCTTTTAAGGTCTGGGGTTTTGTTTACTTGTTTGGTTTTCTTGTCTTTAGTTTTCAGAAGTTTAACTATGATGTATCTTGACGTGGATTTCTTTGGGTATAATCCTCTTTGGGGTTTATTCAGCTTCTTGAATCTGTAGCTTTATGTCTTTTGCCAAATTTGGGGAGTTTTCAGACATTATTTCAAGTATTTTTTCAGCTCTGCCCTCTTTTTTCTGCTTCTGGGATTCCAGTGAGATTAGATCTTTTGTTGTAGTCTGACAGGTCCCTGAGACTCTGGTGTGGTTTTCTGTTTTGTTTTGTTTTAGTCTATTCTCTGTTTTTCAGATTAGGTAATTTCTGTTATTCTGTCTTCAAGTTTACCGATTTCTCTGTTTCGTCCATCTGCTGCTGAGTCCATACATTTTTTTATTTCAGTTATTGTATTCTTCTGTTTTAAAATTTCCACTTTGTTCTTCTTTGTATCTTCTGTTTCTCTGCTGAGAGATTCTATTTTTTCATTTCTTTCACATACAGTTGTCATTGCTCATTGAAAATGTTTTTATAATGGATACTTTAAAATCTTTGTGACAAAATTCTATATCCCTGTCACTTTGGTGTTGATATCTACTTATTGTCTTTTTTTATTCAAGTTGAGATTTTCTTTGTTCTTGGTGTATCGAGTGATTTTAAACCTGGACATTTGGGGCATTATATTATAAGACTCTGGATTTTATTTAAACTTCCGTTTTAGCTGGTTTCCTCTGATACTCTTGTGGCAGAGGTAGGAAGGGAGCAGCCTCATTATTGCTAGGTGGAGGTAGAAGTCCTGGTTCTCCACTCAGGCCCCTCCATGCTTAGAGAATTAGGAATCCTTCATTACTGTTCCTTGCATGGCCTCTACTGACACCAGAGGTGGAAGGGTGGTGGCCTCGTTACCACTGGGTAGTGAAAGTCCTGATTTTCCACTGGGCTTCATCTGACACCACTGCAGCAGGGAGAGGAGGACATAGGGGGCACCTTGTTATAGCCTGACAGATATAGAAGGCTCCCCACTCAGCCTTGGTGGGGGTTTGGTTTCAGTGTTCTCTGTGCTGTTTGTCTGGAGTAGAACTGTTATTGTCTAAAAGTGCCTTTGTCTTCCTAGGCTGCCCTTTAGTTAGAGAGAGCAGGCTTTTTTGTTGGGGTTGGATTTTTTGTGTTTTTCTGTGTTTTTTGGTCTGCATCTGTTGGCATTTCTTGGTTGCAGGCTTATTCACACCTCCAACTCTGAGATATATGAAACAAAAAGAAAACCCAGGGAAATCCTCACTGTGTCATTCCTTGGGTCCTGAAGTTCCTAACCAGTCTGCCTTCTGCCCTCCACCTTTCAGAGTCTTTTTATGTTTGTTTTGTATATAATGTCCAGGGTTTGTTGGATGTATTCATGGGAAGAATAGGAAAAAATATATCTACTCCATCTTCCCAGAAGAAGTTACTAATGGCTGTTATATAAGTTTTAACTGTCATTACTTGTCATTGAGTGTTTACTATATGTTTAGCACTAGTCTGAGTGTTTTGCATACATTTGTTTATTTAATCCTTGCAATGACATGAAATGCAGATTATTATCACCATTTTACATATGAAGAAGCTGTGGTACTGAAAGGTCAAGCAGCTTTCTCAAGACATATAGCTGTTGAGTGACAGAGTCAGCCTTTGAACCCAGGTCTGATTCCAGAGCCAGTTTTCTTTAACACTTGATAATACTGTTTCTCTGGGTATTAGCCTCAATATACTGATATTATTTAAAACTATTAAATAAGTTAATGAGTAAGACAGAATGTAATTAATTGTGTACTATAGATAATAGGTGCCAAACAGGTTAGCAGAGTGAGAAATCAGTATAATTTGAGATCATCAAGGAAGATATTTGGAGTTCATGAGATTTGAACTGTTTAAGAGAGATTAATGGAATTTGGATAGACAGAGAAAGACAAGGATTAGGAAAAGGAAGCATCAAGAATGATTCTTGGTCAGGTGTGGTGGCTCATGCCTCTAATCCCAGCACTTTAAGAGGCTGAGGTGAGGGGATCACTTGAGCCCCGTCATTTAGACCAGACTGGGCAACATAGTGAGACCCTGTCTCTACAAAGGAAAAATTAGCTGGGTGTGGTGACACATACCCATAGTCCTAGCTACTTGAGAGGCTGAGGCAGAAGTGAGCCCAGAAATTCAGGGCCACAGTGAGCTATGATTGTGCCACTGCACTCCAGCCTAGGCAACAGCAAGACCCTGTCTCAAAAAAAAAAAAAAAAAGAAGAAGAAAAAAAAAGATTCCTATCTATAAATGAGTGGATAAAGAAAGAGGTTTGGGGTGAAGAAGAATCAAGTTTTATACACATTAAGTCTAAGTCCCTGCGGAAAATCCAAGTGATAATGAAGTTGGTTACATGGGTTTGGACTAGACTTGTGGTCATTGATGCCATGGGATCATGAGAGAGGATAAAAGGAGACAGCGATTTAAGACAGAATCCTGAGGAACATTAAAGTGATAGGCAGAGGAATAAGAGCCTACAGAGAGGACTGTTGAGTAGAAGCCAATGAATAAGGAAAACTGACTACTGTATGAGAAAAAATAATCCAAAGAGTTGAATTAAGACGAAAGGTGGGCCGGGTGCTGTGGCTCACGCCTGTAATCCGAACACTTTGGGAGGCTGAGACGAGCAGATCACGAGGTCAGGAGATCGAGACCATCCTGGCTAACATGGTGAAACCCTGTCTCTACTAAAAAAATACAAAAAATTAACTGGGCAAGGTGGCGGGCGCCTGTAGTCCCAGCTACTCGGGAGGCTAAGGCAGGAGAATGGCGTGAACCCGGGCGGTGGAGCTTGCAGTGAGCCGAGATCGCGCCACCACACTCCAGCCTGGGGACAGAGCGAGACTCCGTCTCAAAAAAAAAAAAGATGAAAAGTGATAGGATCCAGAGCAGAGGTGGAAGAATTACCCTTAACTAGGAGCGAAACATCTATTTTGACAAGAAGAAAAGTGAAAGGAGGGCTGGGGATGAAGAATAGTGTATAGGTTTAGAAGCTTTGGGGGAGGTTGGAAGTTCGAGAGTAGTGGAGAATGAAATAGCCCCTGTGGGCTGGGCATGGCGACTCACACTTACAATCCCAGCACTTTGAGAGGCCAAGGCAGGAGGATCACTTGAGCCCAGGAGTTCGACACCAGCCTGGGCAACATAGGGAGACCCCCATGTCTACAAAAAAAAAAAGAAAGAAAAACTAGCCAGGCATGGTAGCATGTACCTGTGGTCCCAGCTACTCAGGAAGGATGCTGAGGCAGGAGGACTGCTTGAGCCCAGGAGGTCAAGGCTGCACTGAGCCATGGTCACACCATTGCACTCTCCAGCCTGGGCAACAGAGCAATACCTTGAAAGAAGAAGTAGCCCCTGTGGAGTAAGATAGAGAACTGAATATGGAAACCATTGGAATGATATGAGAAATTGAGAGTGTGTTTGAGGTTGATAGCTATAATTAATGTATTAGTGTCAATTTGCAGTGTTGTGTGGTTTTTGTTGTTGTTGTTGTTTTTTCGCCCTGTCACCCAGGCTGGAGTGTGGTGGCGGCTCACTGCGACCTCCCCCTCCGGGGTTCAAGTGATTCTCCTGCCTCAGCCTCTCGAGTAGCTGAGACTACAAGCATGTGCCACCACGCCCAGTTAATTTTTGTAGTTTTAGTAGAGATGGGGTTTCACCATGTTGGCCAGGCTAGTCTAGAATGCCTGACCTCAAGTGATCCACCCACCTCGGCCTCCCATAGTGCTGGGATTACAGGTGTGAGCAGTTGCGCCTGGCTTGTATGGGTTTTGATAGCAATGTTCAGCAACTGTGGTTGAATTTAGAAAGAACAGGCAATTGGGTTCATCTAGACTTAGGGTTTTGCCATTGGGTAAAATGAAAGGATGGTTGTGCAAAGTAGAACTGAAGTGAGTAAAAGAGAGTGGATGTGATAAAGATAATTTTGTCGGTAGAACAATGGGAAATTACTGTTGGCTTCTGATTTCTCTGGGAGGTGTAAGATGAGATCATCAGAAGAGATGTGAAAATGAGAAGTTTTGGGATTGTAAGTCATTACTACCAGACTGTGCTAGGTTTGGAGATACAAAGGTAAATGATAATCATAAGACAAAACTCCTACTGTTGGGTAACTTATAGTTAGTGTGACAAAATTTAAGACAGCTACTGACGATGAGTGAAAGAAAGTCAGAGTTTCTCAGAGAAACTGAGATTGGAAACCATGAATTTGTAACAGCATACATTGACAAGTTTGTAATATTTCTTTAGCATGCTTCTAAGGCCTGAGGAAACTTAACTAGTTGACCGTCCTTACCCCGCAAGATAATAGCACTTGAAATAAGGCTGCATAGTCATCTTAGGTATCTTTAAAGAAGGAATTTTTGAAATTGAATTTTAATGCTCAGAAAAGAGTAAAGTGCAGTGTCTGAAGGGATGGGCCCGAGTATTTCCGAGCTTAAATACAGTAGCATAAAGGGTGGATTTTATAATTATTTCACAGAGACTTCTATGATACAATGACCTTTTACTGCAGTGTGAGGAAGGTCTGGAATAAGAACAAGGGGGTTGGGATGCTGATGAGAAACTAGAGTGAGGTAAGCAGGACTATAAACTTGGGGAAAAGAATGGGTGGAAAAAAATGGTCTTAAGCCCAGATTAAGATTTTCTCAAATCATGGTAAGTGCTAGAGAATCATGTCATTTCCCTGTTTAAAATTCTTGGGTGGGTTTCTGTTGAACCTGTTGGCTGCTTTTCTTCCAGTTTCAGTTAAAATGTCATCTCTTTAGGCCATTCTTAACCATACCATCTAAAATGGTCACTCTGTTCTCCTTCCCTGTCTACACCCCTGAATATACATGACATTTTAATTCTTTTATTGTACTAACATAGGAAGAAGTTATTTTGTCTACTCATTTATTGCCTGCTCCTCTCTATTATAAGCTCCATGAGGACAGGGCCCTGTTTCTCTTATTTACTACTGTGTTTTCAGTACCTAAAACAGTGTCTAGTACATAGTAGTGCTCAATAAATATTGGATAAGTGATTAATTCGTCCAATAAAATAATTTTTTCTTTTCTTTTCTTTTCTTTTTTTTTTTTTTTTTTGAGACAGGTTCTCTGTCACCCAGGCTGGAGTGCAGTGGCTTCATCTCAGCTCACTGCAACCTCCACCTCCCAGGCTCAGGTGATCCTACCACCTCAGCCTCCAGAGTAGCTGGGACTACAGGCATGCACCAGCACACTTGGCTAATTTTTTGTATTTTTTGTAGAGATGGGGTTTCACCATGTTGCCCAGGCTGATCTCAAACTCCTGGACTCACACCTCTGCCTGCCTCGGTATCCCGAAGTACTGGGATTATAGGCCTGGGCCACCTCGCCCCACCAAAAATCAATAAAATTTTCCCTGAGTTTATTTTTCTTAGTACTCAGGAAATTAGTATCAAAATAAGTGATTAAATTAAAGTATTCCTCACTTTTGTGGCTCTCTGCATCATCTAAAAATTACTGTTACATTTAGCAATGTGATAGACATTTAAATACTTTCTCACTTTGCTTATTGTTTTTGAGGAGAAAAATAATCATCTTGGACCACAGTTTATTTCTTAATGATTGTCTGGCAATGCGTGTGGAGTTAGTTGTACTTTAAAGCATTTAAGTACAAATCTTCAAATGTGAGTATCATGATAGGGATATTGATTTAAAGTGGTAGTTATAGATTTACAACAAGAATTTTTTTTTTCAAGGCAGGGTCTTGCTCTGTTGCCCAGGCTGGAGTGCAGTGGCATGATCTCGGCTCCCTGCAAGCTCTGCCTGCCTGCAAGCTCTGCCTCTCTGCAAGCTCTGCCTCCCAGGTTCAAGTGATTCTCACACCTCCACCTTCCACATGAACAACTACCAAAACCACTATATGACCTATTTTCAGATGCAACCCTCAAATAATCTGGACCTGAATGATTGACACCTGCTTTTTCATACAAACTGATATAGATTGACTTGCCATTCTCTTTTATTAAAGCTACTGAATATTTTCTGCCATCTTTGCTGAATTTAAACAAGGCCACTTAAGTTACAGTAACCAGTCTCTGTACCACTTTATGCTCATACAACCCAACCCTATTGGTTTAAACTAGTGTAGGAGATGATTGAGGATGACCTCCTTGTTACTTTTTTTTGAAACAAGGTCTCTCTCTGTTAACCAGGCTAGAGTGCAGTGGCATAATATGGCTCACTGCAGCCTCAATCTCCCAGGCTCAAGCCATCCTCCCACCTCATCTCCCAGGTAGCTGGGACTACAAGTATGTACTATCATGCCTGGCTAATTTTTTTATTTTTAGTAGACAGGGTTTCACTATGTTGCCAGGGCTGGTCTCAAACTCCTAGGCTCAAGCAGTCCTCCCACTTTGGCCTCCCAACGTTCTGGGATTATAGGTGTGAGCCACTGTGACCGGCCTCCCTGTTATTTTATGAAGTGAATTTAACTGGGCAACCATGTAACCAGGGAGAGTTATATAGGATTTGATTTCTCTATTCTGAATGATCTGATAATGATCCTCTATCTAGAGTTGAAGGAGTTTCTCAACCAGTGACTGGATACAAACACTCTTGCTACATTTTCATCTTCAGTTGTTGCTCTGCCTTCACCCTAACACTCCACTGTTTTATACCTTGCTCCTTCTGATTCGGGTCTTGGTTGTGAGGGTTAGTTATCAAGCTTATAAAAATTCCTTTTTTCTGTCTTTTGAGCTTCCTTTCACCCTCATACAAATAGGCTGCCTTCTGTGTAGGTTCCTGCTGTGGATCCCAACTATTGCATAATAAAATGACTTGACCTTGAATTCTTCAAAGTTTAAAATGTTTTGACTACGTGTGTTACCTTTGGCTTATTGTAAACAGCCTACCCTAAATATAGTTACTTAAAGTTCTTTTGTGTTTTTTATCTGTGTTCTTCCTCTCTTATCCAAGATGGGTATGGACAGGGGTGAGGAGCAAATGTAACATAGTGTCCTGAATTTCTAACCTATCCTTTGGAATTCTTTATGTTGCCAATCGGTATATCCTTGCTGACCATACTGAATAATATCATCCTTTAAAAAAAAACAAAAGTCCTAGACAGTAAACTGGAAGGTAGTCAAATAATTTTTTTAATTCCTCAAGGTAATTGCTTATCATTTTCGGAGGTTATACTGTTTGGCCATTGGTTTTTCCTGCCATACCTTACTGCCTTCAGTTGTTCTCTGGCCTCATAGGAGGGCTTTCTTCTGCAGTTTAACATTACTAAAAAGAAGCTGTGTAAATAGAGCAGGAAGTGGTTTGGTTTTGTTTTTTTAATCACAGTCTGCTATCTATACTTCCAGCTTCAGACTCTACTTGTGTTATTAATGAAGCATTTGCTAGTAAGGAGGAGAAAAGAGAATGTACTTGTGTTATTAATGAAGCATTTGCTAGAAGGAGGAGAAAAGAGATTGCTCATGAAGCATTCCTCAGGATGAAAAAACTGACAACCGTATCGATAGCTCAGGTGCTGATTAAAATCTCCTATATTCTCTAGGGAGAAAAGTCTGGGGAATTGCAACCAGTTCCTTATTTCCAATTTTATAAGTTATGAAAGCAATGAAACTCATTGCTGTAATATACGGCATTTTGTTGAACAGAGTGATACAGGATTGATTAATGTTTGGCTACAAAAAGAAAAGATATAGAGCCCTCTCCCCCTCCCCCTCCCTCTCTGTCTCGCTGTCCCTCTCTCCATGGTCTCCCTCTGATGCCCAGCCGAGGCTGGACTGTACTGCCGCCATCTCGGCTCACTGCAACCTCCCTGCCTGATTCTCCTGCCTCAGCCTGCGAGTGCCTGGGATTGCGGGCGCGCGCCACCACGCCTGACTGGTTTTTGCTGGAGTGCAGTGGCGTGATCTCGGCTCGCTACAACCTCCACCTCCCAGCCGCCTGCCTTGGCCTCCCAAAGTGCCAAGATTGCAGCCTCTGCCCGGCCGCCACCCCGTCTGGGAAGTGAGGAGTGTCTCTGCCTGGCCGCCCATCGTCTGGGATGTGAGGAGCCCCTCTGCCTGGCCGCCCAGCCTGGGAAGTGAGGAGCGCCTCTTCCCAGCCGCCATCCCGTCTGGGAAGTGACGAGCGTCTCTGCCTGGCCGCCCATCGTCTGGGATGTGAGGAGCCCCTCTGCCTGGCCGACCAGCCTGGGAAGTGAGGAGCGCCTCTTCCCGGCCGCCATCCCGTCTGGGAAGTGACGAGCGTCTCTGCCCGGCCGCCCATCGTCTGAGATGTGGGGAGCGCCTCTGCCCCGCGCCCCGTCTGGGATGTGAGGAGCGCCTCTGCCCGGCCGCGACCCCGTCTGGGAACTGAGGAGTGTCTCTGCCCGACCGCCACCCCGTCTGGAAGGTGAGGAGCGTCTCTGCCCGGCCGCCCCGTCTGAGAAGTGAGGAGCCCCTCCGCCCAGCAGCCGCCCAGTCTGGGAAGTGAGGAGCCCCTCCGCCCGGCAGCCACCCCGTCTGGGAAATGAGGAGCGTCTCCACCCGGCCAGCCGCCCCATCCAGGAGGGAGGTGGGGGGCAGCCCCCGCCCCCGCCCGGCAGCCACCTCGCCCGGGAGGTGGGGGGCACCTCTGCCTGGCTGCCCCATCTGGGAAGTGAGGAGCCCCTCTGCCCGGCGGCCACCCCGTCTGGGAGGTGTACCCAACAGCTCACTGGGAACCGGCCATGATGACGATGGCGGTTTTGTTGAATAGAAAAGGGGGAAATGTGGGGAAAAGAAAGAGAAATCGGATTGTTACTGTGTCTGTGTGGAAAGAGGTGGACATGGGAGACTCCATTTTGTTCTGTACTGAGAGAAATTCTTCTGCCTTGGGATGCTGTTGATCTATGACCTTACCCCCAACCCCGTGCTCTCTGAAACATGTGCTGTGTCCACTAAGGGTTAAATGGATTAAGGGCAGTGCAAGATGTGCTTTGTTAAACAGATGCTTGAAGGCAGCATGCTCATTAAGAGTCATCACCACTCCCTAATCTCAAGTACCAAGGGACACAAACACTGCGGAAGGCCGCAGGGTCCTCTGCCTAGGAAAACCAGAGACCCTTGTTCACATGTTTATCTGCTGACCTTCCCTCCACTATTGTCCTATGACCCTGCCAAATCCCTCTCCGAGAAACACCCAAGAATGATCAATAAATACTAAAAAAAAAAAAAAAAGATACAGAGTACAAACATGCTGTGTGCAAGACTTGACCAGCTGTCATTTGAAAAAGCAGAACTATATATTATTTTTTCTATCAATTATTGAAAAAGGAAGTATTGAAGTCTCCACTAAAATAGCGAATTTACCCGTGTCTTCTTTAATTCTGTTAGTTTTTGCTTCATGTATTTTGAAGCTCTGTTATTAAATACATGTGCATTTATGATAATTATTTTCTTCCTATTGATCCTTTTTATCATTATAAAATGTCCTTCATCTCTGGTATACATTCCTTGTCTTACAATTTATTTTATTTTATATTAATATAACCATACTAGCTTCTTTACAATTATATTGAGACAGTAGACATAAGCCCACTTTGTACCAGGCAAACTAGTTACTCTCCTTATAATGCTTGTGGTGCTTTTTTCCCCCATGAATGATCTTCTCCCCAACCTTCCATGCCGAAGGATAGTTATTTAGGTTGATTTCTTCCATGAAGCTGACATCACATGATCCCCTGAACTTTCTTGATTTTGGACTTGCACATTATATTTAAGGATTGTGTTTAATTATGTATTGTCACTGCTCAAATTTAGCACATTGTTCAAAAGATGTTGTTTGATTGTTTGCTTGAATGGTTGGCCAAGTGAATGAACAGATAGTTTCTAAAATCATTTTGGGAGAACTTATAAACTACATATGTGGAAGGTGAGGAAAAGTAGAAGTTGTAGAACATTAGACTAAGCAAGGTTCAACATTAAGTGATCAGGATGGTTTCTTTAACAGATTCTGGGAAATCAGGAGGAGCATAATTTTTAGGAGAAAGATGATGAGTTCAGTTTGGGACAAATTGAGTTTGAAGTGACTTCTTGAGGGGATGTCCAGCAGGCAGTTGGAAATATAGGTCTGGTGCCTAGATTTTTGGAGTTATTCTTTTGGGTATTACCAGCAAAAAGCAATCATTGACATATTTTAAGCTATCTTAATTCTTACCATCATTTTATCTTCTGTAGATAATCATGACAGCCTCCTAACTAATCTTTCTGCTTCTGTTCCAGTTTCTCTCTTTCAATCCATTCTCCACACTTCTAAAAGAATGATCTTTCTAAAACATAGATCTGATCATGACATTTCCTTATTTAAAATAACCTTTTAGCCTGGTGCATTGGCATGTACCTGCAGTCCCAGTTACTTAGGAGGCTGAGGTGGGAGGATTGCTTGAGCCCAGGAGTTTGAGGCCAGCCTAGGCAACACAGCAAGACCCTGTCTCTAAAAAATAAATAAATAAAATTTAAATGGCTCTTCCTTGTCTTCAGAATGAAAATTCTTTACCTGTTTCCTTTATAATCTCATCCCTCCCTACCTCTTCAATATCATCTCTGCCATTCTCTTTTTTATAATCTAACCTTCAGCCATATAGGACCATTTATAATTCCATGTATAAACCACATTACAGTGCTGGTGATAGAGGTGGGTGTTGATACTACTAATCATAGCAATATTTTTTCAACAAGTGTTAGAATTGTGCCCGTCATTACTCTAAGCAGTTTATATGTAATAAAAAATAGCTAACACTTAACACCTATCATGTAGCAGCACTTTTTAAGAGCTTTACAGTTTTCCACATCTACGAGGGTTGTCTTCTTAGAATCAATTAAGCATTCAGACTCGCAAGCCTATAATAGGCCACACTTGACATCAGTCTACTCAAAAGTACATAGGACAGGAGCCAAAGCTTGCTAGCAAGACATTCATTTTCAGTGAGACCTTGTAGCACTTCATAGAACTGTCTACACAGTTGTCCATGAGCTACTCTTTGCCTTCGTTTCCCTGGGTGATGCTCTGGTACAAAGGAATGAGATCCACATTGGATAGATTTATGAGTTGTCCTGTGTATAAATCCTCACATTCCCCAGGAGCTAGTATCTCTTGTAGCAATTCCATAGGCATAGTAGTCAGAGTCCCCTTAAGGGTCATGCTAAATTACAAGAGTTACTACACTTAGGGAAGCCCACAGATTTGGCTTCCAACTAGGTATTTATAAGTCTTCCAGTTCTTACCAATCAGGAGTCATTTTTAATCATAAAGTTGTTCAGGAACATAGCCGACATTTTACCTTTATCAGATTTTCAGGGGAACATAGTTAGAAATTGAATCAAAAGTCAAAATCTCATATAAAACAGTTTCCCTTTACCTACATACATATTAACTCATTGATTTCTCACTACAATGAAATAAAGTAGTTACTATTATTATTCCATTTTACAGATAAGTATACTTATTTGTACTTCAGGTACAGACAAGTTATGTAACCTGCTGAAGATCACAAAACTAATTATAAAGATGGCAGAACATGATGAATCTCAAAATAACTATGCTGGGTAAAAGAAGCATAACAACATACTGTGTGGCTTCATTTATGTAAAATTCTGAGAAATGAAAATTAATGTATAGTGACAGATCAGTTGTTGTCTGGAATGGGGAACAGGGAGCCAGGGCCATGAAGATAGATTTGGGGGTGATAGATAGGTTCACTGTCTTGTTTGTGAAGATAGTTTCGTGAGTGCATACATGTGTCAAAACTTAACAAATTGTACCCTTTAAATATGTGCAATTATGGTGTGTCAATTATACCTTAATAAATCAGCTTTAAAAAAATCCTGTAATATGAACCCAGGCAGTATGACTCCAGCATGTGCAATTTCAATCATTATGTTAGGCAGAATACTAGTTCTCCAAAGATGTCAGCATACAAGCCATCAGAACCTATGAATATGTTGTATTACATGGCAAGAGGGAATTAAGGTTGCAGGGAGAATAAATTTACTAATTAGCTGACTTTGATACAGAGATATTTACCCGGATTATCTGGGCAGGCCCAATGCAACCACATACATCCTTATAAGTGAAAGAGGAAAGCAGTGAAAGAGATTCAATGTCAGATTGATACAGCGTAAGATACAGCCATTGCTGGCATTGAAGGTGGAGGAAGGGGCTATGAGCCAAGGAATACAGGCAACCTCCAGAAGCTGGAAAGGCAAGGAAACAGATTTTCCCCTAGAGCCTCCAGAAGGAATGCAGCCCTGCCAACACTTTGATTTTAGCCCATTGAGACCCATTTTGGACTTCTGACTTCCAGAACTGTAAAATAATACATTTGTGTTATTTTAATCCACCAAATTTGTGGTAATTTGTTACAGCAGCGATAGGAAACTAATACACTCAGTGTATTCCGTTGCATCACATACTGTACTATATTTCTTGTTGCCAGGCCTTCCCACTGCTGTTTTGTTTCTATGTATAACAGTCTGCCTCCTTTACCCACTTCTGGAGAAACTTTCCTGGCCCCCTCTTCAGTCTGGATTAGTTGGTTCACCTTTGTGTTTTTAACTTACTCTGTAGCCATTCTCATATTGCATGTCAAATAATGCAGATCTTAGCACCTATCTGCCTCCTTCCTACTCACATTTCAAGGTTTAACTCAAATGTCGCTTCTGCCTGGAAGTTTTTCCTGAGCCCCCTAGACTTGGACAAGTGTTCCTGCTTTGTTCTACCACTTGCTGAGTTTTGCTATAACATTTACTTCCTCAATTATAAATGTTTACTTGTCTGTCTCTCCCACTAGACAACATTCCTTCTCATCTTAGTATCCTGTATACCCAGCTTAAAGGGTACTGTACTGTAAGGGCTTAAATGTTTGATGAATGAGTAAATGAATCAATCAGTCAGTCACCAGATCGATATCTTGGGATTGCTGTTGGAATATTACATTCATCCTGAGCTTAAAAGTCAATGTTTTTCTCCATCAGGGTACAGAAATTAAGATAAAGAGCTCTCTGTGGCCACCATAAAAAATATGAGTCCTAACTTGCTGATCAGAGATTTATCCCTTTCAGCATTCATTCTCTCAAATGATTATTAAATTTTAGCACTATTTCCGTAGAGACTTGCTTGGTTATTTTTCTTTTTCTTGTCGATTTTGCATGAGAAAATGCTTTACCTGGCATAATATTTTGGCACAGGGAATAGGATTCTACTGTGTGGTCCAAGACTTTTGAGCGAAAGAAACTTACTTGGCTCTTGATCTACATGAATTCTTTAGATTTTTATCTTTCAGCTGCCTTGAAGGTAAGAGTATTTTCATTCACCCTCCAGGACTCTGCATATTCATTTCTGCAAAAACATCCCAGAGCTCTCTTCTTCACCAGCATTCTTAGTCTTGAAAGCCTCTTCATGAACTATAGATGAACTCTTGAATCTAGACCTGAATTAGATGGGAGAAGGCTTCCTCTAGACTTTTTGTTTATCCTACAGACTCCCCCAGTGAGTTTGATTTTTATAACTCACAGAAGAAGGCTTTTCTTTTTCTTGATGTCTGTATACTTTCTGAGCTATAGTCTGCTTTAATTCTGAGAACAGACCAGGGTAAATTGAGCTTCAGCTCAGAATATGACTGTTTTATAAACAAATTTAAACATTGTTTAAATACAAGGGCAGGTGTGGTGGCTCACATCTATAATCCCAGCACTTTGGGAGGCCAAGGTGGGAGGATTGTTTGAGCCCAGAAGTTCAAGACCAGCCTGGGCAACATAGTGATATCCCATCTCTGCCAAAAAAAATTAAAAATTAGCCAGGTGTGGTGGTGTGCATCTGTGGTCCCAGCTTGCTGGGAGGCTGAGGCGGGAGGATCGCTTGAGCTTGGGAGATTGAGAGTGCAGTGAGCTGTCTTCATGCCACTGCACTCTAGCCTGTGTAACACAGCGAGACCTTGCCTAAAAAAAAAGGAAAAATATAGTACATAGAGCGTGAGAATTCATAAATACACAATTGACAGTTTAGGTATTCAAAAGATGTTCAGGGAATCTTTCTGAAGAAGTAGTATATGTGAGGAATAACATTCTTTTTTTTTTTTTCATACGAAGTCTAGCTCTGTCGCCCAGGATGGATTGCAGTGGCTCGATCTTGGCTCACCGCAACCTCTGCCTCCCAGGTTCAAGTGATTCTTCTGCCTCAGCCTCCCGAGTAGCTGGGACTACAGGCGCGCGCCACCATGCCCAGCAAATTTTTTGTATTTTTGGTAGAGACAGGGTTTCACCATGTTGGGCGGGCTGGTCTTGAACTCCTGACCTCGTGATCTGCCCACCTCAGCCTCCCAAAGTGCTGTGATTACAGGCGTGAGCCACCGCGTCTAGCCAGGAATAACCTTCTTTTTAGCAATTTTGTTCCCTGCCTTTGGGTTAGAGCAGCAAAGGAGTTAAAAGCTATATAAGAACACAAGGAGATGCTGGCCAATTAATGGGGTTGTACAGTAATATAATTTTGATTCACTAGAGTTGCTGACACTAGAGGTTTTTCCTATGAAGAACTGTTCCTTAAATCCCATGGGTGATGTGAATGTATATACAACCCTGAATAAAGACTTAATGAGAATGAATATCTTCTGCCTTGGTGTTTATATGGAATCAGGTTACTGTAGAATGTGGAAAAATGGTTTTGCTCCAGTTCCTAAACAAAATGATAAGCATTGTCCTAACTGAATTTGTTTTGACATTCTTGCTGCCCCATACAGGTCAAGTTGCAAGATGGAACAAAAGACTAGAGCTAGAGGGTGATATACGGCCTTGACCAAAATGCTGTAAATGTTTGGAATGGCATTCTTACTAGGATATGAAATCTTTAAATAAAGCATGTAATGGGAAATATGCATTCATCTCCATATTAAAAAGGCCATGTTGGAAATAAAATATCATGGAGTTTTTAAAAGATGAGGATTAAGATCACCTGAAAATTAGTCTTTTGATTACTATGAGAATTTGATTATAGTTTTTATGATATTTATGCATAGGCATTTTTCATTAGATTATTTGAGGTTTGACTCTGCTTGAAATGAGTTTTTTAAGTATTTGAATAAAGGAGCTAGCTGGAATTATAGGCAGAACATTAACATAATAATATTTTTTGAATGCTTACAGTATGCCAGACACTATTATAAGATCATTATATGTAATATATATTATATATAAAACACATTTAAATATAATTTCAGTATATTCTGATGACTTGATTCAGTGCACAGAATATAACTCACAGAAGAAGGCTTCTCAGTCTCAAGAGAAGTAGCCAGGAAATCTCTTTCCTCCTGGAAAAGGGTATGACTAATTTTTTAATACTTTAAAATAAATCTGAAAACTATTTCGAAGGCTCTCAAAAATAAACCATTGATCATGCAATACTGTGGTTGGTCAAAAATAGCTACCTATGTCCTCTTCCTTTTGAAAGAAGTTTATTGTTTACTTTTTATTCTTCCCCTCCCCCACTGTCCTCCCAACATTGATATAATGGAACAGAATAATTTCTAAAATCAGTTTACAATTATATGTTGCCCTTTTCTCTGTTTGAATCAATAAGTCAGGTGGTAGACATTAGCCTCTAACTACCATTTTGGCAACATATGTACCTTGTATGTGTGCACATTATTTCTCCAAAGAAATGCTTGAGGAGGGTGATTTATTTTTCCCAATCTATGTTCAAATCTGTGAGCTGAAAAGGAGGCATCTGGACTCAGCACAGTGGCTCACACATGTAATTAATCCCAACCCTTTGGGAGGCCGAGGCAGGAGGATCCCTTGAGTTCAGGAGTTCAAGGCCAGCCTGGACAATATAGTGAGATCCCATCTCTACAAAAAATAAAACATTAGCTGGACATGGTAATGCATGCCTGTGGTCCCAGCTACTTGGGAGGCTAAGATGGGAGGATCGCTTAAGCCAAGCCAGGGAGATCAAGGCTGCAGTAAGCTGTGATTGTGCTACTGCACTCCAGCGTAGGTGACATAGCAAGACCCTGTCTCAAAAAAATAAGAAAAGAAAAGAAAGAAAGAAAAGGAGGCATCTGATCTGCAGTTCTGAATAGAATGGTTATCCACCATGATGTGAGGTAAGTTGTTCTGTAAGTCTTGTGTGCCACAGAGTTGTTGGGGGAAAATTAAATCACTATTTTTTTTTTTTTTTTTTTTTTTGAGACAGAGTCTCACTCTGTCGCCCAGGCTGGAGTGCAGTGGTGTGATCTCGGCTCACTGCAAGCTCCGCCTCCCGGGTTCACGCCATTCTCCTGTCTCAGCCTCCTGAGTAGCTGGGACAACAGGTGCCCACCACCAGGCCCGGCTAATTTTTTTGTATTTTTTTTAGTAGAGACAGGATTTCACTGTGTTAGCCAGGATGGTCTCAATCACCTGACCTCATGATCCACCCGCCTCAGCCTCCCAAAGTACTGGGATTACAGGTGTGAGCCACCACGCCCAGCCTAAATCACTATTTTTAAAGTAATTGTTTTATGCATGTTAGATTTTTTAATGAATTTTCCAGACAAATGCCTCTCATTTTACCTTTTTTATACACGAAATGTTTCCAAAATAACGAAAATAACATCTCAGTCTTTTTTTTTTAGTATTTATTGATCATTCTTGGGTGTTTCTCAGAGAGGGGGATGTGGCAGGGTCATAGGATAATAGGGAGAGAAGGTCAGCAGATAAACACGAGAACAAAGGTCTCTGGTTTTCCTAGGCAGAGGTTCCTGTGGCCTTCGGCCCTGTTTGTGTCCCTGGGTACTTGAGATTAGGGAGTGGTGATGACTCTTAACGAGTATGCTGTCTTCAAGTATCTGTTTAACAAAGCACATCTTGCACCACCCTTAATCTATTTAACCCTGAGTTGACACGCACATGTTTCAGAGAGCAGGGGGTTGGGGGTAAGGTTATAGATTAACAGCATCCCAAGGCAGAAGAATTTTTCTTAGTACAGAACAAAATGGAGTCTCCTATGTCTACTTCTTTCTACACAGACACAGTAACAATCTGATCTCTCTTTCTTTTCCCCACATTTCCCCCTTTTCTTTTCGACAAAACCGCCATAGTCATCATGGCCCATTCTTGATGGTCGCTGTCTCTTTGGAGCTGTTGGATACACTTCCCAGATGGGGCAGCCTGGCGGAGGCGCTCCTCACTTCCCAGACGGGGCGGCCGGGCAGAGGCGCGCCTCACTTCCCAGACGGGGCGGCCGGGCAGAGGCACCTCACTTCCCAGACAGGGTGGCAGCTGGGCAGAGGCGCTCCTCACATCCCAGATGATGGGCGGCCGGGCAGAGGCGCTCCCCACCTCCCAGAGTAAGAGCGGCCGGGCAGAGGCGCCCCCCACTTCCCAGACAGGGCGGCCGGGCAGAGGCGCTCCTCATATCCCAGATGGGGCGGCCGGGCAGAGGCGCTCCTCACTTCCCAGATGGGGTGGCCGGGCAGAGGCGCTCCCCACATCCCAGACGGGGCAGCCGGGCAGAGGCGCTCCCCACCTCCCAGACGATGGGCGGCCAGGCAGAGGCGCTCCCCACCTCCCAGAGGGGGCGGGGCAGAGGTGCTCCTCACCTCCCAGACAGGGCGGCCGGGCAGAGACGCCCCTCACCTCCCAGAGGGGGCGGCCGGGCAGAGGCGCCCACTTCCCCGACGGGGCGGCCGGGCAGAGACGCCCCTCACCTCCCAGACGGGGCAGCCGGACAGAGGCGCTCCTCACCTCCCAGACGGGGCGGCCGTGCAGAGGCGCTCCTCACCTCCCAGACGGGGCGGCCGGGCAGAGGCGCTCCTCACCTCCCAGACGGGGCGGCCGGGCAGAGGCGCTCCTCACTTCCCATTCGGGGCAACCGGGCAGAGGCGCTCCTCACTTCCCATTTGGGGCAACTGGGCAGAGGCGCTCCTCACTTCCTCCCAGACGGGGCGGCCGGGCAGAGGTGCTCCTCACTTCTCAGATGGGGCGGCCAGGCAGAGGTGCTCCTCACATCCCAGACGGGGCGGCCGGGCAGAGGCTCTCCTCACATCCCAGACAATGGGCAGCCAGGCAGAGACACTCCTCACTTCCTAGATGGGGTGGCGGCGGGGCAGAGGTGCTCCTCACTTCCCCGACGGGGGCAGCCAGGCAGAGGCACTCCTCACTTCCCATTCGGGGCAGCTGGGCAGAGGTGCTCCTCACTTCCTCCCAGACAGGGCGGCCGGGCAGAGGCGCTCCTCACTTCCCAGAGGGGGCGGCCAGGCAGAGGCACTCCTCACTTCCCATTCGGGGCAGCCGGGCAGAGGCGCTCCTCACTTCATCCCAGACGGGGCGGCCAGGCAGAGGCGCTCCTCACTTCCCATTCGGGGCGGCCGGGCAGAGGCGCTCCTCACTTCCCAGACGGGGCGGCCGGGCAGAGGCACACCTCACATCCCAGACGATGGGCGGCCGGGCAGAGACGCTGCTCACTTCCTAGACGGGGTGGCAGGCAGGCAGAGGCTGTAATCTTAGCACTTTGGGAGGCCAAGGCAGGCGGCTGGGAGGTGGAGGTTGTAGCGAGCCGAGATCATGCCACTGCACTCCAGCCTGGGCAACATTGAGCATGAGTGAGCGAGACTCCGTCTGCAATCCCAGCACCTCGGGAGGCTGAGGCGGGGAGATCACCCGAGGCCAGGAGCTGGAGACCAGCCTGGTCAACACGGTGAAACCCCGTCTCCACCAAAAATACAAAAACCAGTCAGGAGTGGCGGCGCGTGCCTGGCATCCCAGGCACTCGGCAGGCCAAGGCAGGAGAATCACCGGAGCCCAAGGCAGGGAGGTTGCGGCGAGCCGAAGATCTCAGTCTTTTAAAATACACATCTAATTTCCTTGTAGGGGCACAAGTGAAAGAACACTAGAAAACTAGGTAAATGCAAGGTTATCGCTGTAAGTGAATACCTGGGCTTCGGAAGCCTCATTGTTCTTGAACTGTGGTTTCTGGTACAGATGGAGAACAGAGACCACTGGCTGCTGAAGCTGGTGCTGAGGGGGGCCAATGGCTGTTCTTCGGAGGTTAATACAGGGAAAACCACTTGATTTGCCAGAGGAGTCTGGGAGGGGAGCAGATGGCCGCAAGAAGGGCCCTCTAGCTTACTCAGCTGCTCTGAGAAGCTTAGGGTGACCTCTATAATACAAACAAACCAAGTAGTTCTCAGGGTAATGGGGCAGCATCATTTGTATTCCCAAATAACAATACTGCTCCTCACTTTGCAATCTCTCGCACCCTCACCCAGTGTTTGGGCACCATCTGCTTCTTGTGAACTTATATAGGCCCCAGGCGTGGCCAGTTGGGATTGCTATTGAATGATATCTTTGGGAAATGTGTTCTTTACAAATTACTTTCACATGAGTCTGATAGGCAGCTAAGTAGTATTATGTCTATTTGCATAATTAAGAAACTGAGGCAAAGAGGAATTGAGGGGTACTAGAATTACAACTCAAGCATTCTGATTCCTAATCTGTTTGTATCGATAGTATATGGAGCCATTCCAGTGCTCTTGTTTAGGCAGTTGTTACCCAGCTTTTGAGAAAGGCTTTCTGGAAAGGAAATTAGTTATTTTATAGATGTCACTCTCATTGTTTTAATTGTTCTGGTTACTGTTTTGCTAAGTGACAAAAAGGAGAGAAAGAGTGGCTGCTTTACTTCTGCTGGTATACTGCTGTGGCCTTCCGGGAGACAGGAATTAAGTGAGAAGGTCTAATTTATACTATGCAGTTTCATCAAAACCAAATTTATTCAAGAGGAAGCTTTCTCAGTCAAAGAAGTTACTTAGTTTATATATTTGCATATCCTTTTTAACTGACTATAAGAAAAAATATTCTTTTCATAAACCACATCTCTTCTTTTCCCTGCTATTGGCTGAAATGATAATCATTTTCATGCATTAACACCTGCCTAGGGGCCTGGTGAATCAAAAGAGCAATGAGAAAAGTGGTTTTAATTGCCCAAGCTTTACTAGAGCCTTTCTTGCACTCAGAAAAACAAAAGGCTTTGAATGGTGTCAAAGGGCTGCACTGAGAAGTGCTTTCCTTTAGAACTCTAAGCAGATGATTCACTCATGTCCTGATACATTTTCTTGTACAGATGAGTTCATGAGCCCACCTTCATTCCAACTATGAGAGCATCACAGCACTTGTCAGTTTCAGTTACCTTGAACATTTGCCCAGGAAAACAGGCAAATGTCAGAGTTTACTGACTTGTTATTAGTGCAGGACTCTCTGTCTTTGTAGAATTACACTTGCTAATTACCTTTACAAAGTTTTGTATACAAATTTAAACTTCAGAGTCATATTTAATATATTGTAGTCCTTAAGAATATAGGCTCTGGAGCCAGACTACCTGTGTTCAGATCCCAACTTTACATTTTACAGGTTGTGTGATCTTAGACAAGTTCTTCTATCTCTCTTATCCTAGTTTTCTTATCGGAAACAGGGAAATAACAACAGAATCTACTTTGTAGGGTTGCTTTGAGCATTTAATTAGTTAATTAGTTAATACATGGGAAGCACTTAGAATACTATCTGTCATGTAGTAAGTATATCCAGTAAATGTTGGCTGATAAAAACTGCTTGTATTTTATATTTTTGAAAATAGGTTATAAAAATTGGCAGAAGCATAACAGGCATAAATATCAATTATGAGCCGGGCATGGTGGCTCAGCTCACACCTTCAATCTCAGCACTTTGGGAGGCCAAGGCAGGAAGATCAGTTGAGACCAGGAGTTTGAGACCAGCCTAGGCAATATAGCAAGACTCATCTCTACAAACATTAAAAAAATAATAATTAGCCAGGTATTGGTGGCGCATGCCTGTGGTCTCAGCTGCTTGGGAGGCTGAGGTGAGAGGATCACTTGACCCTGAAGGTCGAAGTTGCAGTGAGCCGTGATCATGCCAGTACATTCCAGCCTAGGCGACAAAGCAAGACCCTGTACCCCCACCAAATAAATAAATAAATAAATAATTTAAAAATCTATATACATACATTATGGAAAATAATCTTGGTGTTTCAATATTATACCAAATATACAAATTATTGTTACTTTGCTCACCGTCTCAGTAAAATTATTTAATTACTGGCTTATTTTAATCACAAATCAGGAATTTTATAAACATGCTTAATCCTCTGTGAACTGTAGATATAAATATGTAAAAGATTCAGTTTAGTGTTCATTTATTCATTCATCCATACACAGTCAGTTATTAAGTCCTTACCATGTGCCTGAGATGAAAATATAGAGATGAAAAAGATATACATAACTCCCTTATTCAAGGAACTCACAATCTAAAGGGAAACGATAAATGTGAAGACAATTACATTGATGTCAAGTACTATAATGGAGATATGACTGATGAAAAATGAGTGCTTAGGAAGAAGCACTTAACTAGCTGTCCAAAAAGATGAGGGAAGACTTCCCAGAGTAGGGGCTCATTTGAGTCAAGAATTAGCATGAGAAGGAAATGAGAAGGTCATGCCTGGTATAGGAAACTTCACATGCAAAGGCATAAAGGATAAGAAAATGGAGAAAACAGCATAGTCAAGAATCTGCAAATAGTTTGGTGTGTTTGGAATGTGGGAGAGTGGTATGAAGCAAGTCTGAAGAGATAGAAAGAAATCATATTGTAAGAAGTTTGAACTTTATCTTGTAATCAGTGGAGAACCATTGAATGATTTTAAGCAATTCAGTTCAGCAAACACTTTTATAAATGTTTACTCTATGCCAGACTGTTAGGTAACAGAAATATAAAATACATAGTTCACAGTTTTTTTTTTTTTATTATACTTTAAGTTCTAGGGTACATGTGCACAATGTGCAGGTTTGTTACATAGGTATACATGTGCCATGTTGGTTTGCTGCACTCATTAACTCGTCATTTACATTAGGTATTTCTGCTAATGCTATCCCTTCCCCTGCCCTCCACCCCACGACAGGCCCTGGGATATGATGTTCCCCGCCCTGTGTACAGGTGTTCTCATTGTTCAACTCCCACCTATGAGTGAGAACATGCGGTGTTTGGTTTTCTGTCCTTGTGACAGTTTGCTCAGAATGATGGTTTCTAGCTGTATCCATGTCCCTGCAAAGGACATGAACTCGTCCTTTTTATGGCTGCATAATATTCCGTGGTGTATATGTGTCACATTTTCTTAATCCAGTCTATCACTGATGGATATTTGGGTTGGTTCCAAGTCTTTGCTATTGTGAATAGTGTTGCAGTAAACATACATGTGCATGTGTCTTTATAGTAGCATGATTTATAATCCTTTGGGTATATACTCAGTAGTGGAATCTCTGGGTCAAATGGTATTTCTAGTTCTACATCCTTGAGGAATCGCCACACTGTCTTCCACAATGGTTGAACTAGTTTACACTCCCACCAACAGTGTAAAGCATTCCTATTTCTCCACATCCTCTCCAGCATCTGTTGTTTCCTGACTTTTTAATGATCACCATTCTAACTGGTGTGAGATGGTATCTCATTGTGGTTTTGATTTGCATTTCTCTGATGACCAGTGATGATGAGCATTTTTTCATGTGTCTGTTGGCTGCCTAAATGTCTCCTTTTGAGAAGTGTCTGTGCATATCCTTTGCCCACTTTTTGATGGGGTCGTTTTTTTTCTTGTAAATTTGTTTAAGTTCTTTGTAGATTCCAGATATTAGCCCTTTGTCAGATGAGTAGATTGCAAAAATTTTCTCCCATTCTGTAGGTTGCCTGTTCACTCTGATGGTAGTTTCTTTTGCTGTGCAGAAGCTCTTTAGTTTAATTAGATCCCATTTGTCAATTTTGGCTTTTGTTGCCATTGCTTTTGGTGGTTTAGTCATGAAGTCCATGCCTATGTCCTGAATGGTATTGCCTAGGTTTTCTTCTGTGGTTTTTATGGTTTTAGGTCTAACATTTAAGTCTTTAATCCATCTTGAATTAATTTTTGTATAAGGTATAAGGAAAGGATCCAGTTTCAGCTTTCTACATATGGCTAGCCAGTTTTCCCAGCACCATTTATTAAATAGGGAATCCTTTCCCCATTTCTTGTTTTTGTCAGGTTTGTCAAAGATCAGATGGTTGTAGATGTGTGGTGTTATTTCTGAGGCCTCTGTTCTGTTCCATTGGTCTGTATATCTGTTTTGGTACCAGTACCATATTGTTTTGGTTACTGTAGCCTTGTAGTATAGTTTGAAGTCAGGTAGCATGATGCCTCCAGCTTTGTTCTTTTGGCTTAGGATTGTCTTGGCAATGCAGGCTCTTTTTTGGTTCCATATGAACTTTAAAGTAGTTTTTTCCAATTCTGTGAAGAAAGTCATTGGTAGTTTGATGGGGATGGCATTCAATCTATAAATTACTTTGGGCAGTATGGCCGTTTTCATGATACTGATTCTTCCTATCCACGAGCATGGAATGTTCTTCCATTTGTTTGTGTCCTCTTTTATTTTGTTTGAGCAGTGGTTTGTAGTTCTCCTTGAAGAGGTCCTTCACATCCCTTGTAAGTTGGATTCCTAGGTATTTTATTCTCTTTGAAGCAATTGTGAATGGGAGTTCACTCATGATTTGGCTCTCTGTTTGTCTGTTATTGGTGTATAGGAATGCTTGTGATTTTTGCACATTGATTTTGTATCCTGAGACTTTGCTGACATTGCTTATCAGCTTAAGAAGATTTTGGGCTGAGACAATGGAGTTTTCTAAATATACACCCATGTCATCTGCAAACAGGGACAATTTGATTTCCTCTTTTCCTAATTGGATACCCTTTATTTCTTTCTCTTGCCTGATTGCCCTGGCCAGAACTTCCAATACTATGTTGAATAGGAGTTGTGAGAGAGGGCATCCCTGTCTTGTGCCAGTTTTCAAAGGGAATGCTTCCAGTTTTTGCCCATTCAGTATGATATTGGCTGTGGGTTTGTCATAAATTGCTCTTATTATTTTGAGATACGTTACATCAATACCTAATTTATTGAGAGTTTTTAGCATGAAGGCTGTTGAATTTTGTTGAAGGCCTTTTCTGCATCTATTGAGATAAACATGTGGGTTTTGTTGTTGGTTCTGTTTGTGTGACGGATTATGTTTATTGATTTGCGTGTGTTGAACCAGCCTTGCATCCCAGGGATGAAGCCGACTTGATCATGGTAGATAAGCTTTTTGATGTGCTGCTGGATTCGGTTTGCCAGTATTTTATTGAGGATTTTCACATTGATGATCATCAGGGATATTGGTCTAAAATTCTCTTTTTTTGTGTGTCTCTGCCAGGCTTTGGTATCAGGATGATGCTGGCCTCATAAAATGAGTTAGGGAGGATTCCCTGTTTTTCTCTTGATTGGAATAGTTTCAGAAGGAATGGTACCAGCTCCTCTTTGTACCTCTGGTAGAGTTCGGCTGTGAATCCATCTGGTCCTGGACTTTTTTTGGTTGGTAGGATATTAATTATTGCCTCAATTTCAGAGCCTGTTATTGGTCTATTCAGAGATTCAATTTCTTCCTGGTTTAGTCTTGGGAAGGTGTATGTGTCCAGGAATTTATCCATTTCTTCTAGATTTTCTAGTTTATTTTTGTAGAGGTGTTTATAGTATTCTCTGATGGTAGTTTGTATTTCTGTGGGATTGGTGGTAATATCCCTTTTATCATTCTTTATTGTGTCTATTTGATTCTTCTCTCTTTTCTTCTTTACTAGTCTTGCTAGCGGTCTATCAATTTTGTTGATCTTTTCAAAAAACCAGCTGCTGGATTCATTGGTTTTTTGAAGGGTTTTTTGTGTCACTGTCTCCTTCAGTTCTGCTCTGATCTTAGTTATTTCTTGCCTTCTGCTAGCTTTTGAATGTGTTTGCTCTTGCTTCTCTAGTTCTTTTAATTGTGATGTTAAGGTGTCTATTTTAGATCTTCACCGCTTTCTCTTGTGGGCATTTAGTGCTATAAATTTCCTTCTACACACTGCTTTAAATGTGTCCCAGAGATTCTCGTATGGTGTGTCTTTTTTCTCATTGGTTTCAAAGAACATCTTTATTTCTGCCTTCATTTAGTTATGTACCCAGTAGTCATTCAGGAGCAGGTTGTTCAGTTTCCATGTAGTTGTGCGGTTTTGAGTGAGTTTCTTAATCCTGAGTTCTAATTTGATTGCACTGTGGTCTGAGAGGCAGTTTGTTGTGATTTCTGTTCTTTTACATTTGCTGAGGAGTGCTTTACTTCCAGCTATGTGGTCAATTTTGGAATAAGTGCGATGTGGTGCTGAGAAGAATGTATATTCTGTTGATTTGGGGTGGAGAGTTCTGTAGATGTCTATTAGGTCTGCTTGGTGCGGAGCTGAGTTCACAGTTTTATAGGAATGACATGATATTATTTCCCCATTGGAAAGACCTTCTGCTCATGTTTATGGAAGATGAGTAGAGGGAATAAGACTTAAAGGCAGGAAGATTAGTTAACCCAGGCAAGAGATTATTATGATCTCAAATTGAGGTGGTGTTAGGGGAGTTAAAGTGGAGGAACTAGAATGGAAAAATATTTAGGAGGCAGAATCCACAGGATTTAGTGACCTTTTGTATATGAATCAGAAGGAGAAGCCAAGGATAAACCCCAGAGCAGTGGCTCCTGCCTGACTCTACAGCTCCATCACTTGTCACTTTCCCGCTTCCTGTTGGCTTTCCAGTCACTGGTCTTCTTTCTCTTCTTTGAACATTCCATGATCCTCTATGACTCAGCACTTCTGCATATGTGTCTCTGTCTCTTTTTGTCTGTCTGTCTGTCTCTCTCTTGCCTGGAGTCTTCTTTACCACTACTCTGCCATTCTCCATCCTTTCACCTAATTAATTCCTACTTATTCTACAGAATTCTGGACAAAATATTATTTCCTCAAAAACTCATCCCTTACCACTTCTGTCCCTGAATCAGTTCAGGTCCCCCGCTATTATATACTACCCTATCATTTTATACTACTTCTTTATAGTACTTAACACAATTAGAACTCAATAGCCGGGTGTGGTGGTGGGGACCTATAATCCCAGCTACTCAGGAGACTGAGGCAGGAGAATTGCTTGAACCTGGGAGGCAGAGGTTGCAGTGAGCTGAGATCGCACCACTGCACTCCAGCCTGGGTGACAGAGTGAGACCTTGTCTCAAAAACAAAAAAAAAGAAGCACATTGAGTTGAAAGAAATGCTATAAATTTATTTTTCCTAGTTTTTAAAGCCCAACATTGTTTCAGAATGTGAAATTATGATCATTTTATAATAATTTCTGTTACCACGACTATAATCATGCAATAAGATTAGGGCAAATCACGTAACTTCTTTGAACCTTGTTCCTCATCTGTGAAATGATTATGTCTCAGGTCCTTTACTACTTCATTTTGAGTAAAATCTCACTCATATAAACTAGAATATAAGCTCCATACCCATAAATGTTAAGGCTTTTTCACTTACTATGATTCATTTCAACAGTTGGGGCACCAAGTAGTTTTATATAGAGGTGATATTTGAGCTAAGCCATGAAGAACATAGAATTTCCTTATTTGGAGAGGGGAAATTTGTATATATCTGTCTGTCACACATGTCCAAACAGAAAAATGGTCTTTAGTCCTTTTCTGTTTAATCCAAGGTGGAGTCTAGCCCATGCTCGGGATTCCCCAGCCTTAATGCTGGGAAAGAAAACTGTTAAGTGAACAATTTCAGTCAATTCCCGTGTCCTCAGTTTAGAAGGCAGGAGAATCAGAACTCTTTTAAACCATGGATTTTTAAGTTTCTTACTGATCTTGTGGTTCCCAGAGCTCTTGCTGCACATTTAAGCATGTCTAGCTCTTGCAAGGACCACCTGCAAAGTACTTGGTTGTTAGGAGCCTGTGAGGCCATTTTGATACATTTTTAAATCTTTCCTAAGTCGCACTTGGAGCACGTTGAAGGCAAAGAAAGCATGGCTCATTTATAGGATGACATGATGGTGGGGGTTCTTATAATAGCAGGTGTTTATAGAAGGCCAGTGATTTTTCTGGAAGCAGAGATGTCACAGCCAGTGTGATATGTAATGGAGAAGCAGCTGCGGTACAATTTTATTCTTACAGTTCTAAACAATCTACAGGTCAGGTAGGGAAGCTGTCTAAGCCATAGAACGGCATGAAGCATCTCTTCTTCTCAGGGCAAGGCTTTGCTTTGTGATCCGAGGGGCAAGGGGTGGGTAAATGCACTGGTTGTAAAACTAAACAGGAACTCCTTGAAAATGTTTGGTGCTTTATGCAGGGCCTGCTCAGTGTTAAAGCACTTGAGGGCTGTGTGTGTGTGTGTGTGTGTGCGTGTGTGTGTGTGTGTGTTGATAGGGCCACAAGGCAAGCAGCTGCCTGATTGTCCATTTTCTTTAAAAACATACACACATGCACACACACGCACACACACACACACACACACACACACAAACAGTTATCTACCAGGTCCACCATCTCTGACTGCTTTGCATCAAAAAATGGACTGTAGGAAGGAACAAAATAGCGATGTTTTACCTTTATGGCCCACTGGAGTCACTAGTAAAGCAGGTAGGGGTGTGTGTGTGTATGTGTGCGTGCGTGTGTGTGTTTTAACTGTGGTACACTACCAAGTCTAACATTATATATTGCTTCTCTTTATACCTGCCTATTGCTCCCCACAATTTATCTATATCCTAATCACTTGAAGACCTATAACTAATAAAATAGACTGTTTTAAAAGCCTATATAGTTCTTGGGCACTTGAATATTTGATAAGTAGAATAACTTCACAATGTATGTATTTTGTTTTTGTATTTTAGGAAAATGTGAATGAAGGAGTATCACAAAGATGATATTTGGGAAAACGTCTTTTATAAAGTAGTTGTTTTTCCCATGAGTTTCTAAGCAATTTTTGTGGTGGTTGTTTCTGTTACTGTTTTTGTTAAGAGCCTACCAGGTTCCAGGCACTGACCTAACCACTTTATGTGTTTTTTTTCTTTATTTTACAGATAAATGTGTTAAGAATCAAAGAAAGACAGTCAAAACTTTAAATAAAAAATAAATTCACGCCTGATGAAATAATAAGTCAAGGCAACAATCATCAATGACTGTTAAAACCATTAGGTGAAAAGCTGACAAGGAACTTTGTAAGGGAGAGATCAGGTCAAAAACACCAAAACCCACTGGTCATTCCTCAACAGCATGAAAAGAAAGACAATCAGGCGTTATATGTCTCCTGATGTGATGCAATAGAAAGTATGCAACACAGCCTGTGAAGTAATTTCAGCAAAAAACCCAAATCTCATCAAGTCTCTAGAACTCACATTATTTTTCAATATTAGGATGTTGGGGAAGAAGGGAACTTGTAGTTTAAGAGACATAACAACAAAATTAAATGTCTGCACCTTGTTTGCATCTTGATTTGAACAAACATCCTGTTAAAGAAAAATAAAAATAAAGAGCCAGGCACAGTGGTTCATGCCTATAATCCCAGGACTTTGGGAGGCTGAGGCAGGAGGATCAGTTGAGGCCAGGAGTTCAAGACCAGCCTGGACAACACATTGAGACCCCATCTCTACAAAAAATAAAAAAAAATTAGAGATGGTAGCACATGCCTGTAGTTCCAACTTTTCAGGAGGCTGAGGTGGGAGGTTCACTTGAGCCCAGGAGGTTGAGGCTGCAGTAAGCCATGATCACACCACTGCACTCCAGCTTGGGCAACAGAGAGAGACCCTGTCTCAAAAAAAAAAAAAAGTTAATTATGGAAATCTGAACACTGAATATTTGATATTAAGGAATTACAAATTTTAGTTCTTACCTTTTAGAGATTCATACAGAGGTGTTTACCAATGAAATGATATTTGTGGGATTTGCTTTCAAAGTAATCTATGGAGGAGGTAGGAAAGGAGTTGGTAAACGGTAGGTTAAAGAAATTTGTCTTTGTGTTGATAATTGTTGAAGTTAAGTGATGCATACATGGGGACTCAACATACTGCTGTCTCTGTCTTTTGTTTTTTTTTTTTTTGCTTGCCTTGTTCTGGAGTACAGTGATATGATCTTGGCTCACTGTAACCTCGATCTCCCAGGCTCCAGTGATCTTCCCACCTCAACCCCCCAAGTATCTGGGACTGTGGCTATGGGACTATAGGCGTGCACCACCACGCCTGGCTAATTTTTTGTACTTTTCATGGAGGCAGGGTTTCGCCATGTTGCCAGGCTGGTCTTGAACTCCTGAGCTCAAGTGATCCACCTGCCTCAGCCTCCTAAAGTGCTGGGATTACAGGCATGAGCCGCCAAGCCTGGCCCTGTCTCTGTACTTTTTTGTTTGATAGCCAGGCTGGCCTTGAACTCCTGGGCTCAAGCAGTCCTCCCACCTTGGGCTCCCAAAGTGCTGGGATTACAGGCATGAGCCACCACACCCAGCCAGTAAGGATTTTTAAAAACCAAGCTTCTGAGCCCCAGAGTTTGAGATCACCCTGGGCAACATGGTGAAATCCCATCTCTACAAAAAATGCAAAAAAATTAGCCAGGCAGCTGGGCACAGTGGCTCGTGCCTGTAATCCCAGTACTTTGGGATGCTGAGGCAGGCGGATCACGAAGTCAGGAGATCGAGACCATCCTGACCAACATGGTGAAACCCCAACTCTACTAAAAATACAAAAATTAGCTGGGCGTGGTGGCGCGTGCCTGTAATCCCAGCTACTTGGGAGGCTGAGGTGGGAGAATCACTTGAACCAGGAAGTTGGAGGTTGTGGTGAGCCAAAATTGCGCCACTGCACTCCAGCCTGGCGACAGGGTAAGACTCCGTCTCAAAAATAAATAAATAAATAAATAAATAAATAAATAAATAAATAAATAAATATAAAAATAAAAATTAGCCAGGCATAGTGGCATGCACCTGTAGTTTCTGCTACTTGGGGAAATTAATTTGGGAGAATTCCTTGAGCCCAGGAGGTCAAGGTTGCAGCAAGCCGTGGTCGCACCACTGCACTCCAGCCTGGGTAACGGAGCAAGACCCTGTCTCAAAAAAAAAAAAAAACAAGCTTCTACATGTTTGCTTAAATTAATAGATTATTGATGGACATGTTTATGGCTGTTAGGTTTGCAATGGGAAAGAAACACTACATTAAACCTAGTCTACTTGGCTTTATTCTCAGGAGTAATCAGACTTTTTAAAAAATGTTGCTAGGTTACAATAAGGCAAGGGGTATAGATATTTGAAAGGGACTTCCCTTTTAAGATATATGAGGGGAAAAAGAAACTCCCAACAAGGAAACTTACCCAGAGCCACTCAGAGCCTTCTGCCTTTCAGATGGGCCTAGGCCTGAAGCATGAGCTATACCAGTGTTAATACAGCTGACAGAGCCCAAACATTTACACAGCTCAAATGAACATGTTCCCAAGAGCATCAATCATGAGCCTTAGCCAGAGCCTCTAGGGAGCCATGTATAATTAGCTTTGAAAAATATTTTGCAGAAAGTTTCTAGTTGTTTTAATTTTGATCTATTTTGAAGACAACTGGAATCTAAATTGATACTTGAGCTCTAATTGTAGATTAACCTAGAGGTTTCAAGCCATTACCAATGCTGTAAAAACTGAAATTTTAGAATTTTAATAAACCTGATCATTATTTTCTAATAATATTTCTAGTTATATTGTTTTATAGTTTATAATTCCATTAGTTAAATGTGGTATTAATTGCCTACAGTACAATATTATGGAGAGGCAGTATGGTATAAGAGTTAAGAGTTTGAGCTTCAGAACCAGACTGCCTGGGTGTGAATCCTGGCTTTGTCACTTCCTAGCAGAGTGACCTTTGAATGAGTTACTTAAGCTTTCTATGCTTATGTTTTCTCATACATAAATATGGGAGTAGTAATAGTAATCAAAATTTTCCAGAGAATCAAAACTAGTGGGAGATGATAGATAGATAGATAGATAGATAGGATTTATTTCAAGGAATTGGCCTATGTGATATGGGCAGCTGAGAAGTATGAAATCTGCAGGGCAGGCTGGAAATTTTGGGGCAGGCCCCGGTGCTGCAGACTTGAGGCAGAATTTGTTCTTTATCAGAGAAACCTTAGACTTTCGCTTGTAAGACTTTTCAGTCAATTGTATGAGGCCCACCCACATAATTGAGGATAATCTGCATTAGATAAAGTCAACTGATTGTAAATATTAACCACATCTACAAATTACCTGCACAGCAACACCTAGATTAGTGTTTGGTTGAATAGCTGGGTACCATAGCCTAGTCAAATTAACACATAAAACTAACCATCGGGCCAGGTGCGGGGGCTCACGCCTGTAATCCTAGCACTTTGTAAGGCTGGCGGGGGGGGGGGGGTGGATCACGAGGTCACAAGTTCAAGACCAGCCTGGCCAAGATGGTGAAACCCTGTCTCTACTAAAAATACAAAAAGTAGCCAGGTGTGTTGGCAGGCACCTGTAATCCCAGCTACTCGGGAGGCTGAGGCAGGAGAATCACTTGAACCTGGAGGGTGGAGGTTGCAGTGAGCTGAGTTTGGGCCACTGCACTCCTGCCTGGGCGACAGAGTGAGACTCCATCTCAAAAAACAAACAAACAAACCAACAAACAAAAAAACTTACCATCACACCTACTATCAAATTCATAAAACTGTGACAATTAAGTGTGTTAATGCATATAAAGAACTTAGAATGGAGCCTAACACATAAGAAGCCCTCATAAAGGCTAAGTAAAAGACCTTTGCTTTGTAAGATCAGCCACCATTTATTAAATAACTATAATATGCAAAGTTCTGTGTCTAACATTGTGGGAAATTCAGTGATAGTCACTATAGAACCATAATGTATCTGCACAGGATTAAACCATGGAGATCATTTAGGCCAGCCTCTCATCTTAAAAATGGAGAAGCTGAGGTCCAATGTTTTTGTAAATACACAACCAGCGTGGTTTGTTTTTTTTTTTATAACATAGTGATGAACAATACACAGAGAAAGCCCTGACCTCATGAGCCTTACATCCTACTAAGATAATTATTGATGACTATTTCAGTCTCAAATCTAACGAATATTCTTACTCAGTTTTCATGCAGGAAGGGAAGGAGAAGTTGGGCTCAGAGACTGTGCTGCAAGCCAAGTGTGCCTGAAGCATTGAACGGATAAAGCAGAAATGTTTCTATGTTTCATTTTGTTTGTTTGTTTGGTTGGTTGGTTGTTTTTTGTTTGTTTGTTTTTATTTTGAGACAGAATCTTGCTCTGTCACTCAATCTGGAGCACAGTGGTGTCATCATGGCTTATTGCAGCCTCAACCTCCTGGGCTCAAGTGATCTCCCACCTCAACCTCCTGAGTAGCTGGTACTACAGGCATGTGCCACCATGCCCAGCTATTTTTTTTTTTTTTTTTTTTTTTAGAGACAGGGTCTTGCTATATTGCCCAGGCTGGTCTTGAACTCCTGGCCTCAAGTGATCCTCCTGCCTTGGCCCCCCACAGTGCTGGGATTACAGGCATGAGCCACCTTTAGACTCAGGGGCTTAGTAACTAGGCTTTTCCACATTGACATTACTATTTAGTTTGAAATTTTAATGTAGCCCTTCTGTGAGGGTCTTTGTATCAGGATTCAAGTCATTTCTCAACAATGTACTACATACTTCTGAATGGCCCGAGGGAAATTAAGAATGTACTTTCTTAGCACCTAGTTTTCAACCACTGTGAAACTTGGCCATTGGGGAAGTTGTCTCTTATCCCCTTTACATGGAGAGCCATTAATAATAATTGCATTAAAACATTAGTAATACATCTGTAGGACATTTTATAGTTTTACAGAGTACTTTTGAGAGGTAAGCAGAGCAAGTATTATTATACCTACTTAGAAGATATCTAAGGCTCAGAGTTGTAAAGTGGGTGGCCCAAGACTCCATAGTAAATATCAGGTTCTAGCTGCCTAATTCCTAGTGTAATGTGCTCTTTGCTATATATTACTCTGCTGGCAATGTCTGGTGGGTATAGGTCTGGAGAGGAGCTGCTTCCCAACCCTACAGTTCTCTTCTTTAGTTCTTTTTTTTTTTCTTTTTCTTAAAGAGACAGGGTCTCACCCCGTGTCCCAGGCTAGAGTGCAGTGGCACCATCATAGCTATCTAGCAACCTCAAACTCCTGGACCCAAGCATTCCTCCCACCTCAGTCCTGAAGTAGCTAGGACTACAAGTGTGTGCCACCACACCCAGCTTGCTTATTTATTTACTTATTTTATTTTATTTTTATTTTATTTTATTTTACCTTACTGTGCAGTCAGGTCACAAATTTTTTTGATTTTTTGTAGATATGGGGTTTTGCTATGTTGCTGAGGCTGGTCTTGAACTCCTAGCCTCGAGCAATCCTCCCACCTTGGTCTCCGAAAGTGCTGGGATTACAGCACCTGAGCCATGTTGCCCAGCTTTCTTAGTTCTTAAGTGAAGGTAGTCTTTACCTGTAATTAATCTTTACCTATAATTAATTTGAATGTAACTTTTTGATTTTGCTTTAAACAAATGATAGTAAATATTTTTAAACCTGCAGCTTGTTTTGCTGAGAAAAAACCTCTGTGGGGTTTAACCAAACCTGGAGGCTATGAAGTTAGTGAATTTATTTTTATCTTTTTCTTGCTCTGGAAATTAATCTGAATGTTTTCAGTAATGTGTACCTTTCTTTGGATTAGACCTAAATGTGGCTTTATGTGATAATTTCGCTAGGTTTTATGAGCGTACTTGTAAATTTGGGTCTTATTTTAATTAACCATAACTGTCTGAAACTTGAATCTTGTAAAGTTTTCTCTGCATTTGTTAATTCTGCCAGGTCACAATGATGGCTCTGAAACTTATATATGTACCTTTTATTACTTGACAAATATTTCTCCAACAGATATAAGATTATTTAAAATAGCTTTCCTGTTCACAGTGTGTAGTCCAGATAAACAGGAAAGTCTGTGAAATTAGCCTCACCTTTGTTCCTGTCTCTACTATAACATTTGGCACATCATATTGTAATCATTTACTTATATGTGTAGCTGGGACTACAGGCACGTGCCACCATACCGGCTACTTTTTTTTTATTTTGTGTAGAGACAGGGTCTCACTGTGTTGCCCAGGCTGGTCTCCCAACTCCTGGCCTCAAGTAATCCTCTCACCTGCACCTCTTGAGCCATTGGGATTACATATGTGAGCCACCGCACTAAGCATGTCTGTGGGTTTTGATAAGAACTTTGTTGTGGCACCTTTTAGAGGTAATGAAATATAATGAAAAGAAAATTAACATTGAAGTCAGTCAGACCTCCTGGTTCCAAATCTCAGGTCTGTCACATTTGCTAGTGCCTTGGGCAAATTACTTAAACTTTCTGAACCTCAGTTTACATACCTTTAAGGAAAATAGTACTGATTTTATAAGGTTGCTGTGATAAATTATTAAAAGTACCCAAAACAGTTCTGCTACATAGCAGATGCTTCACAAATATCTTCTTTTTTTGTTAGCATCCCTAGGCCTAGCAGTTCAATACTTAAGGTCTCATTAAACTTTTGTTGAATGACTTAATGATTAGATGAATACATACTCTTTTCAAAGAAGAAGAATCATATTTAAAGTAAAGAATAGCCAGGCATGGTGGCTCACGCCTGTAATCCCAGCACTTTGGGAGGCTGAGCCAAAGCGGATTGCTTGAGCCCTGGAGTTCAAGACCAGCCTGGGCAACATGGTAAAACCCCGTCTGCACTAAAAATACAAAAATGAGTCACTGTGCCTGGCTCGTTTTTCATTAGCCTTTCCTTTATTTTCCTGTATTTTTGCACTTGAGGCTGAGAGTGGGAGGATCACTTGAGCCCAGGAGACAGAGGCCGAAGTGAGCCAAGATTGCACCACTGCACTCCAGCCTCGGTGGCAGAGCAAGACCCCAGAGATAAAAATAATAATAAAGCATAATTAATATTATAGAATTGATTTGCTATTGATTTTATCTTTTAATTTTGTTACGTTAAAAATGGGTTCTCCCTACATTTCAAAATTATTGTTACTGTGTGCCTAGTGAGTAGAGGTGTAACACTACATAGTTTCATTGCACCTAGCTGTGCCTTTCATGTCTTAAATTTCTTGCCTTTTATGTATTCCACGTGAAATTTTATGTTTTAAAGAAGAATTATTTTCCTTAGTCTTCTTTGATCTTCCTTCTGTCCTTCCTCATGGCATTTTGGATTCTCTTTCATTTGTGACATCTACCTTACTCTAGATTATACAGATATTATTTGTAGACTTGTCTTTGCCTACCACCTAGAGCTGAAAATCTACTACAGGGGTCCTTAACTTATTTAGGATTCCTTATTAGTCTTTCTGAGACTATGATGATAGCTATGAACTATCCCCACCCCCAGAAAAATGTATACACGTACAAACTAAAGTTTTCATATCAGTGTGAGTTCAGGAGGTTCACGAACTCCAGGGTGAGGACTCTTTCTATATTGTGTGTTTCTTCAGAGCAGTAACTGAATTTCATTGACCTCTGTGTCTGTGGCAAAGCCTATCATGTACGTGTGTAGGAGATACCCAATACATAATTTATGAATTGATGAATTTACATGTAAAATGAGAATCTAAGTTTATTACTCTAGAATCTCTAAACACAGTTTCTTTTGTGTTTCCTTAGGCTTTCATCTGAGTGGCACAGTAACTGAGCTGGCCACTGCCTCTGAACCAGCAGTGACTTATAAAGTTGCAATCAGTTTTGATCGATGCAAAATCACCTCAGTGACATGTGGCTGTGGGAACAAGGACATATTCTACTGTGCCCATGTGGTAGCACTCTCACTCTACAGGATCCGTAAACCAGACCAAGTCAAATTGCGTCTTCCTATCTCCGAAACCCTTTTCCAGATGAATAGGGACCAGCTACAAAAGTTTATTCAATATTTAATCACGGCACACCACACTGAAGTTCTTCCTACTGCACAGAAACTGGCAGATGAGATTCTATCCTCCAACTCAGAAATCAACCAAGTGAATGGTAATTGTACAACTTTTTTATTGAAAAAAAAGGTCTTTTTCATCACCACTGTCACCAAAGCAACCCTCTTACCTCTACTTTGTTGCTTTATTGCATGTTAAGAGGTTGGGATATTTCTGCAGTTGCAATCACTTAACTTTAATCATTTCATTCTATCCAAACAACTGTGTTTAACTCTAAGTTTCTTAAAACAGTCCAACTGTGTATCTCAAAAAGATTTTGGTGAAAAAGAACAGAGAATGATAGTATTATATATTGGTCTAGTTTATGGACTTTGTCGATGCAGACCCTGTCCCTAGGAGCCTGAAGTGTTAAAACAGTAAAAGAAAGCACAAAATAATTTGTATCATTCAGTGAATTGAGATGGATATGAGAATTCCCTTGATATTTCAGGACCCTACATTAGCATCAGAGTTATCCTAAGGAGCATGTGTTAGCATTGTGCTTATGAACTATATATTGGGGGTGCATTAATGGAGAAAGAGTTTATGTTCACTCATTCATTCAACAAATATTTATTAAGTACCATGTGCAGGGAATAGTGCTGATTGTTGAGGGTCTAAAACAGACATGGTTCTTAAAGTAGCTTATAACCTAGTAGCAACAACAGACAGGTCTGAAACAAATGCTTGTTTTTATAATGAAACCAGATTGTAGAAGCCTAATCATAGAAAACCATTGAAAATTTTAAAGAAGGGGCCAGGCACAGTGGCTCACGCCTGTGATCCCAGCACTTTGGGAGGTCAAGGTGGGTGGATCACTTGAGGTCAGGAGTTCAAGACCAGCCTAGTGAACATGGTGAAACCCTGTCTCTATTAAAAATACAAAAATCATCCAGGCATGATGGTGCATGCCTGTAATCCCAGCTACTTTGGAGGCTGAGGCGGGAGAATTGCTTGAACCTGGGAGGTGGAGGCTGCAGTGAGCCGAGATCACGCCACTGCACTCCAGCCTGGGTGACAGAGCAAGATTCCATCTCAAAAAAAAAAAAAAAAAAAATTTAAGAAGAAGAGTTAATAAGCCAGTTTTCATTTTGCTTTTTAGATCCCACTGTGTTCCAAGCATCATGCAAAGGACTTTATTATTTTTTTTATTTTTTATTATACTTTAAGTTCTGGGGTACATGTGCACGAGGTGTAGGTTTGTTACATAGGTATACATGTGCCATGTTGGTTTGCTGCACCCATTAACTCATCATTTACATTAGGTATTTCTCCTAATGCTATCCTTCCCCTGCCCTCCACCCCGCGACAGCCCCCGGGGTGTGATGTTCCCCGCCCTGTGTCCAAGTGTTCTCATTGTTCAATTCCCACCTATGAGTGAGAACATGCAGTGTTTTGTTCTCCATCCACAGAGGACTTTATATATATTAATTCATTTAGGTTTCAAAACTACTTTGTGGGGTATAATAATTTCTACTTTATAAATAAGGAAGTTATTTATAACCTAGGTTCATTTGACATAAGAATTTTTTGAATTTCTCTAAAGTTTTTTGAGTTTCCCTAAACTACCTTTCTCTTTTGGATGATAACTGATACAGTTTGGATTTGTGTCCCTGCTCAAATGTCATATCCAGTTGTAATCTCCCATGTTGGAGGAGGGGCCTTGTGGGAGGTGAATGGATCATGGGGGCAGATTTCCCCCTCTCTGTTCTCCTGATAATGAGTGAGTTTTCACAAGATCCAGTTACTGAAAAGTGTGTAAGCACCTGCCCCTTCTCTCTCTTCCTCCGGCTCCAGCCATGTAAAATGTGCCTGCTTCCCTTTTGCCTTCCACCATGATTGTAATGTTCCTGAGGCCTCCCAAGCCATGCTTCCTGTACAGCCTGCAGAACCATGAGCCAATTAAACCTCTTTTTTAAAAATAAATTACCGATTCTCAGGTATTTTTTTATAGCAGTGCAAGAATGTACCAATACAGAAAATTGGTACTGGGAAGTCAGGCATTGCCATAAAGATACCTGAAAATGTGGAAGCAGCTTTTGAACTGGTTAGAAAAGTGGCAGAGGTTAGAAAAGTGTAGAGGGCTTAGAAGAAGACAGGAGGATGAAGGAAAGTTTGGAGCTTCCTAGAGACTTGTTAAATTGTTGTGACCAAAATGCTGATAGTGATATTGACAATGAAGTCCAGGCTGAGATGGTCTCAGATGAAGATGGGGTGCTTTTTGGGAACTGGAGCAAAGATGTTTGAGGCATTGTGCCCCTGCCCTTGGGATCTGTGGAACTTTGAACTTGAGAGTGATGATTTGGGGCATCTGGCAGAAGAAATTTCTGTGCAGCAGTGTTGAAGATGTAGCCTGACTGCTTCTAGCAACCTCAGCTCATATTCATGAGCAAAAAAAAAAAAAAAAAAACAAACAAACTAACCTAAAACTAGAACTTATATTTAAAAGGGAAACAGAGTGTAAAAGTTTGGAAAATTTTCAGCCTGGCCGTATGGTAGAAAACAATTCCCCGTTTCAGGGGAGGAATACAAGCTGGCTGCAGAAATTTGCTTAAGTAAAGCCAAGACAATGAGGAAAATGTCTCAAAAGCATTTCAGACACCTTCATGGCAGCCCCTCCCATCACAGGCCCAGAGACCTAGGAGGGAAGAATGGTTTCATAGGCCAGGCCCAGGGCTCCGCTACCCTGCTCCTTAGGACACTGCTCCCTGCATCCCAGCCACTCCAGCTCTGGCTGTGGCTAAAAGGGCCCCAGATATGTCTTAGGCCGCAGCTCCAGAGGGTGCAAGCCATAAGCCTTGGCGGCTTCCACATGGTGTTAAGCACAGAGGTCAAGAGTTGAGGCTTGGGAGCCTCTGCCTAGATTTCAGAGGATGTATGGAAATGCCTGGATGTCCAGGCAGGAGTCTGCTGCAGGGGCAGAGCCTTCATGGAGAACCTCTACTAGGGCAGTGTGGAGGGGAAATGTGGGTTGGAGCCCCCACACAGATTCCCCACTGGAGCACTGCCTACTGGAGCTGAGAAGGGGGCTACTGTCCTCCAGATCCCAGGATGGTATATCCACCAACAGCTTATACTGTGCACCTGGAAAAGCCACAGGCACTCAACACCAGCCCTTGAAAGCAGCTGTGGGAGCTGAGCTCTCAGGGGGTGGAGCTGCTCAAGGCCTTAGGTGCCTACCCATTGCATCACTGTCACGTGGATGTGAGACATGGAGCCAAAGGGGATTATTTTGGAGATTTAAGGTTTAGTGACTGCCCTGCTGGGTTTTGGACTTGGTTGGGGCCTGTAGGCCCTCTCTTTTGGCTGATTTCTCCCTTTTGAAATGGTAGGTGTATTTACCCAATGCCTATACTTCCATTGTATCTTGGAAGTAACTTGTTTTTGATTTTACCGGCTCATAAGTGGAAGAGACTTGCCTTGTCTCAGATGAGACTTTGGATGGTGGACTTTTGAGTTAATGCTGAAATGAGTTAAGACTTGGGGGACTGTTGAGAAGGGTGATTGTATTTTGCAATGTGAGAAGGATATGAGATTTAGAAGGGGCCAGGGGCAGAATGATATGGTTTGGATTTGTGTCCCCACCCAAATCTCATATTGAATTTGTAATCCCCACTGTTGGAGAAGGGCCTGATGGGAGGTGATTGGATCATTGGGGTGGATTTATCCCTTGCTGTTCTCATGATAGTGAGTGAGTTCTCATGAGATCTGGTTATTTAAAAGTGTGTAGGCCAGGCGCAGAGGCTCACACCTGTAATCTCAGTACTTTGGGAAGCCAAGGTGTGTGGATTGCTTGCACACAGGAGTTTGAGACCAGCCCGGGAAACATGGCAAAACCCTGTCTCCACAAAAAATTCAAAAATTAGCTGGGCATTGTGGTGCATCCCTGTAGTCCCTACTACTCGGGAGGCTGAGGTGGGAGGATGGCTTGAGCCCAGGAGGCAGAGATTGCAGTGAACCAAAATTGCACCGCTGCACTCCAGCCTGGTGGTAGAACCAGACTTTGTCTCAAAATAATAAATAAATATAAATAAAAGTGTGTAGCACCTCCCACTTCTCTCTCTTCCTCCTGCACCAGCCATGTAAGACATGTCTGCTTCCCGTTTGTCTTGTAAGTTTCCTGAGGCCTCCCCAGACATGTTTCCTGCACATCTTGTGGAACAGTGAGCCAATTAAACTTTTCTTTATAAATTACCCAGTTTCAGTTATTTCTTTATAGCAGTGCAAGAACAGACTAATACAATAACTTAGCTACTAGTGTGAAAGAGGCAATGAGACCAGGTGGGTGGCCTGTATAATAGAGTAGTCTACATGCCAAAGGACCTGTCTTTCCCAGTTGTTCAACAGAGCCAATCAAGTCTTACAAACAACCTCAGAAAGAACAGTCAGAGCTGGGCATGGTGGCTAACGCTTGTAATCCCAACACTTTGGGAGGTCAAGGCAAGAGGATTGCCAGAGTCCAGGAGATGAAAACAGCCTGAACAACATAGTGAGACCTCATCTCTACAAAAAAGCAAAAAATTAGCTAGGCATGGTAGTGTGCGCTTGTGGTCCCAGCTACTCAGGAAGCTGAGGCAGGAGAATTGCTTGAGCCCAGGATGTCAAGGCTGCAATGAACAGTGATCATGCTACTGTCCTCAACAGAGTAAGACTCTGTCTCAAAAAAAAAAATTAAAAGAATAAAGAAAGAACAGTCAGACAGGCTTCTAGGAACTCTTGCTCACTAGCAAAAATGTTACGTTGCTTTATACTCAAAGTTGCAGTGTTTACATAATAACTGAGCTCTCTCTATTTGAGTGATACTGTCAAAAAGTAGCTCTCCATATCTCTTCTTATCCCACACAGAGAGGCTGTTCTACGCTGACCTCCTTTTTGAGACCTGAGTTCTGCCCCCATCCCCCAGGCCTGTAGCACCAGAGAGAAGAATAGCTCTGTACCCTGACAGCTGGGCTATGGCCTGCTTTTGTGCCTCATTCCCACTATCTTTTCCCCCAGAATTATTTCCAAGCTCTCTTGCCTCTTCTTGAATTGGCTGCCTTGGTTCAGGACCTGTATTGGCCTGTCTTTTTCACCACAACTGTCACCAAAACAACCCTCTTCCCTCATTACTACTGTGCTGAAGAAACCTACATTCCTCATTACACTTCCCATTCCCATATCTTAATTTTTGTCTGAAATTAGGCTGCCACAATCAACTTGAGATGTGATTCTCAGCCTTCCCCAGGAACTACTACTTCTGTATACATGTTTATCCCATACTTATATTAGCTTTCTACAACAGGTTCCATAGTATTCTACAGGCTCTTTCCTGATCTATTTCTGTAACCAGTACTGGTATAAGCAATGATACAAAAAGGGGAGACATCACAGAGATAAAATGGACTGGACTGAAGATCCAAGTGTATTGGATGAGTGAGGACTGAATAAGAAGAAGACATAGAACTGAGTTCCAACATGTCTAGCTAGGATGGCACTGATGGTTTTGATAATGATGTTGCCATTCATTAGAGAACAAAAGAGGAGAAATGAATTTAGGAGGAAGATAGATTTAAGTTTGAGATACTTCTAGGACATTTAGATAAAGATTTCTTTTTTTTTTTTCTTTTTTTTTTTTAATTGATCATTCTTGGGTGTTTCTCACAGAGGGGGATTTGGCAGGGTCATAGGACAATAGTGGAGGGAAGGTCAGCAGATAAACAAGTGAACAAAGGTCTCTGGTTTTCCTAGGCAGAGGACCCTGCGGCCTTCCGCAGCGTTTGTGTCCCTGGGTACTTGAGATTAGGGAGTGTGATGACTCTTAATGAGCATGCTGCCTTCAAGCATCTGTTTAACAAAGCACATCTTGCATCGCCCTTAATCCATTTAACTCTGAGTGGACACAGCACATGTTTCAGAGAGCACAGGGTTGGGGATAAGGTCACAGATCAACAGGATCCCAAGGCAGAAGAATTTTTCTTAGTACAGAACAAAATGAAAAGTCTCCCATGTCTACTTCTTTCTACACAGACACGGCAACCATCCGATTTCTCAATCTTTTCCCCACCTTTCCCCCCTTTCTATTCCACAAAGCCGCCATTGTCATCCTGGCCCGTTCTCAATGAGCTGTTGGGTACACCTCCCAGACGGGGTGGTGGCCGGGCAGAGGGGCTCCTCACTTTCCAGACGATGGGTGGCCAGGCAGAGACGCTCCTCACTTCCCAGACGGGGTGGCGGCCGGGCAGAGGCTGCAATCTCGGCACTTTGGGAGGTCAAGGCAGGCGGCTGGGAGGTGGAGGTTGTAGCAAGCCGAGATCACGCCACTGCACTCCAGCCTGGGTGCCATTGAGCACTGAGTGAACCAGACTCCGTCTGCAATCCCGGCACCTCGGGAGGCCGAGGCTGGCGGATCACTCGCGGTTAGGAGCTGGAGACCAGCCCGGCCAACACAGCGAAACCCCGTCTCCACCAAAAAAATACGAAAACCAGTCAGGCGTGGCGGCGCGCGCCTGCAATTGCAGGCACTCCGCAGGCTGAGGCAGGAGAATCAGGCAGGGAGGTTGCAGTGAGCTGAGATGGCAGCAGTATAGTCCAGCTTCGGCTTGGCGTGAGAGGGAGACCGTGGAAAGAGAGGGAGAGGGAGACCATGGGGAGAGGGAGACCATGGGGAGAGGGAGACCATGGGGAGAGGGAGAGGGAGAGGGAGAGGGAGAGGGAGAGGGAGCTAGATAAAGATTTCTGATAAACAGTTGAATATATGGACCTGGAACTGAGGGAGAAAGTCAGAATTTTTGAAATAAAAAATTTTAGATAAAAATGATGTTTAAAATCATATTTCTGTTCCCTGCTAAATCTTTAAACACTTAGAACATTTTCCTTCTCCTTTCTCTTTAACCCCATTCCTCACCAAAACAAACCTAAAACAGCAGGAATAAAATTCCTAAAACTGCTAGCTGCCTGCTTTTAATCTTAAGAACAGATCCAAGCTTTGCTCTGCTCCCTACTTCCCTGAAACCATTTCTTGTATTAGTCCCTATATGTGTTTGTAGCTAGACATTGCCTTGACTTTTTTAGGTGGGTTACTCAGATTTGACTATCCTTCCAGCTCTGCCTCCAGCACTACTCTATGCCCTATTTGTGATTTGCTCTGGTAACTCCATACCCCAAGATTCTCTGGGGTACAGCATCCTGGCCAGGACTTCAGTTCCTCTTATCCAGAAAGAAAGATTGAGGAAGGAGGCAGAACAAGATGGCAGAATAGAAGGCTACACCAATTGTTCCCTACCTCCTCACATGAGGACACCAATCTAAGAACCATCTACACACAAAAAAAGTACCCACATAAGAACCAAAAATCAGGTGAGCACTCACAATATCTGGTTTTAACTTCATATTGCTAAAAGAGGCACTGAGGAAGTAGGAAAAACAGTCTTGAATCACCAGTGCCACACCTCCCCAATCGCCCAGCAGTCATAGCATGGTGTGGAAAGCATTTTGGTGCACTGGGAAAACAGAAATTGCAGCATTTCTGAGGCATTAAACTCAGTGCTGCCCTATTATAACAGAAAACAAAACCAGACCAAACTCAGCTGACACCTCCCCATAGAGGGAGCATTTAAACCAGCCCTAGCCAAAGAGGAATTGCCAGTCCCAGCAGTCCAAACTTGAGTTCCAGCAAGCCTCCCCTCTGTGGGCTAAAGTGCTCTGGGGCCTTAAATAAACTCGAAAGGCAGTCTAGGCCGCAAGGACTGCAACTCCTAGGCAAGTCCTAATGCTGAACTGGGCCCAGAGACAGTGGACTGTGGGGAGACATGTGACCTACTGAGACACCAGCTGGGGTAGCTGAGGGAGTGATGGCATCACCCTTCCCTTAACCCCAGGCAGTTCAGCTTATGGCTCCAAAAGAGACCCCGTCCCTTTGCTCGAGGAGAGGAGAGGGAAGAGTGGGGATGAGTTTGTCTTGCATCTTGGATACCAGCTCAGCCACACCAGGATAGGGCACCAGTCAGAGTCATGAAGCCCCCTTTCCAGGCCCTAGCTCCCTGTACTACATTTCTTGACACACCTTGGGCCAGAAAGGAACCTGCTGCCTTTGAAGGGAAGAAACTAGTCCTGACAGGATTCATTGCCTGCTAGCTGAAGAGCACTGGGGGCCCTGAATAACCAGCAGTGATACTCATGTACTACATTGAGAACCTTGGGTGAGACTCTGAAACTTGCTGGCTTAAGGTGAGTCTCAGGACATTCCCAGCTGTGGTGGCTATGGGGCAAGATGCCTTCCACTTGAGAAAAGTGAAAGTAAAAGCAAAGGGGACTTTGTCTTGCACCTTAGGTACCAGCTCAGCCACAGGGTCTAGAGCACCAAGTGACCTCTTGGGGTCCTTTATTCCAGGACTTGGCTCTTGGATGGCTTTTCTAGACCTGCCCTGGGCCACTGGGGAGTGCACTGCCCTGAAGGGTGAGTCGCAAGCTGGGCAGCATTCACCACAAGCTGACTGGAGAGGCCTTGGGCCTTAAATGGTAGTCTGGCGGTACTCCTCGTGGGCCTGTGGCAATGGTGGCCATGGGAGGCTCCTCTGCCTTTGGAAAGGGGCAGGAAGAGTGGAAGTGTCATGCGCGTCCATGTGAAGAGACCACCAAACAGGCTTTGTGTAAGCAACAAGGCTGTTTATTTCACCTGGGTGCAGGCGGGCTGAGTCCGAAAAGATAGTCAGTGAAGGGAGATAGGGGTGGGGCCGTTTTATAAGATTTGGGTAGGTAGTGGAAAATTACAATCAAAGGGGGTTGTTCTCTGGCTGGCAGGGGTGGGGGTCACAAGGTGCTCAATGGGGGAGCTTTTGAGCCAGGATGAGCCAGGAGAAGGAATTTCACAAGGTAATGTCATCATTTAAGGCAGGGACCGGCCATTTTCACTTCTTTTGTGGTGGAATGTCATCAGTTAAGGCAGGAACCAGCCATTTTCACTTCTTTTGTGATTCTTCACTTGCTTCGGGCCATCTGGACCTATACGTTCAGGTCACAGGGGATACGATGGCTTAGCTTGGGCTCAGAGGCCTGACAGGAAGGACTATGTCTTGTGGTTTGAGTGCCAGCTCAGCCACAGTACAATGGAACAGCAGGTGAACAGCTAAGGTTTTTTTACTCTAGTCCCTGGCTCCTGGATGGCACCTCTGGACACACCCAGAGTCTGGAGGAACCCCCCATCCTGAAGAGAAGGACACAGACCTGGCTGGCTTTGCCACCTGCTGATTGGAGCCTCAGGGCCTTGAGTGAACACAGATGGTAGCCAGGGAGTGGTTACAGCAAACCTTGGGTGAGACCTAGTTTGGTGCTGGCTTCAGATTTGACCAAGCACAGTCCTGGTGGTGGTGGCCACAAGGGTACTTATGTCACACCACTACCAGCTCCAGGTAGCTCAGAACAGAGAAAGACCCCATTAGTTTGGGAGAAACTAAGGGAAGAGAACAAGAGTCTCTGCCTGTGGTTGCCCAGAGAATTCTTCCAGATCTTGTTCTAGACCACCAAGGTAGTACCTCTATGGGTCTGCAAGAACCACAGCATTACTGGGGTTGGGGTGACCACTAAAGCAGATACAGCTTAGATCACAATACCCAAGTCCTTTCAAATATCTGGAAAGCCTTCCCAAGAAGGACAGGTGTTGCGGGAAGTCAGGGACCCCAAACGGAGGGACTGGCTGAAGCCATGACAGAAGAACTTGGATTGTGAAGATTTTATGGACATTTATTAGTTCCCCAAATTAATAGTTTTGTAATTTCTTATGCCTGTCTTTACTGCAATCTCTAAACATAAATTGTAAAGATTTCATGGACACTTATCACTTCCCCAATCAATACCCTTGTGCTTTCCTATGCCTGTCTTTGCTTTAATCTCTTAATCCTGTCAGCCAAGAAGGATGTATGTCGCCTCAGGACCCTGTGATAATTGCATTAACTGCACAGATTGTACAGCATGTGTGTTTGTACAATATGAAATCAGAGCACCTTGAAAAAAGAACAGGATAACAGCAATTGTTCAGGGAATAAGAGAGATAACCTTAAACTCTGACCGCCAGTGAGCAGGGCAGAACAGAGCCATATTTCTCTTCTTTCAAAAGCAAATGGGAGAAATATCGCTGAATTCTTTTTCTCAGCATGGAACGTCCCTGAGAAAGAGGATGTGCACCTAGGGGTAGGTCTCTGAACTGGCCCCCCCGGGGCGTACCTGTCTCTTATGGTTGAGACTGCAGGGGTGAAATAAACTCCAGTCTCCCATAGCGCTCCCAGGCTTATTAGGAAGAGGAAATTCCCACCTAATAAATTTTGGTCAGACCAGTTGATCTCAAAACCCTGTCTCCTGATAAGATGTTATCAATGACAATGGTGCCCAAAACTTCATTAGCAATTTTAATTTCGCCTCAGTCCTGTGGTCCTGTGATCTCGCCCTGCCTCCACTTGCCTTGTGATAGTCTATTACCCTGTTAAGTACTTGATGTCTGTCACCCACATCTATTCGCACACTCCCTCCCCGTTTGAAAATCCCTAATAAAAACTTGCTGGTTTTTGTGGCTTGTGGGGCATCACGGATCCTACCAACGTGTGATATCTCCCCCAGACGCCCAGCTTTAAAATTTCTCTCTTTTGTACTCTGTCCCTTTATTTCTCAAGCCAGCCGACGCTTAGGAAAATAGAAAAGAACCTACGTGATTATTGGGGCAGGTTCCCCAATAGACAGGTACAAACAAGCCCAGGCTGAGAAGACTACAACAAATACCTAACTCTTCAATGCCCAGACACTGACGAACATCTACAAGCATCAACACCATTCAGGAAAACATGACCTCATCAAATGAACTAAAGGTACCAGGAACCAATCCTGGAGAAACACAGATGTGTGACCTTTCAGAAAGAATTCAAAATAGCTGTTTTGAGGAAACTCAAAGAAATTCAAGATAACACAGAGAAGGAGTTTAGAATTCTATCAGATAAATTTAACAAAGACATTGAAATAATCCAAAAGAAGCAAAAATTCTGGAGCTGAAAAATGCAATTGGCATACAGAAGAATGCATCAGAGTCTTTTAATAGCAGAACTGATCAAGCAGAAGAAGGAATTAGTGAACTTGAAGACAGGCTATTTGAAAATTCACAGTCAGAGGAGACGAAAAAAAGAATAAAATGAGTGATACATACCTACAAGATCTAGAATATAGCTTCAAGGGACAAATCTAAGAGTTATTGGGCTTAGAGACGACGTAGAGAAAGAAACTGGAGGTAGAGAGTTTATTCAAAGGGATTATATCAGAGAATTTCCCAAACCTAGAGGAAGATATATCAATATCCAAGTACAGGTAGGTTATAGAACACCAAGCATATTTAACCCAAAGAAGACTACTTCAAGACATTTAATAATCAAACTCCCAAAGGTCAAGGATAAAGAAAGGATCCTAAAAGCAGCAAGAGAAAAAGTAACATACAATGGAGTCTGGCAGCAGACTTCTCAGTGGAAACTCTACAGGCCAGGAGCTAGTGGCATGACATGTTTAAAGTGAAGGAAAAAAACTTTGATCCTAAAGTAGTATGTTTGGCAAAAATACCCTTCAAACATGAAGGAGAAATAAAGACTTTCCCAGACAAACAAAAACTGAGGGTTTTCATCAACACCAGACTGGCCTACAAGAAATGCTAAAAGAGAGTACTTCTATCAGTATAAAAAGGATGTTAATGAACAATAAGAAATCATATGAAGGTACAGAACTCACTGGTGATAGTAAGTAGACAGAAGAACACAGAATATTATAACATTGTAACCGTGATGTGTAAACTACTCTTAAGTAGAAAGACTAAACTATGAACCAATCACAAATAATAACTACAACTTTCAAGACATAGCATAATAAGATAAAAGTAGTAACAACAAAAAGTTAAGAAGCAGGGGCACGAAGTTAAGTTGTAGAGTTTTTATTAGGTTTCTTTTGGCTCGTTTGTTTGCTTATTTAAACAGTGTAAGTTGTTATCAGTTTAAAATAATGGGTTATAAGATAGTATTTGCAAGCCTCATGGTAACTTCAAGCCAAAAAAAAAAAAAAATACAACAGCTACACAAAAAGTTAAAAGTAAGAAACTAAATCATATCACCAGAGAAAGTTACCTTCACTAAAGGAAAACAGGAAGGAAAGAAGGAAGAGAAGACCACAGAACAACCAGAAAACAAATAACAAAATGGCAGGACTAAGTCCTTACTTATCAATAACAACACTGAATGTAAATAGACTAAACTCTCCAATAAAAAGACATAAAGTGGCTGGATGGATTAAAAAAAAATTAGACCCAGTGATCTGTTACCTACAAGAAACACACTTCACTTATAAAGACAAACATAGACTGAAAATTAAGGGATTGAAAAAGGTATTTCATGTCAATGGAAACAAAAAGGAGCAGGAGTAGCTATACTTTTATCAGACAAAATAGATTTCAAGACAAAAACTAAAAGAAGAGACAAAGAAGGTCATGATATAATGATAAAGGAGTTAGTTCAGTAAGAGAATATAACAATTGTAAATACATATACACCCAACACTGGAGCACCCAAATATATAGAGCAAATACTATTACAGCTAAATAGAGAGACCTCAGTGTAGTAATAGCTGGAGACTTCAGCACCCCGCTATCAGCATCGGACACATCTTCCAGACAGAAAATCAACAAAGAAACATTGGATTTAATCTGCACTATAGACCAAATGCAACTAATAGATATTTACGAACATTTCAGCCAGCAGCTGCAGAATACACATTCTTTTCCTCAGCACATGGATTATTCTCAAAGATAGACCACATGTTAAGTTACAAAACAAGTCTTAAAACAGTCAAAAAAAATTGAAATAAGCATCTTCTCTGACCACAATGGAATAAAACTAGAAATCAATAACAAGAGGAATTTTGGAAACTATACAAATACATGGAAATTAAACATTATGCTCCTGGATGACCAGTGGGTCAATAAAGAAATTAAGAGGAAATTGAAAATTTTCTTAAAACCAATGATAATGGAAACACAGCATACTAAAACCTATGGGATACAGCAAAAGCAGTACTAAGAGGGAAATGTATAGCTATAAGTACCTACATCAAAAAGAAGAAAAACTTCAAATAAACAATCTAATGATGCATCTTAAAGAACTAGAAAAGCAAGAGCAAACCAAACCCAAATTTAATAGAAGAAAATAAATAATAAAGATCAGAGCAGAAATAAATTGAAATGAAAACAATACAAAAAAAATCAATAAAACAAAAGGTTGGTTTTTTGAAAAGTTAAACAAAATTGACAAACCTTTAGCCATACTAAGAAAAAAAGAGAGATGACCCAAATAAATAAAATCAGAGATGAAAAAGGAGACATTACAGCTGATACCACAGAAATTCAAAGGATCATTAGTGGCTACTGTGAACAACTATATGCCAGTAAATCAGAAAATCTAAAAGCAATGAACAAATTTCAAGACTCATATAACCTATCAAGACTGAACCATGAAGAAACCCAAAACTTGAACAGACCAATAACAAGTAACAAATTCAAAGCCATAATAAAAAAAGTCACCCAGTAATGAAAAGCCTGAGACCCAGCTGAATTCTACCAAACATTTAAAGAAGGATTAATACCAATCTTATTCAAACTATTCTGAAAATAGAGGAGGAAGAAATACTTCCAAACTCATTCTACAAGGCAAATATTACCCTGATACCAAAACCAGACAAAGACATATCAAAAAAATAAAACTACAGGCCAATATCTCTGATGAATATTCATGCAAAAAATCCTCAACAAAATACTAGCAAACTGAATTCAACAATACATTAAAAAGATCATTTATCATGACCAAGTGGGATTTATCCCTGAGATGCAAGGATGGTTCAATATATGGAAATCAATCAATATGATACATCATATCAGCAGAATAAAGGATAAAAACCATATGATCATTTCAATTGATGCTGAAAAAGCACTTGATAAAATCCAACATCTCTTCATGATAAAAATGCTTTAAAAATGGGTACAGAAGGAACATACCTCAACATAATAAAAGACATATATGGCAGACCCACAGCTAATATCATATTGAATGGGGAAAAACTGAAAACCTTTCCTCTAAGATCTGGAACGTGACAAGGATGCCCCATGTTACCACTGTTATTCAACATAATGCTGAAGGTCCTAGCTAGAGCAAGCAAAGAAGAGAGAGAAATAAGGGGCATTTAAATTGGAAAGGAAGAAGTCAAATTATCCTCGTTTGCAGATGATATGATCTTATATTTGGAAAAACCTAAAGACTCCACCAAAAAACTATTAGAATTGATGAACAAATTCAGTAAAATTGCAGGATACAAAATCAACATACAAAAATCAGCAGGCCGGGCGCAGTGGCTCATGTCTGTAATCCCATCACTTTGGGAGGCTGAGGCAGGCAGATCACCTAAGGTCAGGAGTTTGAGACAAGCCTGGCCAACATGGTGAAACTCTACCTCTACTAAAAATACAAAAATTACCCAGGCGTGATGGTGGGCACCAGTAATCCCAGCTACTTGGGAAGCTGAGGCAGGAGAATCGCTTGAACCCAGGAGGCAGAGGTTGCAGTGAGCTAAGATCGTGCCACTGCAACTCCAGCCAGGGCAACAACAGTGAGACTCCACCAAAAAAAAAAAAAAAAAAAAAAAAAAATTCAGTAGCAATTGTATATGCGAACAGTGAACAATCTAAAAAATAAATTTAAAAAGTAATCCCATTTACAATGGCCACAAATAAAATTAAATACCTAGGAGTTAACCAAGAAAGTGAAAGATCTCTATAATGAAAACTATAAAACACTGATGAAAGAAATTGAAGAAGACACCAAAAAATGGAAAGATATTCCATGTTCATGGATTGGAAAAATCAATATTGTTAAAATATTCATACTACTCAATCTACAGATTCAATGTAATCCCTATCAAAATACCAATGACATTCTTCACAGAAATAGAAAACACAATTCTAAAATTGTTTTTTGCTATGTGAAACCACAAAAGACCTGGAATAACCAAAGCTATCCTAAGCAAAAAGAACAAAACTGGAGTTATTACTTGACTTCACATTATACTACAGAGCTATAGTAACCAAAATAGCATGGTACTGTCATAAAATAGACACACAGACCAATGGAACAGAATAGAAAACCTAGAAACAAATCCACACACGTACACTGAACTCATTTGTTACAAAGGTGCCAAGAACATACACTGGGGAAAAGACAGTTTTTTCAATAAATGGATGCTAGGAAACTGGATATCCATATGCAGAAGAAATGAAACTAGACCCCTATCTCTAGCCATATACAAAAATCAGATAAAAATGGATTAAAGACTTAAATCTAAGACCTGAAACTATGAAACTACTACAAGAAAACATTGGGGAAACTCTCTAGGACACTGGACTGGGCAAAGATTTCTTGAGTAATAACCCACAAGCACAGGCAACCAAAGCAAAAATGGATAAATGGGATCACATCAAGTTAAAAAGCTTCTGTACAGAAAGGAAATAATTGACAAAGTGAAGAGACAAACCACAGAATGGGAGAAAATATTAGCAAACTACCCATCTGACAAGGACTTAATAACAAGAATATATAAGGAGCTTAATTCAATAGGAAAAAATCTAATAATCTGATGTTAAAATGGGCAATAGATCTGAACAGACATTTCTCAAAAGACGACATACAAGTGGCAAATGAGTATATGAAAAGGTACTCAATATCATTTGTCATCAGAGAAATGCAAATCAAAACCACAATGACATATCATCTCACCTCAGTAAAAATGGCTTATATCCAAAAGACAGGCAATAAGAAGTGCTGGTGAGGATGTGGAGAAAAGGGAACCCTCGTACACTGTTGGTGGCAAAGTAAATTAGTACAACCACTATGGAGAACAGTTTGAAAGTTCCTCAAAAAACTAAACAGAGCTACCATATGATTCAGCAATCCTACTGCTTTCCAAAGAAAAGGAAATCAGTATATCAGAGAGAGGTCTGCACTTGCATGTTTGTTTGTTGCAGCATTGTTCACAAAGCAAGATTTGGAACCATCCTAAGTGTCCATCAGCAGACGAATGGATAAAGAAAATGTGGTACTTATACACAGTGGAGTACTATGCAGCAATAAAAAAGAATGAGATCAGCTGGGTGCAGTGGCTCACACCTGTAGTCCTAGCACTTTGGGAGGTCGAAGCAGGCAGATTGCTTGAGCTCAGGAGTTCAAGACCAGCCTGGGCAACATGGCAAAACTCTTATCTCTACAAAAATTACAAAAAAGTAGCCAGATGTTGGTGGCATGCACCTGTAGTCTCAACTACTGGGGAGGCTGAGGCAAGAGAATTGCTTGAGCTTAGGAGGTTAAGGCTGCAGTGAGCCATGATCATGCCACTGCACTCCAGCCTGGGTGACAGAGTGAGACCCTATCTCAAAAAAAAAAAAAAAAAAAGAGATTCTGTCATTTGCAACAACATGGATGGAATTGGAGGTTATTATGCTAGGTGAAATAACCCAGGCACAGAAAGACAAACATCATCACATGTTCTCACTTGTTTGTGAGATCTAAAAATCAAAACAATTGAGCTCATAGAGATAGAGTAGAAGGATGGTTATGAGAGGCTGGGAAGGGTAGTGGGGGGATGTCAGGGAGGTGGGGATGGTTAATGTGTACAAAACATAGTTAGAATGAAAAAGACCTAGTATTTGATAGCACAACAGGACGATTATAGTCAATAAGTAATTTAATTGTACATTTTTAAATCACTGAAAGAGTATAATTGGATTGTAACACAAAGAATAAATACTTGAGGTAATGGATACCCCATTTTCCATGTTGTGATTATTATGCATTGCATGTCTCTATCAAAACATCTCATGTACCCCATAAATATATATACCTACTATCTACCCACAAAAATTAAAATTAAAAAAGAAAGATTGAATACCAAGAGAAAAGTAAGATAACTTGAGAAGTCAGGTCAGGAACCATGTTTTGCTAATTTCTGAGTGTCCCTCACCAAGCACGATACCTGTAAAATAATCAATGTTCTATAAGTGTTTGTTGATTGAAAACATCCTTGAATAAACAGGTGATGAAAGAGGAGCCAATGTAGGAATTAACAAAGTAATGGGAAAAAAACTAGCAAGTTATTATCAAAGAAGATGTAGCATTGAGTTTCAAAAAGTGAATGGTCAACAGTGTGGAATACTGTGGAAGATAGAACTAACAAACATGGAAAGACAATTTGGGGGAAATACAAACTATGCAGAAAGAATAAAACTTTGAAAAATTATTAGTATCAGAAATAAAAAGATATTGCAACCTATGAAATAACAACTAGATACTACAAAAACAAATGCAAAGAACAGAAAAAAATCATGAATATTACAAATTTGATGGCAGAAAATTTTAAAACTCAATAGAATTGTTGGAACATAAAATTCCTATGGAGAACAGCCCTTGCTGCCACCAACATGGAGACTTTGTACCATGTCCCGTTCTTTGTGCTCGAATGTCCTAACCTGAAGCTGAAGAAGCCACCCTGGCTGCCCATGCCGTTGGCCATGACTGTGTATGCTCTGGTGGTGGCGTCTTACTTCCTCATCACCAGAGGAATAATTTATGATGTTATTGTTGAACCTCCAAGTGTTGGTTCTGTGACTGATGAACATGGGCATCAGAGGCCAGTAGCTTTCTTGGCCTACAAAGTAAATGGACAGTATATTATGGAAGGACTTGCATCCAGCTTCCTGTTTACAGTGGGAGGTTTAGGTTTCATAATCCTGGACTGATCGAATGCACCAAATATCCCAAAACTCAATAGATTTCTTCTTCTAGTCATTGGATTCGTGTGTGTCTTATTGAGGTTTTTCATAGCTACTCAAGTATTCATGAGAATGAAACTGCCAGTCTATCTGATGGGTTAGACTGCATTTGAGAAGAAATCAGTGGATACTGGATTTGCTCCTATCAAAGAAGTTTTAAAGGCTGTACCAGTCCTCTAATATGAAATGTGGAAAAGAATGAAGAGCAACAGTAAAAGAAATATGTACTGAAAAAACAGGAAGCATATTGAAGCTTGGCCTAGAATTTATTCTTGGTATTAAAGAGACAAGTTTATCACAGTATTTTTTTTTCCTGCTGACCTTTTGCTATGCCAGCGATGTTGAGTGGCATTTTCTTCTTAGTTTTTCATTTCTTAAAGAAAATATACTCTATATCTACAACTATAATATCAAATAAAGTGATTATTTTTTGCAACCCACTTAAAAAATTCCTATGGAGTAGAACAAAAAGAGAGATGAAAAAGAGGAGGAAAAATGTATCAAAAATTAAAACGAGTCCTCAAATTCCAGTGTTTAACTAATAGGGGTTAATAGGGGTTTCAGAAATAGAAAACAGAGGTAAGGAATTCACCAATGAAATAATTGAACAAAATTTTCTAGAATGAAACGTGAATTTCTTTTTTTTTTTTTTGGAGACGGAGTCTCACTCTGTCGTCCAGGCTGGAGTGCAGTGGCACGATCTTGGCTCACTGCAAGCTCCGCCTCCCGGGTTCACACCATTCTCCTACTTCAGCCTCCCCAGTAGCTGGGACTCCAGGCGCCCACCACCACGCCCGGCTAATTTTTTGTATTTTTAGTAGAGACGGGGTGTCACCGTGTTAGCCAGGATGGTCTCGATCTGCTGACCTTGTGATCCACCCACCTCGGCCTCCCAAAGTGCTGGGATTACAGGCATGAGCCATTGTGCCTGGCCCAAAAACATGAATTTCTAAAGTGAAAAGATTCTGACTGGGTGGGATGGTTCACGCCAGTAATTCCAGCACTCTGGGAGGTCAAAGCAGGAGGATCGCATGAGCCCAGGAGTTCAAGACCAGCCTGGGCAACAAAGTAAGGTCCCCATCTCTACAAAAAAAAAATCAAAAAGATTAGCTGGGCATGGTGGTGTGTGCCTGTAGTCCCAGCTGCTCAGGAGGCCGAGGCAAGGCCAGAGGATTGCTTGAGCCCAGGAGTTTGAGGCTGCAGCAAGCTACAATGGCACCACTGCACTCCAGCCTGGAAGACAAAGATCCTGTCTCAGAAAAAAAAAAAAAAAAAAAAAAAAAAAAGACATACAACAGCAACAAAACAGTGAGAGGATTCCACTAAATGCCAAGAAAGGGAAAAGAATAATCTTTTCAATAAGCGATGTTGGATCAACTAAAAATCAACTTTCCAGTTGAAACTTGATTTCTACCTGATACCATTCAGAAAAATCAGTTGTGGATGGATTGTGGATATAAATGTGAAAAGTAGAAGAGTAAAACCTAAAAGATAAGAGAACACCTTCATGTCCTTGAGGTAGAGAAAAATTTCTTGAGTAGGAAAAGACCAATAAATTGGAATACATTAATTTTTTTTTTTTGAGACGGAGTTTCGCTCTCGTTGCCCAGACTGGAGTGCAATGGCATGATTTCAGCTCACCGTACATTAAAATTTTTAAATTACCACTTATCAGCCAGGCACCGTGGCTCACACCTGTAATCCCAGCACTTTGGGAGGCTGGGGCAGGCAGATCACCTGCGGTCAGGAGTTCAAGACCAGCCTGGCCAGCATGGTGAAATCCCATCTCTACTAAAAATACAAAAATTAGCCAGGCATGGTAGTGTGCACCACCTGTAATCCCAGCCACTTGGGAGGCTGAGGCAGGAGAATGGCTTGGACCCTGGAGGCGGAGGTTGCAGTGAGCTGAGATCACACCACTGCACTCCAGCCTGGGCAATAGAGTAAGACTCCATCTCAAAAAAAAAAAAAGAAAAAAAAAAAAAAAGAAAAATTGCTTCCTTAGACTTAATAACCCCCTCAGGACAGGTCTCATTATATAAGCCTCAATGCTTACGTGGAGGCTGAACCCACACAATGGTTTGTTTCATAATTATTTATAAAAGACATCCTTTCTATCTTATCTTCACTTGTCACCATTTCTCTTATTAGTTTTAGTCCTTAGGAAAAAATTCAGACTATAATGTTAAAGTATCATTTACATTGACTAGGTCTAATTTACTGTTACTAAAGATAAGTGGTTTCATACTCATCTCTTTCTGTGAAAAGACTAAAATATTCTAACCAGTGAACATATAAGGGCATTTTAATTTAATTTGATTTTTAAACTAAAGAAAGGAGTTTTAGAAAAGATGCTGCCTGGGAGTTAGTGAGAGATAGCTGAAGAAGCCAGTTTGTGAACTCCACACCTAGTTTATCTACTTAAATGATTTGTGCCCTTGTTTATTCCTTAATGCTGTCCTCTACTGTGACCTTTGAATATTGACATTTCTTATAGATTAATCTTACATTTTCTCCTCTTCTTATTTTATATGATCTCTGTAGGCAATCTCAGTTACATCCTTGTCTTCAAATATTATCTACATTCCAAGACACACAAATGTATTTCTTTCTTTCTTTCTTTCTTTTTTTTTTTTTTTGAGGCAGGGTCTTACTCTCTCACCTAGGCTGGAATGCAGTGGCACAATCACAGCTCACTGCAGCCTTAGTCTCCCTGGGCTCAGGTGATCCTCCCACCTCAGCCTCCCAAGTAGCTGGGACTACAGGCTCATGTCACCATGCTTGGCTAATTTTTGTATTTTTTTATAGAGACAGGGTCTCACTGTGTTGCCCAGGCTGGTCTTGAACTCTTGGTCTCAAGCAACACACCCACCTTGGCCTCCCAAAGTGCTAGGATTACAGGCATGAGCCACTGTGCCCAACCTCACACATGTATTTCTTCAGCCCATATCTTTTGAGCGTTAGACTCTATATCCAACTATTTAATGTCATAAAGGCATCCCAAGATCAACATACCCAAATGTGATTTTATTATCTTCTTCCCCAAATTTATTTATCCTCCTGTATTCACCATATAGCACCACCATCTAGCCATGGAATCATGATGAAAACCTTGTAGTTACTCCTAACACCTTTGCCTTTTGTGTATTCCACATGCAATATATTGCAAGATATGTTAATTTTACCTCTGAAATATATTTCATAATTTTCTACTTCTCCCTATTAAATCAAACCACTATAATCTCTCACGTAAATTGCTATAGTAGCCAATCTAACTGATCTTTCAATTTCCACTATTAATCCCCTCTATTCCATTCTTCACACCACCATCCTTCAGTGGCCTCCTATTACTGTTAGGATCGAGTCCAAATTTCTGTGGCATACAAAACTTTGCATGATCTGGCTTTTGCCTGCATTTTCACATGATATTCCCTCTCCTTGAGAGAATATCCTCCTTTCCCATACTATTTCTATCCTCCCTCCCTTATTATAGTTGTATTTAATTACCAATTTATGACATAATGTTTTTTTTGAACAAAAAGTACACAGTATTTCTTCCACTCTCTGCCAGGCTAACTCCTATTTATTCTTCAAGTGTCAGCTTAAATGTCACTTTCTCAGAGAAGCCTTCTTTGACTCTTCTTCCTTTCCACACAAAAATGTGTACATGTGATTATTTGCTTCAGGTCTCTCTCCCCAACTATAAGCTCCGTATCTGCTTTGTTTACCATTATATATCCAGTATTTGGCACAGGCACAGGTTCTGTACATATCAAGCTCTCTATAAATATTGGCTGAATAAATGAAAATGTCTTAGAAATGAAAATGAAAATGTCTTAGAAAATTCTCCATGGGGGGGAATACTATACAGCCATAAAAAATGAAGAGTTCATGTCCTTTGTAGGGACATGGATGAAACTGGAAACCATCATTCTCAGCAAACTATCGCAAGGACAAAAAACCAAACACCACATGTTCTCACTCATAGGTGGGTATTGAACAATGAGAACACATGGACACAGGAAGGGGAACATCACACTCCGGGGACTGTTGTGGGGTGGGGGGAGGGGGGAGGGATAGCATTAGGAGATATACCTAATACTAAATGACGAGTTAATGGATGCAGCACAGCAACATGGCACATGTATACATATATAACAAACCTGCACATTGTGCACATGTACCCTAAAACTTAAAGTATAATAATAATAAAATTAGAATTAAAAAAAAAGAAAATTCTCCATGGGGTCTCTTGCCAGTTCATTCTCTTCCCAAATGACTTTGCTTGCCTCAGCAATCACACCAACTCCTTGTAGTTTGTTACCTCGATGCCCCAAATATTAACTCACTTCCTTTTTTGCTGCTGTCACCCATTTTAGCAGCTCAGTTTCTCCTGGGGTCCATTGTAGGCCAGCAAACATTTGTACAATTTACTTTCCTTTCTCTCCTATCAAATAAACAAACCCTTTTGAAGTTTAGGTGAAGTTGTACTGTTAGTAACTCTCAAGGTTTTGCCTCTTCCTAGCCCTATCCCAGCAGTTTTCCATAGATATACACTAGGTATTTATAAACTGTGCCTTATTTCTTCCACAGCTACTGCCGTTATCATCACCTGGGTGCCAAATGTTCTCCACTTTTTTCCATACCCCTTCAAACCCTTAGAGGAGAGGGTGTCAGTCCACACTTCCAGCCAGTTGTTTAAGGCCGACTGCCCTAAAAGACTAGATCCTGTTCCTGCTTTTTCATATCCTAACTTAACCACCCCAGGGTCAGAATTGGTATTCAAACCATCTCTGCCCTCTGCTGCTGGAGCACCATTGCTGTTCATTCCAACCCCAATCCTTAGCTCCAAGGTACTCAACAACCCAGTCCTTGGTTTAACCTGGTTTATCTCAGTTTTATCTCTATGGATCTCCTGAAAACCAGAATTGTTAGGAGTTAGACTCCATAACCTGCATTTTTCACAGAAACCCCAAGTAATTATTTTGTATATTAATATCTGAGAATCACTGTACTGGTAAGAACTCTAATTATCCTCACTGTGGGAAAAATGCATTATTCTGACTAATTCCATATTCTCTGTAGCAGAATAAGCTGAGAAAATATGGGATTTGGCTATCTTCAGATACACCATCAGTTACAGCTTCAGGGGACCTAAAACCAACTAGTGAATCCAGCGGTATGAGACTGAAGGCCAAAGTATAGCCTTGTAGTAAAGAGACAGGCTTTGGAAAGAGACCAATATATATATCCTGGCTGATATACTTTACATCTAAGTTACCTTGTCTAAACTTTAGTTTCTTCATTTTAAAATTAGGAGAATAATATGGCCTCATAGAGTTGTTATGAAGGTTCCTTGGAATTTATTCGATAAATATTTATTGAGCACCTACTATATGGCAGGCACCTTTCTATGTGTTGTGAATATACCAGCAAACAAAAACTTTTGCCCTCAAGGAGCATACATTCTAATGGGTATATGTATAAAAAGTGCCTCTAGCATACAGAAAGAACTCAATAAATTCTTGTTACTTACAAATATTTAAGGATAAGGAGTATATTTGTTTTCTTTTGCCACTTTTGGGATATAAAAGAAGCATAGGACACAATATATGCCTATGTGGTGCTTAGTGAGATATGTATTTGTTCATTCTATAAATATTAACTCAGTGCTGTGATGAGCCTGACACTGTGAAGTACAAAAATGAATCCCTATTTTTAAAAAATTTCAATTTAGTTGGGAATATATGAGAAATGCAAAATTCTAATGTAAAACAAGGTGCAAGAGAAGTAATAATAAAGTGCTATGAAGAACATTTAAGGAACGTAATAATAAAGTACTATGTAGAATGTTAATTAGTAAGTGAATGAATATCAGGAGAATACAAATACAAAAAATAGAGTTATTGCCTTTATATGCTGAGCACATGAGCGTAATAAGATGGGCATACTTTCGGCAGGTGGCAATGGAGTATATGGCTAATTCAGTGAGAAGGTTAAAAAAGAAATCTGTTGCCAAGTAAACTGGCAATACATGAACCTCAGCAGTGTTAGCCTCTCTGTACACTAATTTTATGATTTCTTTTTTTTTTTTTCTGAGACAGAGTCTCACTCTGTCGCCCAAGCTGGAGTGCAGTGGCGCAATCTCGGCTCACTGCAAGCTCCGCCTTCCGGGTTCACACCATTCTCCTGCCTCAGCCTCCCAAGTACCTGGGACTACATGCACCCACCACCACACCCAGCTAATTTTTTGTATTTTTAGTAGAGACTGTGTTAGCCAGGATGGTCTCGATCTCCTGACCTCATGATCCGCCCGCCTCAGCCTCCCAAAGTGCTGGGATTACAGGTGTGAGCCACTGCGCCTTCCTATGGTTTCTGTTTCTCATTGCGGCCCTGACTCTGGAGCTGAAGTAATATTAACAATGAGAACGGTTGGGTTTTTTGGTCAAAGAACAGGTTAGAGGAAGGAGGAGGAAAAGAATGTCATAAGCCAATGTGGTTGACTTCTGGGAACAGTCTTTCTGGCTGAAGCATATCATAAGTGTAGGGGAAGACAAGATGAAAAATAAAAGATAGGGCCTGAGCATAGAGGGCCTTGAATGGCATGCTAGGGCATTTGGACGTAATTTAGTAAGAATAGGGCATGACTGAATACTTTTGAGCAGGGAAGTGATTATGATCAGAACTATGTTTATTTGGGGAGTTCTCAGAGCACTTAAAACAGAACTATGATGCCACCCAGCAATCCCATTACTGGGCATATACCCAAAGGAGAATAAATCATTCTACCAAAAAGATACAGGCACTCATATTCACAATAGCAAAGACGTGGAATCAACCTAGGTGCCCAACAGCAGTGGATTGGATAAAGCAAATATGGTACATATACATCATGGAATTCAATGCAGCTATTAAAAAAAGACCAAAATAATTTCCTCTGCAGCAATGTGGATGCAGCTGGAGGCCATTATCCTAAGTAAATTAATTCAGAAATAGGAAGCCAAATACCACATGTTCTCACTTATAAGTGGGAGCTAAGCATTGGTTACACATGGTCATAAAGATGGGGACAGTAGACACTGGGAACTCCTCGAGAGGAGAGAAAAGGAAGGGACAAGATCTGAAAAAGTACCTATTGGGTACTATGCTCACTACCTGGGTGATGGGATCATTTTTACCCCAAACCTCAGCATCACACAGTATACCCATGTAACAAACCTGTACGTATATCCCCTGAATCTAAAATAAGAGTTGAAATTATTTTTTAAAAAACTCGGCCAGGTATGGTGGGTTATGCCTGTAATAACACTTTGGGAGGCTGAGGTGGGAGGATCTCTTGAGCCCAGGAGTTCGAGACCAGCCTGGGCAATATAGCAAGACCCTATCTCTACAAAAAAAATTTAAAAATAAATTAGTTGGGCATAGTGGTGCATGTCTTTAGTCCCAGCTACTTGGGAAGCTAAGGTGGTAGGATCACTTGAGCGCAGGAGGTTGAGGATGCAGTGAGCCATGATGGCACCACTACACTCCAGCCTGGGCAACAGAGTGAGACCCTGTCTAAAACAAACAACAAAAAACTATGTTTAGAATAAGACATTTGAAGAAAAGTAGCATAGAATAGATACAATAAAGTGGCAGATCATATGTGTTAATTTGTATTTGTGGAATGAGTGAATATGTGAGCCCTCCTAATTCCCTAGAGAATAAGATATACTACAAAAAAGCATAGCAAAGGAGTAGCTTTGTTGTGCTGACCCAAATTTTATTTAAGCAGAGTTCTGACATAGGGAGACGAGGAGTAAGGCAAACTGATTAAACATGACATGAATTTGTAACCTATGGCATGACCACACCTATAGAGTATTGATTTATGGACTATTGTCACTTGGAGGTAGGTTTCTAAAAACTTGTCACAGAATAAGTTTTAGTAATCTATTGCACTACATGGTGACCACAGTTAATAATAATGTTGTCATTTTTGTTGTTTTTGAGACAGGGTCTCACTCTGTTGCCCAGGCGGGAGTGCAGTGGCACGATCTCGGCTCACTGCAATGTTCACCTCCCAGGTTCAAGCAATTCTCGTGCCTCAGTCTCCCAGGTAGCTGGGATTACAGGCATACAGCACTACACCCAGCTAATTTTTGTACTTTTGGTAGAGGAGGGTTTCGCCATGTTGGTCAGGCTAGTCTCAAACTCCTGGCCTCAAGTGATCCACCTGCCTCAGCCTCCCAAAGTGCTGGGAGTGCAGGCATGAGCCACTGCACCCAACCAATAATGTATATTTCAAAAGTACTAAAATAGATTTTTAACATTCTTACCACATCAAAAAAAAAAAAAAAACTGGTGAGGTGATGGGTATGTTAATTGGCTTGATCAAATCTTCCTATAATGTATACATAGGTCAGGCTGGGTGGGCATGGTGGCTCACACCTGTAATCCCAGCACTTTGGGAGGCCAAGGCAGGCAGATCACTTGAGGCCAGGAGTTTGAGACCAGCCTGGCCAACATGGCGATGCCCCATCTCTGCCAAAAATACAAAAATTAGCCAGGCATGGTGGCACATGCCTGAAATCCCAGCTACTTGGGAGGCTGAGGCACAAAAATCACTTGAACCCAGGAGGTGGAGGTTGCAGTGAGCCGAGATCGTGCCACTGCACTCCAACCTGGATGACAGAGTGAGACTCTGTCTCAAAAAAAAAAAAAAAAGTATGCATAGATTAAAACATTACATTGTACCCCATATATACACACAATTATTTGTCAGTTAAAATTTTTTAAAAAACAAATTGTTACAGCACTCTGTCTATAAGAGAGTGAAAGATGATTCAGTTTTCATTTCACAGACATTTTCAGAGTGCTTGTCACATTATCAGCACTATGCTATAGGTGATACAGCTTTGGATTCAACTGGGGATTCAACTGTGAGTAAGGAGTTAACAGACTACTAGGAGAGAGGGATGTGTAAATAACTATAACTATGTTTTAAGTGGTTTTGTCAAGGTGAGCTCAATATGAAAATATATTTTATATAAATTTATAAAATCATATCACCCTGTATGAAACTCTACTTATGCTTTAGGGGACAATTTTCTAGTGAACTTTAAAAAAACAGAATTTTTTTGGCCTATAATCCCAGTACTTTGGGAGACTGAGTTGGGAGGATTGCTTGAGCCCAGGAGTTTGAGACCAGCCTGGGAAACATGGCAAAACCCTGTCTCTACAAAAAATTGTTTTAAAATAGTTGGGCATGGTGGCCCTCTCCTGTGGTGCCACCTACTTGGGAGGCTGAGGTGGAAGGATCGATGGAGCCTGGGAGGTCGAGGCTGCCATGAACCATGATCACGCTACTGCACTCCAGCAGCCTGGGTGACAGAGTGAGACCCTGTCTCAAACAAACAAAAAGAACTTTTCATGTTCAAAGAATGTATTTTTATTTTAAAATAATGTGTGCCTAGTAAGGCATATTTGAACTTCATAGAAAAGCAAAAAGAAGAAACAAAATGTCACTCTCCTGGGGAAAAAAATGCACAATTTGCATATTGTATATCTCTTCTAACCTTTTTTCCCCTACAGTGGTATCTGTAGATCTTAGATGAAGCTATAACTGAGACTTAAGTGAACATGCAAGTAGCATTAGATCTTTTAATTTAGGCTTTTTGAAAAATTAATTTTATGTATTTATTTATTTTGTTTAGGACTATACAGTTGACAAAACCCATATTAAAGCAGAATGACCCATCTCTGTTTGAATATGCTCACAAAGTGCCCCTCCAGCTGAATGTGTAGCATGTGAACTCAGGTGATTCATTTCACTGTTCTCATTCTTCATAGGTGCCCCTGACCCCACAGCTGGGGCCAGCATTGACGATGAGAACTGTTGGCATTTGGATGAAGAACAGGTGAAAGAACAAGTGAAGCTTTTTCTCTCCCAGGGCGGTTACTGTGGCTCTGGAAAGCAACTCAACTCAATGTTTGCCAAGGTAAGATATGAAAAGGTGTTTTTCTTTTGTTGTTGACAAAAGAAGCTTAAGTCAGACTGGGCACACCACACTTCAGGCTTCATGCATTATACCTAGCTCACTTGACATAGCTGAACTGAATACTTGAAATCTAGTGGGAGAGGCTGACCAGACCTGAGCAGGTTGCATCCAAGGAGGCCTCCCACCTCAACCTGGTAGTCCTGTTCCTTCTGCTCTGCTCTCTAAAAGAGTTAGTATTGCTGGGGCATTTTAGCAAGGAAACTACCTTCCCTCTGCTTTTAATCCAGTGCTGCCTGATGAAGCCTGAAGACTAGAGTTTCAACATTGTTCCTAAAGACACTTAATATTTTGAAACTAGGGGCTCTCACAGCAGGCTGTTTTTCTTTTCTTTTTTTTCCCCTTAATACCTTCAGTGAGATATAATTCATATACTATACAATTCACCCATTTAAAGTGTTAAAATTCAGTTCAGTGGTTTTTAGTATATTCATAGTTATATGCAACCATCACCACAATCAACTTTAGGACATTTTCATCACCTCAAAAAGAAACCCTATACCCTTACCTATCCCTCCCTTGTCCTCTATGTCTCCCTCCCTCAGCCCTAAGAAACCACTAATCTACTTTCTGTCTCTATAGATTTCCCTATTCTGGACTTTCATATGAATGGAATCATTCATATAGTATGTAGTCTTTTATGATTGGCTTCCTTCACTCAGCATAATGTTTTTAAGATTCATCAGTGTCATAGCATGAATCAGTACTTCATTCCTTTTTATGTCTGAACAATAAATGTGGATTTATTGTTCAAAATGTGGATACCCTACGTTTTATTTATCCATTCATCTGTTAGTGAACATTTGAGTTGTTTCTACCTTTTGGCTATTATGAATAGTGCTGCTATAAACATTCTTGTATAAGGTTCTATGTGGACATATATTTTCATTTCTTTCTTGGAGTGGAATTGATGGGTCATATGGTAACTCTATGCTTAATCATTTGAAGAACTGCCAGTCTGTTTTCCAAGGTGGCTGCATCATTTTACGTTCCTACCAACAGTGTATGATGTGTCAATTTCTTTACATCCTGTCCAACACTTGTTATCTGACTTTTTAATTCTAGCCATCCTAGTGGGTGTGAAGTGGTATCTTATTGTGAACATCAGGCTTTCTTGGTACATGCAGAGATCTTGCTTACAGAACAAGAGGCCTTCTTTCTGGCTCTTTTGGATATGGTGTACTCAGATACTTCATCTTCACTTCCCCCTCCCCCACTTCCTTCTCCTCCTACTTTTTTGTGATACACAATCACCAATCCCTTGCCACTTCTTATGTGTCAGGTTCGAGAAATGCTGCGGATGAGAGATTCCAATGGAGCAAGGATGCTGACACTAATAACTGAGCAGTTTGTGGCTGACCCACGACTCACACTCTGGAGGCAGCAAGGAACAAACATGACAGACAAGTGCAGGCAGCTCTGGGATGAGCTAGGTAAGTTCCCATCATTCAGAGAAGTGCTTTGTTCTACCATCTTGCCCTGTGGCAACAGTGTTTATGAGCCCTTGCCATCAGTCGTTGCATGGATCTTGCTAAGTCCAGCTGGTAGAAGACTTAGGTTCTACAGAGGCCACCCAGAGTAACACTGAACTCACTTTTGTTGCTTCCACAGCATTGTGCTTTGCTATTGACATCAAGCATTCTGTTCCAGATGTTAACAAGTGGAAACCTTTGTTGAGAGAAAACCTCTTTGCTTGTCTTCTGTTTCATGGCAGTAACCTGGCTCTCCAAATACTTATCAGCCTCACTTTTGTTGCTTTTCCCGAGTCTGCTGTTCTGTATCACTCCCAGCCAGACCTTTAAGACGTAGGGCAGTTTCCAATACTTGGACTTAACCTTCTATTCTTCCTTCATTATATTCCCTTGATAACTTTTTTTAAAATATCATAGCTTCAGAGCTTACTTATATGGTCATTTCACCTTTATATTCTTTCTACTCATCTGAGTTATAGTCCCACATGAGTAGATGTCCACTGACCATTTCCAATGAGAAATCAAAAATGAACTTGGGCTTTCTCCTACAAAAAAAGGCTCTTGTGACTGGCATTGGCACCACCATTCCTTACTTTACCAAACTTATTGCTAAGCACTCATTTTTCTTTCATTCCCTACATCCAGTGACCAACTTTATTTGATTTCTCAACCTTTAAAATGCAATGTAGTGTCCATTCCCCCGTGAAACTTTTAGATTAGATTAGAACTGTGACCTTCTAATGGCCTCACTGTTCTAGGTTCTCCCTCATCAAGGCAGTCCTCTGTGGCCATCATTTCTCTTTAGCATTCCCTTGCTCTAAGACCAGTTTTGCAATGCTAATACTTCTTGCCCTGCTTTCAGAATCTTCCATACCCTGAACTCAGGGTCACACACTAGTAAGTTTTGGCTCTAACACTGGAAGCCCAATCTGTCTGACTTTAAATCAAATATCCCTCTGTAACATCTCCCTCAATTCTATCTTAAGTCCTTTTATTTCTTCAAAGTGCATGTTCCTTAAGAACTTGAAGTTAGCCTTGGGAGAGTCAGTTTCATCTGAGGCCTGAATGTCTTAATTTCTGAACCAGTCACAGGATTGTGCTGTGAACTTGGGCTTTACCTCTGGGACAAAGGTAGTTGGGAGGAAGTAAGTAGAGATGGCTCCTGGTGCTTTTGAAACTCTTGTTATATACTTGGGTTCATTATGAAAAACTCTTGCTTCTGGCATTTTCATATCTAACAAATTACTGTACCTACCATCCAAGAAACCCTCAGCATTCTGCTAAGACAGTGGTTCTCAAACCTTTCAGAATCACCTGGAGTACTTGTTTAAACAGATCACTGGGCCCTATCCCGAGTTTCTGAATTAGTAGGTTTGGAGTGGAGCCTGAGAATTTGCATTTCAAACAAATTCCCAGGGGATGCTGATGCTGCTGATCCAGAGACCACACTTTGAGAACCACTGCACTTAGAGAAGGCTTATTAGGTTAGACACTAGAACACAGTGCATTCATGCTTCCCCTAACTATTCTAAGGGCTCCCCTAGCTATTCTTAGGGCTCCTTACAGATCACAAGGCCTATACACCTATGGAGAACCTAGGCAGGGTTTGTAGGAACTACAAATGTAGAGAGAAATGGCTCACTACTTTCCATTTCTGAACTAGAGAAAATGGGACCGATCACACATGAAGTTTCATCATCTCCCCACCTACAAATCTACTAATGCTTTCTATGTCTCTACCCATATGGTTTGCCTTCTCCTCTATTAAAATCCATAAAGTATCTCTGCTGTCATGAAAGGCCAACCCTTACGTGTTTGCTCTGGGTTCTGTTCTATCTCCTTTTCTCAAGAATGTTGCTCCTACAATTATTTCTTTGCTTGGGCATTATTAACTTTTTTCTCTCTACAGGATCATTTCCATCAGCATACAAATATGCTCTAATATCTTTTTTTTTTTTTGAGACAGAGTCTCACTCTGTCACCCAGGATGGAGTGCAGTGGCGCAGTCTTGGCAGTGGCACAGTCTTGGCTCACTGCAACCTCTGCCTCCTGGGTTCAAGCAATTCTTCTGCCCCAGCCCCCTGAGTAGCTGGGACTACAGGCATGCATCACCATGGCCCAGCTAATTTTTGTATTTTTAGTAGAGATGGGGTTTCACCATGTTGGCCAGGCTGGTCTCAAACTCCTGACCTCAGGTGATCCACCCACCTCGGCCTCCCAAAGTGTTGAGATTACAGGCGTGAGTCACCGTGCCTCACCTGCTCTAATATCTTTGATCTCAAATTTTAAAAAATACTCCTTTGATATTCCAACTGTCCTCACCAACTATTAACCCATTTCTCTTCTCCCCTTTGAAATAACACTTCTTTAAAAAATTATCTGTGGTCACTCTTTCCATTTGCTCCCCTCCATTCTTTCTTGAGCCCACTCCAGTTGGGTTTCCATTGCCCATTGCTGCCAGTCTCCTGAAGTAGCTGTTGTCGAAATCACAAATAATTTCCATATTGCTAAATACAACAGTCACTTCTCTGTTCTTATCTTACTTCAAAACGCTTAGCAGTTTTCAGTATACTTGACCATACTCTTTTATTTTTCCTTCCTTTTGTAGCAACAGGGTCTCGCTATGTTACCCAGGCTGGTCTTGAACTCCTAGCCTCAAGCAATTCTACCGCCTCCATCTCCCAAAGTGCTGGGATTACAGGCACGAGCCACATGCCCATACTCTTTCTGAAACACTCTTCTCTTGGTTTCCATAACTGCATACCCACTGGGTTTCCCCACTGTGTTCCTGGTGACTTTCACTCAGTCTCCTTTGCAGACTTCTCTGCCTTTCCTCAACCCTTCTAAATATTGAGTGCCCCCCAGCATCCACTTTCCTGTTTACGTTCTCTACCTAAATGATTATATATTCAGTCCCATGGCTTTAAATACTATCCAGATGCAGATAAATCACAAATGTATGTCTCTAGCCCTGATCTTTCCCCTGAGCTCCAGGCTGTGTCCAGCTGCCCATCACTTCTAAGAAACATCTCAAAGTTAATACAGACATCACAGAACTCTTAATTTTCCTGCCAAAGCCTTGTTTTCCCCTTGTTGTCGCCATCTCAATATATAGCATCAAGATGTATTATCTTGTTGCTCAATGGCCAGGCACGGTTTCTCACGCCTGTAATCCTAGCACTTTGGGAGGACAAGGCAGGCAGATCACCTGAGGTCAGGGGTTCAAGACAAGCCTGGCCAACATGGTGAAACCCTGTCTCTACTAAAAATACAAAAAACTGGCCGGGCACAGTGGCTCACACCTGTAATCCCAGCACTTTGGGAGGCCAAGGCAGGCGGATCACGAGGTCAGGAGATTGAGACCATCCTGGCTGACACGGTGAAACCCCATCTCTACTAAAAATACAAAAAATTAGCCAGGCATGGTGGTGGGCGCCTGTAGTCCCAGCTACTCGGGAGGCTGAGGCAGGAGAATGGCATGAACCCGGGAGGCGAGCTTGCAGTGAGCCAAGACCGTGCCACTGCACTCCAGCCTAGGCGACACAATGAGACTCCATCTTAAAAAAAATACAAAAAATTAACCGGGCATGGTGGCAGGTGCCTGTAATGCCAGTTACTTAGGAGGCTGAGGCAGGAGAATCGCTTGAACCTGGGAGGCAGACATTGCAGTGAGCTGAGATCATGCCACTGCACTCCAGCCTCGGTGACAGAGCGAGACTCCATCATTGCTCAAGAAGAAAATTTAAGGGTTATCCTTGATTCCCTATTTTCTTTTACATCCAAACCAAGACCTGTTGATCCTCAGAGTTAGAGGACTGAATGAGATAAAGTGCTTAACACCTTAATTCCTAGCTGATGAAAAGAAATCAGTGATAGCTATTATTTTATTATATTTAATATTTAATAATTACGTAAAATTTTAATTTCCATAGTAGCTACCTTTGCTTTGAGTTTTTGATACTTTTAAAATTTTTTGTTGTTGTTTTTTGAGAAAGTGTCTCACTCTGTTGCCCAGTCTGGAGTGCAGTGGTGCGATCTCAGCTCACTGCAACCTCTGCCTCCTGGGTTCACTCAATTCTTCTGCCTCAGCCTCCCAAGTAGCTGAGACTACAGGCGCGCACCACCACGCCCGGCTAATTTTTCTACTTTTGTAGAGACAGGGTTTCACCATGTTGGCCAGGCTGGTCTCAAACTCCTGACCTCAAGTGATCCACCTGCCTCGGCCTCCCAAAGTGCTGGGACCATAGACATGAGCCACCACGCCCAGGCCAAATTTATTTTTATTGATTTACTTTGAGACAGGATCTCACTGTCCCCTAGGCTGGAATACAGTGGTGTGATCATAACTCACTGCAACTCAAACTCCTGGGATCAAGAAATACTTCCACCTCAGCCTCCCAAGTAGCTGGGATTACAGGCAGAGGCTATCACACTCAGCCAATTCTAATTTTTTGTAGAGGTAGGGTCTCACTATGTTGCCCAGGCTGATCTCAAACTCCTGGCTTTGTGATCCTCCACCTCAGCCTCCCCAAGCACTGGTATTACAAGCATGAGACACTGTACCAAGCCAACACTTTTTTTTAAGTTGTAGGAAAATATGCTTCTGGATACTGATAACAGTCTTGTGAGTGATGTTTTATACAGGCAACTAGTAGGATTTTTTGCTTTGTCTCTTTCTCAGGGTTGTAATTGTATTGAAACAAATTTATAAGGATGTAATTAATAAGACAGAAAACTCATTTGTAACTTATAGGTGAAAGTACTTGTGCTCACTTTCTAGGGATCCTTTTTTTTTTTTTTTTTTTTTGAAACAGAGTCTCGCTCTGTCGCCCAGGCTGGAGTGCAGTAGTTCAATCTTGGCTCACTGCAACCTTTGCCTCCTGGACTCAAGAGATTCTCTTGCCTTGGCCACCTGAGTAACTGGGATTATAGGCACACACTATGATGCCTGGCTAATTTTTTGTATTTTTAGTAGAGATGGGGTTTCACCATGTTGGCCAGGCTGGTCTCGAACTCCTGACCTCAAGCAATCCACCTGCCTCCGCCTCCCAAAGCACTGGGATTACAGGAATGAGCCACCGCACCCGGCCAGGATCCCCTTCTTAATATCAAAATGCCTAGGAAATTGGAACTCCTCCAGGACTAGAATTAGCACCCTGTTTCTTTACCTCTTAAGCCTCTCATCTCACCTAATCTGTTTTCCATTCCTATTATCCTATTGATTTTGCCATTCCTAAGGTCACCAGAGTTCTTCTGAAGTTGCCAGATTTAGTAGCTTCTTTTTTTGGTCCTCTTTTTTACCTGTGAAGATTAAATATGAAAATCTGTTTCTACACTATAGATGAAAAGCCCTTCTTAAACTGTAAAATAAATGTTACTATAATCCCCTAAAGAGTCACTGTTGTAAGTATCAGTTCCTTTTTTCTTTTTTTTTTTTTTTTTGTTTGAGACGGAGTTTCACTCTTGTTGCTCAGGCTTGAGTGCAATGGCGGGATCTCAGCTCACTGCAACCTCCGCCTCCCAGATTCAACCGATTCTCCTACCACAGCCTCCCAAGTAGCTGGGATTACAGGCATGCACCAACACACCTGGCTAATTTTTTGTATTTTTAGTAGAGACGGGGTTTCTCCATGGCAGTCAGGCTGGTCTTGAACTCCCGACCTCAGGTGATCCGCCCACCTCAGCCTCCCACAGGGCTAGGATTACAGGAGTGAGCCACTGCACCCAACACATAATATAGTTTCTTTTTCATGGTACATTTAAAAAATTGAATTGAAAAAATAGAAATGAGGGTTTTTTCTTTTTTTTTTTTCCCATCACCCATGCTGGAGTGCAGTGGTGTGATCTCGGCTCACTGTAACTTCCACCTCCTGGGCTCAAACAATCCTCCCACCTCAGCCTCCTGAGTAGCTGGGACCAGCTGGGTGCATACCACCATGCCCAGCTAATTTTTTGTATTTTTGGGAGAGACAGGGTTTCACCATGTTGCCCAGGCTGGTCTCAAACTCCTGAGCTCAAGTGATCTGCCCTCCTTGGCCTGCCAAAGTGCTGGGATTATAAGTGTGAGCCACAGCACCCAGCCAGAAATTAATTTTCATCTTCAATTAATATCTGAAATTGAGGCTAAGATGGCTTTTCAAAACATTCCTATTTGGCTTTGAGAGGCTTTGAAATAGTGTCCAAATGTACTTCTATCCATGGATGTAACTACATCCTAAAGGATGTTTATATTAAGACATACTGCAGCCAGCCATGGTGGCTCACGCCTGTAATCCCAGCACTTTGGGAGGCCAAGGCGAGTGGATCACCTGAGGTCAGGAGTTCTAAACAAACCTAGCCGACATGGTGAAACCTCATCTCTACTAAAAATACAAAAATTAGCCGGGCATGGTGGCGGATGCCTGTAATCCCAGCTACTAGGGTTGGGGGTGGGGTGCGAGGGGGGGCGCTGAGGCTGGAGAATTGCTTGAACTCAGGAGGTGGAGGTTGCAGCAGTGAGCCAAGATCGCCCCATCTCACTCCAGCTTGGGGGGCAAGAGCGAGACTTTGTCTCAAAAAAAAAAAAAAATCCCAAGAAAGTAATGGTTTTAAGGCATCACAAGTTATCAGCAGTTTGAAAATCCAAGTCCAAATAAATTATTTTTCTTGGATAAGCAAATACCAAGATTCTACTATGTGCTAGGTAATATGCTAGACCCTTTACAAAGGTTATCTCATTAAATTCTCACAATATCCCTACAAAGTAGGTATTTTTATGATCTCAGTTTTACAATTGAATGATTTGATGAAGCTCAGGAAGTTCAGCTAAGCAAAAAAATAAAACCTTTTCTGACTTCCTCGCTTCCAACCATGTCCTTGTGTTAAATGCCCTTCCTCTATGCTGCTTTCATACCCTGAACATATCTTTATCTTAATACTTATCATATTCAAATGGAATTATGTTTATTTATCTGTCTCCCTCACTAGACAGTTCCTCAAGGGTAGGAACAGTGTCTGCTTTATTCACCAGCACAGAGCCTTAACATAGGAGGCTCTTAATAAATATTTATTACACTGCAGATTTGAGCTCAGAGTTCAAGCCTAAATCTGTCTTTATATCACAGGCACACAGATTGAAATAAGATAGTCACTCTACTTTAAGGAAGTGTTGGGAAGGAAAAACAAGCCAGTTCTGAAAATCTTAGCAAGTTTTTTATATTAAGAAAAGATAATGCTTTGGAAACTTTCTCTACCATCTAAAAATGAAACTGAAACATTAAGGCTTACACACACATCAAAGGAGAGATGTTAAGAATATGGGTTGCTTTATTTTCCAGGGGCTTTATGGGTGTGCATAATTTTAAATCCACACTGCAAACTGGAGGAGAAATCCTGCTGGCTGCAGCAGCTGCAGAAGTGGAGCGACCTGGATGTCTGTCCCCTGGAGGATGGAAACTATGGACATGAGCTGCCCAACATCACCAATGCACTTCCCCAGAGTGCCATTCACAGCCCAGGTGAGCCAAGTGTCCTTTTAGGCTCTTTGTACCTGGAACTTCAAAAGGTGGGAGGGTAAACCCTAGAACAATGGTAGCTGGATAGCCTTTTAGCTGTCAGAATTGCCATTCTAAATAAGAAAAGCCTGTGTTTTTATTCATCTTGAAATGCCGAACCTTAAGTAAGGATAAGCTTTTATCTTTGACATTGAGTTGCTGTCCTTTTCCACATCTAGAGTGTCCTTACAGTGCCCAGCATAATGTCCTAGAGCCTCTGCGTGACTCCTGGTCTACTCTTCTGGTTCTTCATGTCTAATGTATTAAATATCTTGGCTTCAGTTGGGGTTGGTTTTAGCTGAGACCTAACTTAGGGGAGGAACAAAAGACCTGTAAGAAGCAATTTTAAAAAGTGTCCTGACCATAGCTTTTCTTACTTCTGTTTTCCTCAAATTTTTATACAGCAAATAGCTGGGTGGGATCATCCTCCCATATTATTGGTAGGATTCCTGCCCCATTTTAAGACACATCCAGTACAGTGATACCATACCCTCCACCCTTTGAGCCCACTCGCCTACAGACATCACTTGACATCAGCATTCGTATCAGTTTTAGTTCAACTAATTCAGTCTATTTGATGTTGTCAATTGATTATTCTTTAGCCTATTGAGAGCCTTTATTGGTAGAAGATTTTATCAGACACTGATTTTACAATTGGTTCCTTTTATTTTATTTTATTTGGAGACAAGGTCTCACTCTATCCCCCAGGCTGGAGTGCAGTGGCGCGATCTTGGCTCACTGCAACCTCTGCCTCCAGGGTTCAAGCAATTCTCATGCCTCAGCCTCCCGAGTAGCTGGGATTTCAGGTGTGAGAGCCACCACGCCCGGCTAATTTTTGTATTTTTAGTAGAGATGGGGTTTTGCCATGTTGGCCAGCCTGGTCTTGAACTCCTGACCCCAGGTGATCTGCCCACCGTCAGCCTCTCAGAATGCTGGGATTACAGGCATGAGCCACTGCGCCTGGCAGTTCCTTTTATTTCAAATAACTCTATTGGTATTTTCAGTCTCAAGGAGGAAATCATGAAAATTTTTGTTTTTGTTTGGTCTTATTCTGTACCATAATTAGTTGTCAGTATATTTAAGACAACTAAGGTAATGAAAGAGGTAAAGGCTACAATTTTGCCACTTCTTTACCCTTTCCTGGCATTCATCTAGCTTCCACAACACAGGAAGCCATCTCTTTGATAGTGGCTTTGGATAGCATAGAGAGGGTCAAATGCATACAAACACATGCTTTGTTCTGTTGCCCAGGCTGGAGTGCAGTACTGCGATCTCGGCTCACTGCAACCTCTGCCTCCCAGGTTCAAGCAATTCTGCTGCCTCAGCTTCCCGAGTAGTTGGGACTACAGGCGTGGGCCACCACACCTGGCTAATTTTTGTATATTTAGTAGATACAGGGTTTCACCATATTGGCCAGGCTGGTGTCAAACTCCTCAAGTGATCTGCCCGTCTTGGCCTCCCAAAGTGCTAGTATTACAGGCATGAGCCACCGCGACCAGCCTGGTCTGGCAGTTTCTTCCTTGTCATAATATATTGGTTCTTTGTTGTTGTTAGCTCTCCTTTGAAGATGTTGCTGCTTCTAAAGCCTTCTCAGATTGATATCAATGACATCAATCAGGATGTGATTGATACCTCTCTCACATCCCTTTACCTTTGGGGCTGGAGAAGCAGTTGATTCCTGCCTATTCTTCATAGTCATTTCTACATAATTCTTCCTACCTTCTTAAAATACCCCCAGGTTTAAGTTTCTGCCATCAAACTATACTGTCTGCCACCATCCTGGTTTTTGTCATCTGTAGACCTCTGGGTCAATCCCTCTCAGTCCTTGAAGATTTTTAGCTATTGGCTTAGTAATACTACTTTCTATCACTATTCTGATCATAATTCTTTTTTTAATTTCTTTTTTTGAGACTGGGTCTCACTGTGTCACCCACGCTAGAGTGAAGTGGCGTGATCTCGTCTCACTGCAACTTCTGTCTCCCAGGCTTCAGTGATCCTCCCATCTCAGCCTCCCGAGTAGTTGGGACTACAGGCGCAAGCCACCACTCACAGCCAAATATTTTTTGTGAGTGTATTTTTTGTAGAGACAGGGTTTCGTCATGTTGCCCAGGCTAGTCTCGAACTCCTGAGCTGAAGCAATCCTCCTGCCTTGGCCTCCCAAAGTGCTGGGATTATAGGCATGAGCCACCATGCTGATTCCTATCATAATTCTTGATGACTTCAGTAGCCACATAGATGACCCTTCCAATACCCTGGCCTCTCAATTATTTGATCTCCTCTTTTCCAGTAGTCTCATCCTCTACCATAACTTAGCCATTCAACCTCAAAATCATACCCTAAACCTTGACATTACCAAAAACTACACCCTCTTCATAATCTCAATTTCATGCATCACCAGTTACCACCATCAATCTTGCTAGCTTCTTTTCTTTAGTATCCCAGTTTCAATAATTCTTTTACCCACTAGGAATTTTTGTCTTACTGTGTAAGACAAAATGTGTTTTCACTCTGATAGCCTCATTTTCCTCCTCATCCACGTTAGAGTCCTTGGTAACTCATTACAATCACTCCTTTGCATACACACTTAACTCCCTCTTTGTCTTTGATACACTGATGGAAAAACTCTAAACTTAGTTCATTCCAGCTCTAATTACTTGGTACACTTGCACAGCTGAATATGGCTGGAGAGAAACAACCATGCCGGGCACAGTGGTTCCTGCCTATAATCCCAGTACTTTGGGAGACCAAGGCTGGCAGAACCCTTGAACTCAGGAGTTCGAGACCAGCCTGGGCAACATGGTGAAATCCTGTCTCTACAAAAAATACAAAAATTAGCCAGGTATCGTGGATTGCTTGAGCCCAGGAGGTCAAGGCTTCAATGAGCCACGGTCATGCCACTGCACTCCAGCCTGGGCAACAAAATGAGACCCTGTCTCAAAAAAAAAAAAAAAAAAAGAGAAAAGAAAAGGAAAGAAAGAAAGAAAGAAAGAAAGAAAGAAAGAAACAACCATAATAACTGGTCTTATTTTAAGTTTATGACCACTCATTTCAAGTGGGTCCTCAGTACTTTCTAGACATCTAGTACATTTCCCTAGTCTGTGCCATCTTTCACTCTTATAAATTACTATTTCACACCATCTTTTTCCTAAAATTTTCTGTACTTCCTCTCCTTCCTCAGTTTCAACTGAGGCTTGCTTCCTGTTTACTAAAAATAAAGAAGCAATCAGAAGAGAATTTCCAAAACTCCACCACCACATCTGGTGGTGATGGGTCAAAAGAAATACTGTTCTAGAAGGTCAGAGAATTACTGTCTTTGCCCATCTACTCTGCCTCTTCCCCTGTTGCAGTCTATGCTTCTAAATCCAAGCCCTCCAGTTGTTCTCAAGATCCTATTACATCACTTTTATCTAGGACATCACTCTAGGAATTAACAAGAAATTATTTCCTCTCTCTCCTGCATCTCCAATTTTTCACTCTCCATGAATTATTCTTGAGTGTACAAGCATATTGTTATATTTCCCATACCAAAACAAAACAAAAAACACTCTCATGACTCCACGTGCCTCTCTGGGTGGTAGAAATGGGTGGTAGAGTTAGGAAAAATCATTAAAAAGAATAGTACAGATTTGCCATCTCCATTTCTTCTGTTCTTAGTCTCCCTTGAATTCACTCCAAGTCAGGCTTTCAATCCCTACCATTACTGAAACAGCTCTTGTACCGGTTACTTATGCTAACTGTTGCTAAATCTAGTAGTTGTTACTAATGCTAACTGTTGCTAAATCTAGTAGTTGTTCTCAACTGATACTTGACCTATCCGCAGTATTTGACACATTAGTCACACTCTCCTTGAAACTTTGTCATTTGACTTCCAAGAAACCATTCTCTCTCGGTTCTCAGTTCATTGACCGTTCCTTCGAAGTGTCTTTACTGTCTCTACCCCATTTCCCAATCTAAAATGCCATAGTGCCCAGGGATCTGTCATCAGACCACCTCTCTTTCTTTTTTTTTTTTTTTTTTTTTGAGACAGAGTTCGTTGCCCAGGCTGGAGTGCACTGGTGTGGTCTTGGCTCACCACAACCTCTGCCTCCCAGGTTCAAGCGATTCTCCTGCCTCAGCCTCCCGAGTAGCTGGGATTACAGGTGCCCACCACCACGCCTGACTAATTTTTGTATTTTCAGTAGAGATGGGGTTTCACTATGTTAGCCTGGCTGGTCTCGAACTCTTGACCTTCTGATCCGCTCACCTCTGCCTCTCAAAGTGCTGGGATTACAGGAATGAGCCACCGCGCCTGGCTACCACCTCTCTTTCTATACTTCTTTGTTGATTGCATTGTTTTAGTAATCATTTACATACTAACAGCTCATATATGTGTATACACACACACACACACACACACACACACATATCTTGCCCAGACCTTTCCTCTCAACTCTAGATATGTATATTTAACTGCCTTTTTGATATCTCCATTTATCTGTTAACAGGCATCTCAGTAGGATTCCTACCCCTCAAGCCCCACGCAAACCTGCTCCTCTTGCAGTCTTCCTGTCTCCATATATGGCAACTCTCTTAAAAACCTTGGAGTCATTCTTAATTCTTTACTCTCTCTCACCCCAGCTGTAATCCATGAGCAAATCCAATATATTGCCTTTATCTTTGAAATATATCCAGAATCCAACTACTGCTCATCATCTCCACTCTTTATTTCTCTGCCAACTACCATCATCTCTCAAAAATTATTGTAGTGCCCACCTGACTTCTCCCTCTTCTTCTGCCCTTCCACCTTATAACCTATTCTCAGTACTGCTGCCAGAGTTATCCTTTTAAAATGCAAGTCCCATCATATACCTTCACAGCTCAAAGCTCTTCAGTGGCCTCTCATCTTTCTCAAAAACCCAAAGTCATCTTTTTCTCATGGTCTACATGGCCCTCCATGATCTAGTTCTCTAATATGTCTCTGACCTCATCTCCTGTGATTCTCCTGCTTGCTCATTCCATCCAACTATACTGGCCTCCTCACTCTTCTCAAACACTCCAAATATACTTCTACCTTAGGACTTAGTGCTTGCGGTTCCTTTTGCCTGGAGACCATTCTATATATGAATAAAACAATAACCCCCTGCCTAACACCAGCTTGCTTTTCTCCCTAACTCTGCTTTATACTTTTTCATAGCACTCTTAACTGTACGACATATCTGATATACTATATATTTACTTAACTGTCTCTCCCTAGTTGAATGTAAAGGTCCATAAAGACAGGAACTTTGTATGTCCTAAACACTAAGAACAGTACCTACTGTATAGTAGGCAGAAATTATTTGCTGATTTAATCAATTTAAAAATATATTGGGAGCCCAGTACCCACTGTGGGTTGAGCAGACCGGTGGATTCTCAGTTCAGCAGTAGAGGAGCTTAGATTCCAGCCAGTAGAAGAGTCATTGTGCTTTCTGTGAGGGACAACATGAAGGAGAAGCAATTTCAGTAAATACTGTCAGTGCTACTCTAATGATAATATCCTTCAACCATCTGAGCCTGTACCCAATGGGATGTATTAAATTCTAAAGAAATGACCAGATTCCAAGGACTTTTCCCGAATGGTTGAATATGTTAAGTTCTTTCATATTCAGTATGAATTCTCTGACATTCCCTCATAATTTTTTTGCACAGAATCAGTAGGTACACACCTCATTTGGGCATCTCTGGAAATGTCCGTACAGTATAATACTTCAGTTCTTGATCCCAAAATAGTTTAAATTGCCATTAATCTGGCAAAGCATCAGTTAAATGACTCCCTCATGGTTTCTTATTACCTTAAATATCATTTCCATGATCCTCCCTAAGTCTGTGGTTTGTGGCAAGATATCTTCCATTTGGTCCTCCTACATACCACCCTTAAGAGTTGAGCCTACATTTTTGTCTGCAGTTTTGGTTTCCCTGCAGCCCTTTTCCTGAAGGGAGATGGCATGGTAAGATAAGACTCCAGTGAGAAAACAAGTTTGTCTTTTATTAGCATCAGTTTTTTCTTTTTCTTTTTTCTGAGGCATGATCTTGCTTTGTTACTCAGGCTGGAGACCAGTGGCATGATCTCGGCTCACTGTGGCCTCAACCTCCTGGGCTCAAGTGATCCTCCTGACTCAGCCCCTCTGAATAGCTGGGAATACAGGCCACGCCACCATGCCCGGCTAATCTATATATATATATTTATATATATATATTTATATATATATATATATTTATATATATATATTTATATATATATATTTATATATATATATATATATATATATATATTTTTTTTTTTTTTTTTTTTTTTTGAGACGGAGTCTGGCTCTGTCGCCCAGGCTGGAGTGCAGTGGCGCGATCTCGGCTCACTGCAAGCTCCGCCTTCCGGGTTCACGCCATTCTCCCACCTCAGCCTCCAGAGTAGCTGGGACTACAGGCGCCCGCCACCATGCCCGGCTAATTTTTTTGTATTTTTAGTAGAGACGGAGTTTCACCATGTTGGTCAGGATGGTCTCGATCTCCTGACCTCATGATCCGCCCACCTCAGCCTCCCAAAGCTCTGGGATTACAGGCGTGAGCCACCGCACCCGGCCCAATTTTTATATTTTTTGTAGAGAGCGGGTTTCACCACATTCCCCAGACTGGTCTCAAACTCCTGGACTCAAACAATCCGCCAGCCTCAGCCTTCCAAAGTGCTGGGATAACAGGTGCGAGTCATCACACCTGGCCTCATCAGTTTTTTCTTATTGGGAAAGAAGACTGTAAGCCTGCAGATATCAGTGTAATAAAGGTACCTGAATATACAGAGCTTCAGCTCTTTCTCTCTCTCTCTTTTTTTTTTTTTTGAGATGGGATTTTGCTCTGTCACCCAGGCTAGAGTGCAGTGGTGTAATCTTGGCTCACTGCAGCCTCTACCTCCTGAGTTCAAGTGGTCCTCCTGCCTTAGCCTCCCAAGTAGCTAGGACTACAGGCATGTGCCACCATGCTGGGCTAATTTTTAAATTTTTATTTTTTGTAGAGACAGTGTCTTGCTATGTTGCCCAGGCTGGTCTTGAACTCCTGGCCTCAAGTGATCCTCCCACTTTAGCCACCCAAAGTTCTGGGATTACAGGCAGGAGCCACCATAGCTTCAGCTCTATTTCAACTCTTAATATGAATTTCATGAAAGTCCTTGGTCTGATAAGGGAAAGTTAGTATGAAACAAGTTACAGATTGGCCAGGGATATTACCTAGCTTCTTCTCTCTACCTTTGACCTTGATAGAAGCAGTTTGTGTCTTCATGACTGAGTGGCTAAGCACCACTACTCCTCTTCTATTTCATGTAGCTTCTGGATCTCAGGAGAAATTAGTCTTCTGTAGAAGGAGGAAGTAAGCCATAGATCTCTGTGGGAAGGTTATTCCTATAAAGAGCACACACACACTGAAAGCTTATCCAAGAAGGAGGCAACACAACAGATACTCAGAGAGATTGCAAGTGGCTGCTCTCATTGCCCTTCCTTATAACCTGTTCTCAATACTGCTGCCAGAGTTATTCTTTTAAAATACTATTATTCAGCCAACCTCCCACCCTGAAGAAGACCCAGGGCTTAAAACTTCAAATTGCCTGTCACTGTACTGCTGCATGTTCTTCTTTCTCCAGACTCCTTATCCAGACCAAGACGAACAGTATTCACTAGAGCCATTGAGGGGCGTGAATTACATTGGCAGGATAGCCACCTACAGCGAATAATCAGCAGTGATGTTTATACAGCTCCTGCCTGCCAGCGGGAAAGTGAAAGACTACTCTTTAATTCCCAAGGCCAGCCACTGTGGCTTGGTAAGTCTAGCCCTCCTCTAAGAACTTTAGAGCCACCCTCACTTCATGCCAGGCCCAAATGAGCCATCTTCATACGTACCTGCAACTCAAACTACAATTTGGACAGTTTTCACACAGATATTTTGGGGCTTTTATTAGGGATATTTATGTGAAGCCTAAGCCATTTGCATGTATACTCAGTTGTGATACAGCAACCTCAAATAAGAATTTGCATCCTGTCCTCTAAGTTTTGAGGGGGTGAAAGGAGTTAATGCATCTCAAAGAGCATTAACAAAGCAATTAGGCCTCAGTTCACAGCTTCTCTGAGTTATTGAGCAACATTATAGTCTACTCTGAAATTACATGTTTTGTTAAAAAAGCACTAATTTGAATTTTTTAAAATCTCCTATGCTAGTAAGTAGACACAATCTGCATTTGTCACCAAGCAGTCTTCCTTTTCTCCTCCCCACCTTCCTACCTTCGTTCATGATAACAGGATAGAGCTGTTTCATTGTGAGTTTAAACCCTCCTCTGAAATAGTTTCCTGGCTTTCCCTCAATCAACCTGTCCCTGACTTTATCAAAGGATACCCATTTCAAAAGAGACATTCTTTTTAAAATATTCATTTTCCAAGCCTTACAGCAATGACATACATTTTCATTGTCTTCTCCCAATTCCCTGCCTCCATCTCTCACACCATATCTTTGTCTTGCTCAAGATTTTGCTGAATCTAGATATGCCCCTCTCTCTCTTGAAAGCAATAGCCAGACTCACCGTGTCACCACCTGAAGTTTCCTCTGATCATCTTTCTTCTCCTGTGATCCAGCACTTCTGAAACGTAAATCTAATAAGCATGTGAAAGAATATACATCTCATTAACAAAGATGCAAATTAAAACAACACTGAGCATTTTTTGATTTTCAAATGGTCAGGTGTTTTTAATTAAGATAATTAGTTTCTGGTGTGGGAGAGGTTACATGGAGCTAGGTACTCTCATTTACTACTTATAGGAGTGTAAATACTTAGTCTTTCTGAAGGGTATTTCTTCTTATCAAAAGCCTTAAAATATGTTCATCCCATGTGATCCAGGAATTCTACATGTAGGAATTTATCCTGAGCCATAATTAACTAAGGATATGCATATAGCTAAGGGGCTCATTACAGCATGGATAAAAATAAGGTACAGATGAGAAAAATTGGGAACCATATAAATGTCCAACAATAGGGGATTGATTAGCTCAATAGATATACATGTATTCACCAGAATTATATGTAATCATTTTTAATGTTATAGATGTATATTTGATAACATGGAAAAATATTTACAATGTGTTATTAAGTGGAAAGGCCAGTTACAAAACAGTAAGTATAATACCATCCCATTTTTAGTAAAAACTTACTAGGCTGGGCGCAGTGGCTCACGCCTGTAATCCCAGCACATTGAGAGGCTGAGGTGGGTGGATCACCTGAGGTCAGGAGTTTGAGACCAGCCTGGCCAACATGGTGAAACCCTGTCTCTACTTAAAATACTAGAAATTATCCGGGTGTGGTGGCACACATCGGTAATCCCAGCTACTCAGGAGGCTGAGGCAGGAGAATTGCTTGGACCTGGGAGGCGGAGGTTGCAGTGAGCGGAGATCACACCACTGTACTCCAGTCTGGGTGACAGAGTGAGACTCCATCTAAAAAAAAAAAAAAGTTACTAGAAAAGTGTGAGTAAATATACATGACACTGGAAAGAGTGATTATTTCTGATTTTTATTTTATATTTCTTTATATGTATTTTCAAATTTTCCGCAATTCTATAATTTTTAATTTTATCTTTAAGAAAAAAAGCACAAAATAAACCATAAAGCTTGTTATAGTTACTCACCTATTTGTAAGTCTTTGGTTTGGTAGTCTTCCATTATCCCTAAGGTAAATTCAAACTCCATAGAATGGCATTCACAGCTGTTTACATTCCAGACTCTACCTTTTCCAGGCTATCTTAGGCCACATAACATAATTCTAACTACATGGAACTATTTGCCATACTCTGAAGATGGATGCTATTAATATATTGAATAATTTTTATGCTTTTACAATATGCCCTTGCTTATGTTTCCTTTGTCAGGAATGTCTTTCCCTGTTTGTCTACCTGTTTGAAATCTTACTTGTCCTTCAAAGCACAGCTCAAATATTATTTTCTCTCTGTATATATTTCTATCATGTTACTTCTTTTTAGCTGCTTTATAATTACATTTATGTATCATTTGTGAGCTCTTTGAGGGCAATGACCATTTCCTATTCATCTTTGTACTTTCTTTGCCCAGCATACTCCCTGGCATTTAATAGGTTTTCAGGAAATGTAGGATTAATTAAATGAATGAGACTTTTCCCATTAGGCAGTTAGTTGCTACCTCCATTGGTTTCCCATAGTATAATATATGTTTGCAAAGAGAAACTACATTTTATTATCCTACTTGTGTGTCCCTTTCTACACCATAGACCACGCTGAGGCTGCAAGGTAGCTCTTTCAAGATATCACCTGTGATTTATTCAACTTTTTATATCCTTAAAGATAAAGACACAGTTCCTGGTATACAGTAGGTGTCAGGTTGAATTTGAGGAACTGGACTGAATACAAACTCTCTTTGTCAGGTATAAATTTTCCTGACTTGAAATTTTAACTAGACCAAAATATCTTCTTCTTACTTGGTAGAGCATGTGCCTACAGCCTGTGCTCGAGTTGACGCCCTGCGTTCCCATGGTTATCCAAAAGAGGCCCTCAGACTCACAGTGGCCATTATTAATACTCTGAGGTTGCAGCAGCAGCGGCAACTGGAAATCTACAAGCATCAGAAGAAAGGTATAGTAATTAGGAGCCATCTAACCCCCTTAGGCCCAAAGCTGATGAGGATCCTCAGGGGATACAAGGCCCAGAAGAACTAGGGAATTCCGGGTCATTCTCCTTGCTGTGTGGAATGCCTCACTTTATCTTTATGAATGTCAGTTTTCTCATCTGTTCATTTGGGAATAATACCTGTTTGCCTCCCTCATAAGGCAGTTAGAAGGCTCATTAAGATCTGGTATGAGAAGACCATTTTTAAACTCTAAAGCTGTGGACAGGCATGGTGATTCACACCTATAATCCCAGCACTTTGGGAGGCCCAGGTAGGAGGATTGCTTGAGGCCAGGAGTTTGAGACCAGCCTGGGCAACATGGTGAGACCCTATCTTTACAAAAATAAAATAAAGGCCAGGCATGGTGGCTTACGCCTGTAATCCCAGCACTTTGGGAGGCCGAGGCAGGCAATCACCTGAGGTCGGGAGTTCGAGACCAGCCTGACCAACATGGAGAAACCCCATCTCTACTAAAAATACAAAAAATTAGCTGGGCGTGGTGGCGCGTGCCTGTAATCCCAGCTACTTGGGAGGCTGAGGCAGAAGAATCGCTGGAACCCAGGAGGCGGAGGTTGCAGTGAGCCGAGATCACACCATTGCACTCCAGCCTGGGCAACAAGAGCAGAGCTCCGTCTTAAAATAAATAATTAATTAAATTAAATTAAATTAAATATGCCAGGCACAGTGGCTCACGCCTGTAATCCCAGGACTTTGGTAGGGTGAATCGGGTGGATCACTTGAGGCCAGGAGTTCAAGACCAGCCTGGCCAACATAGTGAAACCCCAGTTCTATCAAAAATACAAAAATTGTCAGGCATAGTGGCACATGCCTGTAGTCCCAGCTACTCTGGAGGCTGAGGCACGAGAATTGTTTGAACCCAGGAGGCGGAGGTTGCAATGAGCCAAGATCACGCCACTGCACTCTGGCCTGGGCGATAGAGCGAGACTCTGTCTCAAAAATAAATTTTTAAATAAAATTAACAGGGCATGGTGGCATGTGCCTGTAGTCCCAACTATTCAGAAGACTCAGGTATCTCTTAAAACAAAAACCTGTAAAGCTCTATCCACGTATGCACTACCAGCAGGCAACCCAAATGCAGACCACGTGACCTTATAGCTGGCTGGTATGTTTGTGGCCAGCCGTATCAACCCAAGGCAAGACAATAGAGAAGCTTTTATTTGACTCTCAGGGTCAAGGCTGGAGAGACTGATAAGAAGACCCAGGCAGGGACAGACAGCAGTTTGTCTCTATCACTGTCTAAAATTTTAACCTGCTTGTTTCCAGAACTGTTGCAGAGAGGAACCACAACCATCACAAACCTGGAGGGCTGGGTGGGCCACCCCCTGGATCCCATCGACTGCCTGTTTCTCACTTTGACTGAGGCCTGCCGCCTGAATGATGATGGCTATCTGGAGATGTCAGGTACAGGGGTCAGCCTGAGGCAAACCAAGACTGCCCTTGTTGGTTAGCATGGTGGCTCACACCTGTAATCCTAGCATTTTGGGAGGCCAAGGTGGGTGGATTACTTGAGTTCAAGAGTTCAAGACCAGCCTGGGCAACATGGCAAAACCCTGTCTCTACAAAATATTAGCCAGGTGTGGTCAGTCGCCTGTAATCCCAGCTACTTCGGGGCTGAGGCAGTAGGATCACTTGATCCCAGGAGATCGAGGCTGCAGTGAGTCAAGATCACACCACTGCACTGCAATCTGGGTGACAAAGTGAGACCCTGTTTCATTAAAAAAAAAAAAAAAAAGACTGCCCTCGTCAGCCCTTTTCTCCCTTCCAGACTCTGTTCTACCTCCTTTTGAAGTTTTTTCCCCCTCTTGTCCAAACTAGAGCACCCTGAGAGGTTTCTTCATGCTTGCCCATTTCCCACCTTCCTTTCCTACCCTTTGGTCTGGCCTTGTCCTGATTTTGCATTTTACCTTGCCAGCCTTCCTTGTTCCTTTTATTTCCCTATCATAAATGCCTAAAGAATGTAGTCCAAGAAGAATAACAAGTGATAGAGAAATTTTAGCAGTCAGAGGCGAGAACCTAGAGCAGTCTGAAAGTGGGAAAGAACTTCCATTAAGAATCTGTGTATCCCTTGCAATTGCATAATAATATTTTCTGGTTTCCTTTGAACTTTCTTCCACATGATGGTTTTGTACCAATTTTACAAATAAGAAATAGAGGAGAATAATTTAATAGAGCCTCAAGACTCTATTAGAGTAGCCAAGAATAGATAGAGACAAAATTGATTCTTTTTTCTTTTATACCTTCACTTACTGTATACATATATCTACTTTAGTATTTAGCATGCTACATTACAATTTATTTACAAATAGTTCTCTCTTACTAGACTGTCAGCTACTTGAAAACAGAAATTATGACTTCTTTATCTTTGTGTTCCTAGCACTTAGTGGAGGACCTGACATTTAACAATCTTTCATAAATACTTATTAGATAGATGAGGGAGAAAAGAAAAGAAACCAAGACTTTGACTTTTAAACCGTGCTTACTTCCTGAAATTGTGCACCCACTGGTGGAGCATATGAGATAATAGTAACATAAAGGTTGCAAATGTTACAAAAGTTAAGAGTTTAACTGTAGGGATTCAGATTTCTCTGGGTAGAGATATAAGGGGTGGCCCCAAGCCAAGTGCAGGCTGCTCCTTATCTTCCCTCTGATCCCTTGCAAAGTGAATCATCATCTTTGGTCTGTTTCATCTGTACAGTGACATTTACATCTTGGAAACCTGAGTTTGCACTTGGGTTTATTCATTCACCACTAACACATAGCAATACCTAGAACAACAAGATGGTCTAATCCCTTTAAGGTGTTCACATTCTATGAAAGAGACAGAAACAAAAACAGACAATTACAGCATTACATAATGTGCTAGCAAAATATAAGATTTTATACTTCCCTAACTGGCTTAGCCAGTTCATATATTAAGAAGGAGATGGGCCGGGCGCAGTGGCTCTCGCCTGTAATCCCAGCACTTTGGGAGGCCAAGGCAGGCAGATCACCTGAGGTCAGGAGTTGGAGACCAGCCTGGCCAACATGGTGAAACCCCATCTCTACTAAAAATATAAAAATTAGCTGGGTGTGGTGGTGTGTGCCTGTAATCCCAGCTACTCAGGAGGCTGAGGCAGATGAATTGCTTGAACCCAGGAGGCGGAGGTTGCAGTAAGCCGATACCGTGCCACTGCTCTCCAGCCTGGGAGATGGAGCGAGACTCCCTCTCAAAAAAAAAAAAAAAAAAAAGGAGGTGGGGCTGGGCATGGTGGCTTATGCCTATAATCCCAGCATTTTGGGAGGCCAAGGTGGGAAAATCACTTGAGCCCAGGAGTTTGAGACCAGCCTGGGCAACATAATGAGACCCTATCTCTACAAAAAAAAATTAAAAATTATCTGGGCATGGTGGCATGTGCCTGTAGTCCCAGCTACTCAGGAAGCTGAAGTGGGAGGGTCGCTTGAGCCCAAGAGGTTGAGGCTGCATCAGTGACCCATGATTGCACCACTACACTCCCGCCTTAGCAACCAAGCAAGACTCTGTCTCCAAAAAAATTAAAAAAGAAAGAAGTGTGAATCTTTGTGGCTCTGTGTAACCTTTTTTTCAGTATATTTTCCTTACTATTCTGGGGTTCTGATTCAGCTTCCCTATGATAGCTGTTGACCAAGCTGTATCCCAAAGGTGGGAGGGAAAGACAGAAGACTAGGCCGAATACGGTGGCTCACACCTGTAATCCCAGCACATTCGGAGGCCGAGGTAGGCAGATCACCTGAGGTCAGGAGTTTGAGTCCAGCCTGGCCAACATGATGAAACCGCCCCTCTACTAAAAATACAAAAATTCGACAGGTGTTGTGGCATGCTCCTGTAATCCCAGCTACTTGGGAGGCTGAGGCAGGAAAATCGCTTGAACCGGGGAGGCGGAGGCTGCAGTGAGCTGAGATTGCACCACTGTACTCCAGCCTGGACAACAGAGCAAGACTCTGTCTCAAAAAAAAAAAAAAAAAAGAAAGAAGACTCTACCAAGCCTAACCTAAAGAATTTGGTGCCCTGTTGCCCTCAGATATGAATGAAAGCAGACCCCCTGTGTACCAGCATGTACCTGTGGCTGCAGGCTCCCCAAACAGCAGTGAGTCCTACCTGTCATTGGCCCTGGAAGTTGCACTGATGGGCCTGGGTCAACAGAGGTTAATGCCTGAAGGCCTCTACGCACAGGACAAGGTATGCCGTAATGAGGAGCAGCTCCTGAGCCAACTCCAAGAGCTGCAGCTGGACGATGAGCTAGTGCAAACACTGCAAAAACAATGCATCTTACTGCTGGAAGGTAAGTAGAAAAGAGTCTCTTGTCACGGTGTCTTTGGCCCATGACCCTGAGCTCCCCTCTCCAATAGAGTACAAGTACAGGAACATTTATGACATTAAAATGTAGTGAATGAAGGTTCCCATGATTAGCAAACATGCATGAGATACTGGGGCTCAAGTCCAGGCTGGCAGATGGAAGCATACAGATAAATAACTGGCTGGCTTATCTTCCTCCAGGAGGTCCTTTCAGCGGTCTGGGAGAAGTCATCCACCGAGAGAGTGTTCCCATGCATACCTTTGCCAAGTATTTGTTCTCAGCTCTGCTGCCTCATGATCCAGACCTGTCCTATAAATTAGCCTTACGTGCCATGAGGTGGGTAGCCCTTTCCCAGTCCAATTGCCTCCACCAAAGCAGAAGTGTCCAGTGCTCTTTTTCATTGCTTATTTCACTTTCTTTTCTTTCCCTCTTTGTCATTCTGTTGGACCCGCTACCAAGTGTACCTTAAAATGGCTCAGATATTTTTATATGATCTAGGATTCATATCTGGATTCCTTGTTGGTGACTTGGTTCCCTGGCAGTACTCATGGTTGATTGTCTGAGGAAGCCCCTGAGATGTTAATAAATAAGGAGCACTTAAGACCTGAGTCTTCCTGTTCAGTGGTTATTCAGGCAAGCTGAGAAGGGGTCTGAGCCCTTCTGTAGTTCAACTCAGTCAAGGTTCCCAGGCACAGGTCCCCAGAAGAAGCTGGGGGAAGTAGAGATAAATATGTTTACCCCAAGACTTGAGAACAATGAGCTATGGGCATCTTGTTTCCAGGCTAGAATAGGATCCTTGGTTTAGGCAGTTAAACCTCTGGGATGTAGCAGACTATACAGAAGAAGAATTTTAGTCAGACTGTAAGGCTGGGAGAATACCTTAGCTAAAACAGGAAATTCCTTGGCATGTATTTCTTATACTTTTAGAAATAACCAGGCTGGGTACGGTGGCTCAAGCCTATAATCCTAGCACTTTGGGAGGCCGAGGCAGGTAGATTGCTTGAGCCCAGGAGTTTGAGACCAGCCTGGGCAGCATGGTGAAACCCCATCTCTACAAAAACAAAAAATACAAAAATTAGCCAGGCATGTTGGTGCACACCTGAAGTCCCAGCTACTCAAGAGACTGAGGTGGGAGGATCGCTTGAGCCTGGGAGGTCGGGGCTGCAGTGAGCTGTGATTATGCCACTACACTCCAGCCTATGCAACAGAGAGAGACACTGTCTCAAAAATAAATAAAATAAACAACCCTATGATTCTTTTTAAAAATGTATTAACTTTTCTCTCTTTTTACAATATATCATACTATTCAACCCGATAGCTCTTGAACGGCCTTTCACATCCATTTGTAGTGGAAACTATTCAGCGTTGAGTACTCTTAAGTGCCCAGGCACTCACCTCATATAGTGTATAGTACCATAGGTTTAAAAACCTTCAAAGCTCTTAGTTAATCCTTTCCTCTCCCCAGTTCCTCCCCAGCAAAGAGCAAGCTTCTCTAAGGTGGCTCGGAAGCCCAGGGTCTGGATGGTGGCTGATGATTCTTCCTGGGTCTTCCAGGTTACCTGTTTTAGAAAACTCAGCTTCTGCAGGCGACACATCCCACCCTCACCATATGGTGTCTGTGGTGCCCAGCCGTTATCCTCGCTGGTTCACGCTTGGACACTTGGAATCACAGCAGTGTGAACTGGCCTCCACCATGCTGACTGCTGCCAAAGGTGAGCATAGATAGACCTTAAGCTCCAGCATCACCCGTCTGCCTGCCCAACCATGGCATGTCAAAGGCTTGGCCTGCAGTCTCCTGAGAAAGAGAAGCTCCTTGACCATTTAGAGTGATAGTGGTCCTCACTTTGATTGCTGCCATTAGAAAGAGCACCTGGCCAGGCGCGGTGGCTTACGCCTGTAATCCCAGCACTTTGGGAGGCCGAGGCGGGAGATCACGAGGTCAAGAGATCGAGACCATCCTGGCCAACATGGTGAAACCCCATCTCTACTAAAAATACAAAAAGTAGCCGGGCGTGGTGGCGGGCGCCTGTAGTCCCAGCTACTCGGGAGGCTGAGGCAGGAGAATGGCGTGAGGCAGAGCTTGCAGTGAGCCAAGATCGTGCCACTGCACTCCAGCCTGGGTGACAGAGCAAGACTCCGTCTCAAAAAAAAAAAAAGCACCTGGATCCAAGCCAAAACTTTACCCTAGTTACTAATTGTAGGATACCAAATATGTAAAATTAAATGATCTTTAAGGTACTTCTAAGTCTAACCTTCTGTTTGATAAAATCACTTCACCTTTCTACGCCTCAGTTTCAAATCTATAAAATGGGGATCATTGTCAATGACCTGTCAGCCTCCCAGGGCCACTGGAAGATCTAATGAAGTGATGACTAAGATAGAGCTGAACTCCTTACAGATATAAGAGTTGGTGATTTTTTTTTCAGTGCCCTGGTAAAAGATAGGCAGTCCAAAGTGATTCTCAGGCCTTTAAGCTCACATACATCCTGTTAGCTATGCAGGTTTCACCACAAACAGAAGTGAAAGTAAGCCCCTATATAAGAAGGAGCTATGATAAAATGCTAGCCACCATGAGCTCCTGAATATTTTAGACCAGGAAACTACATGGATTTTGAAGTTATTTTTTAATTAAAAATAACTTTATGTGGTATCTTCTTATTGTCCCCCCAAAAATACATGCTTATTAGAGAAAAGGTAAAAGTTACATATAAATTAATATAAAAATGATCAGCAAACAAATACAAAAATAGAACAAAGCATATGATCAGACAGTTCACAGAAAAGGAGATACAAATCGTTTTTAGACAACTAAAATACCTGGTATCACATTAGAAATACAAATTAAAATTAGCCTGAGATAACATTTTTTACTGATCTTATTGGCAAAAAACAAATCTGATAATGTGCATTCATGTGAGGAGTGTCAAGTGGGGAGTGGCGGTAGCCTGCATGGAGTATCAGATTCCAAGCAGGATAAGGAGGAGGACTACAGATCTAAGGAAATCAATGAACCACAAGCATAATAAACATGAAGAAAACTATACCATGGCACATCATAACCAAAATGCTTAAAACCAATAATAGAAAATCTACTTAAAAGCAATCAGAGTAAAAAAGATACATTACAAAGGACAAAAAAACAAGTATGGGAACAGATTTCTCATTAGAAACAATGTAAGCCAGAAAACAGTGGGAAAAAAAACCCTTAAAGTACTTTAAAAAAAAAAAAAATTATCAGGCCAGGCACGGTGGCTCACACCTATAATCCTAGCACTTTAGGAGGCCAAGGCGGGCAGATCACTTGAGATCAGGAGTTTGAGAACATCCTGGCCAACATGGTGAAACCCCTGTCTCTACTAAAAATACAAAAATTAGCTGGGCGTGGTAGTGCACACCTGTAGTCCCAGCTACTCAGGAGGCTGTGGCACGAGGATCGCTTGAACCTGGGAAGCAGAGGTTGCGGTGAGCCGAGTTGCACCACTGAACTCCTGCCTGGGTGACAGAGTGAGACTCTGTCTCAAAAAAAAAAAAAAAACAAAAACTGTCAAACTAGAATTTTATACCAATGAAAATATATTTCAGAAACAAAGATGAGGCCAGGTGCAGTGGCTCACACCTGTAGTCCCAGCACTTTAGGAGGCCAAGGCAGAAGGATCACTTGAGACCAGGAGTTTGAGACTAACCTGAGCAACATAGCAAGATCCTGTCTTTACAAAAAATTTTAAAAATTAGCCAGGTGTACTGGCAAGCACCCGTAGTCCCAGCTACTCAGGAGGCTAAGGCAGAAGGACTGCTCAAGCCCAGGAGTTAAGAGACTACAGTAAGCTACCATCATGACACTGCACTCCAACCTGGGTGACAGAGCAAGACCCTGACTCTTAAAAAAAAGAGAGATGAACTAAAAATCTTTTTCAGACAACCACAGTTCAATTAGAATTCGATAATAAAAAGATATTTTAAAATATCTTAAGTTTTTGGAAATTAAACCACATACGTGTATATTACTCATGGAGCAAAGAAAAAAATCACAAGAAAATTAGAAAATCTTTTGACTATATGAAAATGAAAGCACAAGTCAAAATTTGTAGAATGTAGCTAAGGTTTTACTTATAAATTTTTAGCAATAAATGAAAAATGCTTCAAATCAGTGATCTCAGATTTCACTTTTTTTTTTTTTTTTTTTTGAGATGGAGTCTTACTCCGTTGCCCAGGTTGGAATGCAGTGGCGTGATCTCCGCTCACTGCAAGCTCCACCCCCTAGGTTCATGCCATTCTCCTGCCTCCGCCTCCCGAGTAGCTGGGACTACGGGTGCCCGCCACCACGCCCGGCTAATTTTTTTGTATTTTTAGTAGAGGTGGGATTTCACAGTGTTTGCCAGGATGGTCTCGATCTCCTGACCTCGTGATCCGCCCACCTCAGCCTCCCAAAGTGCTGGGATTACAGGCGTTAGCCACTGTGCCCAGCCCAGATTTCACTTTAAGAAGTCAGAAAAAGAAAACCCAAGGTAAGCATAGGGAAGGAAATAATAAAAATGAGAGCAGACAGGTGCGGTGGCTCATACCTGTAATCCCAGCACTTCGGGAGGCCAAGGAAGGCAGATCACTTGAAGCCAGGAGTTCGAGACCAGCCTGGCTAACATGCTAAAACTCCATCTCTACCAAAAATACAAAAAAAAAAAATTGCGTGAGCATGGTGGCATGCGCCTATAATCCCAGCTACTCGGGAGGCTGAGGTACTATAATCATCTGAACACAGGAGGTGGAGGCTGCAGTCAGCCAAGATCACACCACTGCCCTCCAGCCTGGGCAACAAAGTAAGACTCTGTCTCAAAAAAAAAAAAAAAAAAAAAAAAATCAGAGCAAAAATCAATGAAATAGAGAATAATCAATGAAACCAAAAGCTGATTCTTTGAAAAGATCAATTAAGGCTGGGCACGGTGGCTCACGCCTGTAATCCCAGCACTGTGGGAGCCGAGGTAGGTGGATTGCTTGAGGTCAGGAGTTAGAGACAAGGCTGGCCAACATGGCGCAACCCTGTCTCTACTAAAAAATACAAAAATTAGCTGGGCATGGTGGTGGGTGCCTGTAATCCCAGCTACTCAGGAGGCTGAGGCAGGGAGAATTGCTTGAATCAGGGAGACAGAGGTTGCAATGAGCTGAGATCGTGCCACTACACTCCAGCCTGGAGGACAGAGTAAGACTCTATCTCAAAAAAAAAAAAAAAAGAAAGAATGAAAACATAAATCAAATTTAAATCCCTGTCTAGACTGATCAAGAAAAAAGGAGATAAAAGGCAGAAATGACCAATATCAGGAATGAGAAAGGTGATATCACTACAGATTCTAAAGACATCAAAATGGTAATAGGAGAATATTACAAACAGCTTTATGCCAGTAAATTCAACAACACAGATGAAATGGACTAACTCCTTCAAAAACAAAACTGTCAGAGCTCACTTAAGAATAAATAAAAGCCAGGGCCAGGCTCAGTGGCTCACGCCTGTAATCCCAGCACTTTGGGAGGCTGAGGCGGGCGGATAACCTAAAGGTAGGAGTTCGAGACCAGCCTGGCCAACATGGCAAAACCCTGTCTGTACTAAAAATACAAAAATTAGCCGGGCATGGTGGCACATGCCTGTAATCCCAGCTACTCAGGAGGCTGAGGCACAAGAATCACTTGAACTGGGAGGCAGAGGTTGCAGTGAGCCGAGATTGCGCCACTGCACTCCAGCCTGGGCGACAGAGCAAGATTCCATCTCGATCAATCAATCATTCAGTCATTAAAGGCCAAAGTGACTCACACCTGTAATCCTAACACTTTGGGAGGCTGAGGTGGGAAGATCACTAGAGGACAGGAGTTTGAGACCAGCCTGGGCAACATAGTGAGACCCTGTCTCTGCAAAAATTTAAAAACTAGCGGGACAAGGTGGCACCCCCCTGTAGTCCCAGCTACTCAGGAGGCTAAAGCAAGAGGATTGCTTGAGCCCAGAAGTTTGAGGTTACAGTGAGCTATCGTGCCACTGCCTGGATGAGAAAGTGAGACCCTATCTCTAAAAACATAAACAGGTAGGTGGGTCGAAAAAAAATGAACCAGCTATATGTCCAAAAGAATTGCAAGCAGGAACTCAAACAGATAGTTGTACATTTATAATAACATTATTCATAATAGCCAAATGTTCATCAACAGATGAATGGATAAACAAAATGTGGTATATATAGACAATGGAATATTATTCAGCCATAAAAGGAATGAAAGTCTGATACATGGTACAACATGAGTGAACCTTGAGAACATGCTAAGTGAAATAAGCTAGACACAAAAGGATAAAGATCGTATGATTTTGACTTACATGAGATACCTAAAATAGCTGCAGTCGGGAAATATCAATGGATTCAAAGCTAGTGCATGAACATTTGAAAAACAGGATATTCATATAGTCTCAAGGTATCTCTTCGCAAAATATTTACCAATCATAAAGGAAAAATGTATAACTTTACAATCGAAACCTGGCCAACACCACTTTAATCAACTGATCACAGTTAATATCATCAGAAATGAAGTAAAAAACATGGATTACCTGATAGGAAACAATAAGAACTCAGCATCACTTCTGTGACATTACAGCCAAAAGTGCAAATGTACATCTAATAAGGAAACATCAGGAATACCAAATTAAAGGACATACTACAAAATAACTAGCCTGCAAAAGTGTCAAGGTCATGAATGTCAAGGAAAGATGGGGAAATTTTTCCAAATTGAAGAAGACTTAAAGGCACATGACAAACTAAGTGCAACACATGAACTTGTATAAAATCTTTTTGCTATAAAAGACATTTTGGGGACAATTGGTGGAACTTGAATGAGGTCGGTGGTAGATGGTAGGAATATATCTGTTAATTTGCTGCTTTTGATGGTTGTCTTGTGGGTGTAGGAGAGTGTCTTTGTAGGAAATACACACTACAATAGTCAGGAGTGATGGGGCATCAAGTCACTTACTTTCAAATGGTTCAGAGAGAAGAAAAAACATCTCTGTTCTATTCTTCAAACTTTTCTGTAAGTAAAATTATTTCAAAATAAAGGATTTGTTTTAAATTTTATTTTTTAGTAGAGACGAGGTCTTCCTATGTTACCCTAGCTGGTCTTGAACTCCTGGCCTCAAGTAATCCTCCCACCTTGGGCTCCCAAAATGCTGGGATTACAGGTGTGAGCCACCACACTTAGCCAAGGAAAATTATTATTTTTATTTATTTTTTTTTATTTTTATTTTTTGAGACAGAGTCTCGCTCTGTCACCCAGGCTGAAATGAGTGGCGCGATTTCAGCTCACTGCAACCCCTGTGCCCGGAGTTCAAATGAATCTCCTGCCTCAGCCTCCTGAGGAGCTGGGACTACAGGTGCCTGCCACCATGCCCAGCTAATTTTTGTATTTTTAGTAGAGATGGGGTTTTGCCATGATAGCCAGGCTGGTCTCAAACTCCTGACCTCAGGTGATCGACTCACCTCAGCCTCCCAAAGTGCTGGGATTGCAGGCATGAGCCACCACAGAAAATTTTTGATGAAAAAGTGTGTTGACAAAGGTGTGGAGAAACCTTTTTAAAACTCAACTATATGTTGTCTATAAGAAACCCACTTTAAAGACACAGATAGATTAAAAGTAGAGATGGAACCAATAACCTAAATGTAAGAGCTAAAGCCATAAAACTCTTACATGAAAACATAGGAATAAGTCTTCATGACCTTGGGTAAGCCAATGGATTCTTAGCTATGACATCAAAAGCATGAACAACAAAAAAAATATAGATAGGTAAATTAGACTTCATCAAAATTTAAATCTTTTGTGCATCAAAGAACATTATCAAGAAAGTGAAAAGAGCAGCCAGGCGTGGTGGCTCACCCCTGTAATCCCAGCACTTTGGGAGGCCAAGGTGGGCGGATCACCTGAGGTCAGGAGTTCGAGACCAGCCTGGCCAACATGGCAAAACCCTGCCTGTACTAAAAATACAAAAATTAGCTGGGTGTGGTGGTACATGCCTGTAGTCCCAGCTACTCGGGAGGCTGAGGCAGGAGAATCACTTGAACCTGGAGGGAGAGGTTGCAGTGAGCCAAGATCATGCCATTGCACTCCAGCCTGGTCAAGAGAGTGAGACTCCATCTCAAAAAGAAAGAAGAAAAAGAGAAAAGAGCCAGACATGGTGGCTCACACCCATAATCCCAGTGGCTTGGGAGGCTGAGGTGGGAGGATCACTTGAGCCTGGGAGGTCAAGGCTGAAGTGAGCCATGATCACACCACTGCACTCCAGCCTAGGCAAGAGTAAGACCTTTTCTCAAAAAATAGGCCAGGTGCAGTGGTTCATGCCTATAATCTCAGCACTTTGAGAGGCCGAGGCAATCATATGAGGTCAGGAGTTTGAGACCAGGCTGACCAACATGGAGAAACCCTGTCTCTACAAAAATACAAAAATTAGCTTGGCATGGTGGCAGGCGCCTGTAATCTCAGCTACTCAGGAGGCTGAGGCAGAAGAATCACTTGAACCAGGAGGCAGAGGTTGCAGTGAGCTGAGATCGTGCCACTGCACTCCAGCTTAGGCGACAGAGCGAGACTCTGCCTCAAAAAAAATTAATTAATTAAAAAATAAAAATAATTATAAAATAAAATCAATCATCTAAGTTTGCACATTAGTAAAATAGAGAAAGAATAAATAACAATCAGTTTATAAGTTAAACTTCCACATTGGGGAAAATAGCGAAAGAAGAGCAATGTAAATCTAAGTTAGCAGAAGAAAATAGATAACAAAAATTAGAGCAGAAATCAGTGAAATTGAAAGTAGAAACAGTAGGCAAAAATCAATAAAAGCAAGACCGGTTCTTTGAAAAGATCAATAAAATTGATAAACCTTTAGGCTAACCACGAAAAAAAAAAAAGAGGAGATCTAAATTACTCATATCATAAATGAAAGAGGGGCCATCAGTACTGATCCCCATGAACATTAAAAGGATAATAAAAAAAAAATTTGAACAACTCTATGCCCACCAATTTGATAACTTAGATAATTAGATGGACCAATTTCTTGAAAAAAACAATCTACCAAAACTCACAGAAGGAGAAATAAATAATCTGAATAGGCCTATATTTGTTAAAGAAATTGAATTAATAATAACCTTCCAAAACAGAAAGCGCCAGGCTCAGATTATTTCACTGGTGAGTTCTACCAAATATTTAAGGAATAAATGGTACTGATTCTCTAAAGTCTCTTCCAGAAAATAGAAGCAGAGGAAACACTTCCTTACTCTATGAGGCCAGCATTACTCTAAAACCAAAACTAGATAAAGACATTACAAGAAAGGAAAAGTACAGATCAGTATGACTCATGAGCATAAATGCAAAAATCTTGAACAAATTTTAGCAAATCAAACCCAACAGTGTATAAAAAGAATGAACCACAAGTAGGATTTATTTCAAGTATGTAAGTTGTCTCAACACTTGAAAATCAATGAATGGAATCCGTTAATTCCATTAATGGAATTTATTCTTTCCACAGGCAAAGAAGAAAAGTCATTCATCAGTAAATGCAGGAAAAGCATAACTGACACCCATTCATAATTTAAAAAAAAAAACCCTTAGCAAACTAGGAATAGAGGAGAACTGCCTCAACTTGATAAAGAATTTCTACAAAAAAACCTACAATTACCGGCTGGGTGTGGTGGCTTACACCTGTAATCCTAGCACTTTGGGAGGCCAAGATGAGAGAATCGCTTGAGCCTGGGAGTTCAAGACCAGCCTGGATAACATAGCAAGACCTCATCGCTACTAAAAAATAAAAAATAGCCAGTTGTGGTGGGCACACTCCTATAGTTCCAGCTACTTGGGAGGCTGAGGCAAGAGAATCACTTCAGCCTGGGAAGTCAAGGCTGCAGTGAACCATGATTGTACTACTGCACTCCAGCCTGGGCAAAAGAGCTTAAAGATAAAAAATAAAACCTACAACTAACTACCATTATACTTAATGGTGAGAAACTAGATGCTTTCCCTTTAAGATCAGGAATAAGACAAGAATGTTCCCTCTTGCCACTTTTATTCAGCATCATACTAGAAGTTCCTAACTAATACAATAAGATAGGAAAAGGAAATAAATGATACACAGATGCTCCCTGACTAATGACAGGGTTATGTCCCAATAAACCCATCTTAAGGTCAAAAATTCTTAAGTGAAATCATTGTAAGCCAGGGATTGTACATATTGGAAAGGAAGGGATTGTACATATTGCTCACAAATGACATGATTGACTATGTATGAATCCCAAAGAATCAATTTTTTTAAAAACTGGAACTAACAAGTAATTATAGCAAGTTTGCAGTATATAAGATTAATATACAAAATTCAATTGCTTTCCTATATGCCAGCAAAGAACAATTGGAATTTGAAATTAAAAACACAGTACCATTTACATTAGCACCCCAAAAATGAAGTACTTAGGAATAAATCTAACAAAATATGTATAAGATTGATATGAGGAATACTGTAAAACTTGGATGAAAAAAAATCAAAGATGATTTAAATAAATAGAAATGGTCCATGTTCATGGATAATAAGAATGTGTATTAGGAGGTTAGTTCTTCCCAATGTGATCTATAGATTTAACACAATCCCAATCAAAATCCCAGCAATTTATTTTGTGCATATCAACAAACCCTTTCTAAACTTTGTGTGGAAAAACGAAAGACCTAGAATAGCCAACATAATATTGAAGAACAAGTCAGAGGCCTGACACTACCCAATGGAAACACTTACTATAATATTAATCAAGACAGTGTGGTACTGTTGAAAAACTGAGAAACAGATCAATGGAACAAAATTAAAAGCTCAGAAATAGACTCACACAAATATAGTCAACTGATACTGAGAAAGGAGCAAAAGATTGTCTTTTCAACAAATGGTGCTAGAAAATCTGGACATTCACATGCAAAAAGAAATTAATATAGACACTGACCTTAGACCTTTCACAAAAATTAACTCAAAATGGATCATAGACCTAAAGGTAAAACACAAAACTATAAAATTTCTAGAGGATGGCCGGGCGCAGTGGCTCACACCTGTAATCCCAGCACTTTGGGAGGCTGAGGCGGGCAGATCATCTGAGGTCAGGAGTTCAAGACCAGCCTGGCCAACATGGTGAAACCTCATCTCTACTAAAAATACAAAAATTAGCCAGGCATGGTATCACGCATCTGTAATCCCAGCTACTCAGGAGGCTGAGACAGGAGAATATCTTTAACCCAGGAGGCGGAGGTTGCAGTTAGCCAAGATCGCACCATTGCACTCCAGCCTGGGCGACAGAGTGAGACTTGGTCTCAAAAAATAAATAAATAAATAATAATAATAATTCTAGAGGATAATCTAGGAGAAAATCTAGGTGATTTGGGGTTTGACAATGACTTTTTAGATACAACACCAAAAGCACAATCATGAAAGAAAAAATGAGTAGTTGGAATTCATTAAAATTCAAAACTTAAACCCATGAAAAACTGTAAAGAGGCCGGGCTCAGTGGCTCACGCCTGTAATCCCAGCCCTTGGGGAGGTCGAGGCAGGTGGATCACCTGAGGTCAGGAGTTTGAGACCAGCCTGGTCAACATGGTGAAACCCTGTCTCTAATAAAAATTTAAAAAGTAGCCAGGAGTGGTGGCGCACGCCTGTAATCCCAGCTACTCGGGAGACTGAGGCAAAAGAATCGCTTGAACCCAGGAGGCAGAGGTTGCAGTGAGCCCAGATCACGGCCATTGCACTCCAGCCTGGGCGACAAGACCGAGACTCCGTCTCAAAAAAAAAAAAAAAGAAAAGAAAAGAAAGAAAAACTGTTAAGAAAACAAAAAGACAAGCAGAGACTGGGAGAAAAATATTTGAAAAAATCTGATAAAGGACTTATATCCCAAATATACAAAAAACTCTTAAAACTCAACAATAAGAAAACAACCCAATTTTAAAATGGGCTAAAGATCTGGAGAGACACCTCACCAAAGAAGATACACAGATATCAAACAAGCATATGAAATAATGCTCAACTTATATGTCATTAGGGAATTACAAATTAAAACTACAGTGAGATATCATTACACAGTACTAGGATGGCTAAAATCCAAAACTGATAGCACCAAATGCTGACAAGGATGTGGAGCAACAGCAATTCTTATTCATTTCTGGTGGGAATGCAAAATGGTACAGTTACTTTAGAAGACAGTTTGGTCTTTTTTTTACAAAGATCAACATAGTATTACTGTATGACCCAGCAGTCATGCTCCTTGTTATTTAACCTATTTGAAATTATTTGAAAACATGTCGACACAAAAGCCTGCACATGAATGTTTAAAGCATCTTTATTTATAATTGCTCCAAACTGGAGGTAACCAAGATGTTCTTCAAAAGGTGAACGGATAAATAAATTATCGTATATCCATAGAATTGATTATTATTTCTAAATAAAAAGACATGGTTTCTCAAGCCACACACACTCAAAAAAAAAAAAGAGACATGGAAGTTTTGGGTGTAAACTCTGAGGGGAAAAAAAAAAAGATATGGAGGAAACTTAAATGCGTATTGCATGTTGTAAGAAGCCAATCTGTATTATCACACTAGTCTTTAAGTTAAAAAAAAGAAGAAGAAAGAAAAAAGCCAGTCTGAAAAGGCTACTTACTATATGATTCCAAGTATATGATATGCTGGAAAAGGCAAAACTATGAAGACAGTAAAAAGATCAATAGTTGCCAGGGACTTAGAGGGAATGGAGAAAGAGATGAACAGATAGAACACAGGAGATTTTTAGAGAGGTGAAACTATTTTATATGACACTGTGATAGTGGATTAATAGCATACATTTGTCAAAACCCATACAACTGTATAACACAGAGTGAACCCTAATGTAAACTGTAGACTTGAGTTAATAATATATGCATATTGGTTCATCAAATGTACCACACTAATAATTATGTACAATCAGCCCTCTGTATCTGTGGGTTCTGCATCTGTGGATTCAACCAACCATGGATCAAAAATATTCAGGAAAAAAAACTCCTCAGTGTTCCAAAAAGCAAAACTTCAATTTGCTGGGCACAAGCCACTATGTTGAATCCACGTGTAATGATGTATAGGCATTGTATTAGATATTATAAGTAATCTAGAGGTGATTTAAAGTATATGGGAGGGTATGATGGTAGGTTATGAAAGACTTGAGCATCCTCAGATTTTGGTATCCAAGGGAAGTCATGGAACCAATCCCCCACAGGTGCTGAGGGATTTCTGTATTAATATTGGTTTACCAAATATACCACATTAGTATAAGATGTTAATAATAGGGGATATATGGGAACTCTCTGTACTATCTGATCAATTTCCTGTAAACCTGAAACTACTCTAAAGACACAGTCTATTAACTTAAAAAACTGTTTTTAAAGATGATAGAAGAATAAAGGGAATCTCTTGCATAATCCTGGCACCCAAAAACAACTATTAATAAGACATTGGCATAAATATTCCTGGAGATTTTCTATTCATATATATGCACACACACTATGTATCTTTTTTTATAAAAATAGAATCATAGAGGTCAGGTGCGGTGGCTCACACCTGTAATCCCAGCACTTTGGGAGACCAAGGCGGGTGGATCATGAGGTCAGGAGATCGAGACCATCCTGGCTAACACGGTGAAACCCCATCTCTACTAAAAATGCAAAAAATTAGCCGGGCGTGGTGGTGGGCGCCTGTAGTCTCAGCTACGCGGGAGGCTGAGGCAGGAGAATGGCATGAACCTGGGAGGCGGAGCTTGCAGTGAGCCAAGATCGCGCCACTGCACTCCAGCCTGGGCAACAGCACGAGACTCCGTCTCAAAAAAAAATAAAATAAAATAAAATAAAGTAGAATCATAGAATATTACAAATTTTTTATAATTCTCACAACAATTGTTTCCATTTTATAGATGAAGTTATTGAACTCTTATTTATTTTTTTTTTTTTGAGACGGAGTCTCACTGTGTCACCCAGGCTGGAGTGCAGTGGCCCAATCTTGGCTCACTGCAACCTCCGCCTCCCAGGTTCAAGCTCTTCTCCTGCCTCAGCCTCCTTAGTAGCTGGGACTACAGGCTCACGCCACCATGCCTGGCTAATTTTTGTATTTTTTTAGTAGAGACGGGGTTTCACCATGTTGGCCAGGCTGGTCTCGAACTCCTGACCTCAAGTGATTCACCCACCTCAGCCTCCCAAAGTGCTGGGATTACAGGCGAGAGCCACTGCGCCCAACCTGAAGTTGTTAAACTCTTAAATGGCTGAACCAGGTTCGGTCCCCAATGTGTTTTATTCCAAAGCCTGTAGTCATACCATTCCTTCTCTTTGACTTTATCAGCAGTTACAAAGCAAAACATAAGGCCTACTTTTTGTTTTATCTTTACTTAATGTATTTGTCCTTTATAAGATATAACAGTCTTTCATACACTACTGCCTTCATCCAGCAACCTTCACCTCATATGATGTTATATTCCTTAACTCTTTGTTTTTTGTATAGAATCCCTGCCTATTGAATAAGAAGTGGTGGCCCCGCTCCTTTTTGCCCCAGGGTGCTGTAGTGAGAAGCAGACAGTGGGACTGCCGTTCTTTTTTGGCAGTAATGTGACTTTCTGTCTACTGTATAAGTAGCTCTGGAAATTAAGGTGTTCAAGAAAATTATTTCTGGTACCTAAAGATCCTGAGGGTTGCCCGGCGCAGTAGATCATAGGGTCAGAGATCGAGACCATCCTGGCTAACACGGTGAAACCCCATCTCTACTAAAAATACAAAAAATTAACCGGGCGTGGTGGCGGGCGCCCGTAGTCCCAGCTACTCAGGAGGCTGAGGCAGGAGAATGGTGTGAACCCGGGAGGCAGAGCTTGCAGTGAGCCGAGATCAAGCCACTGCACTCCTGCCTGGGCAACAGAGCAAGACTCCGTCTCCAAAAAAAAAAAGGATCCTGAGGGTAGAGGGTATTAGGTAGAGACAGATGAAAAGGTGGAGAGAATAGGATTCACATGGGGGTCTGGGGAAGGAAGGAGCCTCAAATGTGATTAGTGGAGACAGCTCGATAACCCAGAAGGGGCGGTAGCATTCAGAAGCATTCAATGAATTGATAGCAGCCATTTCAATGAGTATCTATTGCAGTCAGCTGACTGTTTAGTAAAACTTTAAAATAGACCCTGCCCCTTCTCTTGACACCTATAGGAGACACTTTGAGACTCCGAACAATTCTGGAAGCAATACAGAAGCACATTCATTCTTCCTCCCTCATCTTCAAACTGGCCCAAGATGCATTCAAGATTGCTACTCCCACCGACAGTAGTACTGACAGCACCCTGCTCAACGTTGCCCTGGAACTTGGGTTACAGGTATGGAGGAAGAGTAGGCCATCCACAGTTTAGACCGCTGACCTAGTGACAGTTGGCAGAAGATAAGATCTCTGGGAGACTGGGCATAGGCCAAGTCTGGCTCTTCCTTTGGGCCCAGAACACAAGTTCTAGGCTAGGGAAAAGGCAAGGATTTCATAAATTGGGCTCCACTTTTAAGTTAAGGCCAGAAGCAAGATAAAGCTTTAGGCTCCCTGGGGTCCCTATCTTCTCTCTACCTCCCCATTTCTACAAGTCAAGCAAGGTATGATAATAAGGACTTTGCTGCAGATCATCAGAGAAGCTTCCTATCTGATTGGTGGGAGGGCTGGGAAAGAAATTAACTGTATTTTATGTTTATCAGCGGAGAGACCACTGTTTAAAGCACCAGAAAATATTTGTCGCATAAATGAATGCAAGGGGAGGGAGAGGTCACAACAGTTAGGCATAGCCCACTGGAAAGGCCTCTTTTGTGCCCAGGTGATGCGGATGACCTTATCAACCCTTAACTGGAGACGCAGGGAGATGGTACGATGGTTGGTGACCTGTGCTACAGAAGTGGGTGAGTCTCCCACCTCCCTCTACCCCCAGGGGAAAGGAGTTTCTAGGCCCTACTCTTGGGACAGGACAATCAATCCTTAGAGCTCTCATATTCCTATGAGATCTTAGGTCCATCAGGAGATGGCCTAAGAAAGGATGGGGCTGCTGGTAGGAGAAGGTGGCCTCTGTTCAGCCAGCCCAAGCCCTGTCTTCACTGCTTGAACCATATCCTGATGTCAGCAGCCCTTGATCCTCTCAACAGAGACATGTCTAAGAGAATGAATTTTCAGTTGCTACTCAAGTGCTCCCTTGGGAGGTAGTGGGCCCAGTGGTTTGGTCCCCATCCCTGTGCATGCTTGTAAAAAACTCCAGACAACTTAGAGGCTCAGGACCCTTTCTAAAGCCCAAAGCCCCAGCACAAGACTCTACCCTGAGAGGCCCCACTTCAGCTAGAACCCCTGGCAGATCTGTAACCCATGCCTCAGGGCAAGCAAACCCCAGGCTCTACTGTCCCATCCTTGTGAGGGGCTAAGAGCACCTGCAGAAACCTTCAACTCTCTGACCTGGGGAAAGAAGGGATAGGAAGAGACCCCAAACAGGGTCTGGCCATCTGGGATGCTCCCCTTGCCCTGGTTTGCCTCATATCATCTCAAGGTTGCTGAGGAGGAAGAATTCATCTCTGCAGGCCAAGTTCAAACCCCAAATGGTAATCTGGGTAGACCTGAATCAGGACCCAGATGGCCACGGCTGAGCTCAGGCTCCCCCTGACAGGTGTGCGGGCCCTGGTGAGCATCTTGCAGAGCTGGTACACACTCTTCACCCCTACTGAGGCTACTAGTATTGTAGCTGCCACAGCCGTATCCCACACCACTATCCTGCGCCTCAGTCTTGACTATCCACAGCGGGAGGAACTGGCTAGCTGTGCTCGCACACTGGCTCTACAGTGTGCTATGAAGGATCCACAGAGCTGTGCCCTGTCAGCCCTTACACTCTGTGAGAAAGACCACATTGCCTTTGAGGCAGCCTACCAGATTGCCATTGATGCTGCTGCTGGTGGTATGACCCATTCACAGCTGTTCACCATCGCCCGCTACATGGAGCTCCGTGGCTACCCGCTACGTGCCTTCAAGCTGGCCTCATTGGCCATGAGCCATCTTAACCTGGCCTACAACCAGGATACTCACCCAGCCATCAATGATGTGCTCTGGGCTTGTGCTCTCAGCCACTCTCTGGGCAAGAATGAGCTGGCAGCTCTCATCCCCCTGGTGGTGAAGAGTGTGCACTGTGCCACAGTGCTTTCAGACATCTTACGACGCTGCACAGTGACTGCACCTGGCCTGGCCGGCATCCCAGGCCGCCGAAGCTCTGGAAAGCTCATGTCCACTGACAAAGCTCCATTGCGCCAGTTGCTGGATGCCACCATCAATGCCTATATCAACACTACACACTCACGCCTAACACACATCAGCCCTCGCCACTATGGAGAGTTCATTGAGTTTCTAAGCAAGGCTCGGGAGACCTTCCTGCTGCCCCAGGATGGCCACCTGCAGTTTGCCCAGTTCATCGACAACCTCAAACAGATCTACAAAGGCAAGAAAAAGTTGATGCTGCTGGTGCGAGAGCGCTTTGGCTGAGAGAGCAGATAGCTCACTGCCAGAGCAGCCTGGGTTCCCAGGTAGTATCAGGTCAGGCCAAGGGCACTGAAACATTTGTCCACCCTGAGAGAACTCTGAGCACCTGTGGATGAGGCCAAAGGACCACAGGGCTAAGGATGGGGAAAGTCCAGCTCTAGTCGATAATGCCTACCTTGGCAAGCTTCTGACTACAGCCTACTGTTCATGGAGGAGCTGGGCCCTGCAGATCGACCAGAAACCCCACAACATGCCACCTCATGCCCCTATATCCTGCGTGTCCTGAGCATTGGCCCTGTCTCCCTTGGCAAACACAGAACACTGTTCCATCTCAGGGATTGCTTAACCAGAGAAACAGACACATTTGTGGGACTGTAAATACTATATGTGTTGCTAATTATTGTAAACTTGTAACTATTTATAATTCTGCTTCTGATTTGATGGGCACTTGAAGTAGCTGTGGGTAGGAGGATATGCTTATTTTCTGAGGAGACTCACAACCATTTCTCAGGTTTCCCTTGCAGAGTGTTTGCTGGTAGCAGTGGAAGAGTGGGGGTGCCAAGGAGAAAAATGGCCAGTTAGGATCAACCCAAGTCTAGTCTATGCAGAATCCCCCACCTACAGACAGGGCATTTATAGTCCAGTGGTGAGTGAGGGACAGAGGCCAGGACTGGACTTAGACTTTTGCCTCACAAAACTGTGAGGACATTGAAGCTCCTGCCTCACACAGCCTCTTCAGGAGCCTGCTGAACACCTGAGAAACAAGTGCAGGGAGAAGATGAAGGTCTGGGAAGCCGCTGAGTTCATAATATTCATCTACTGTGGTCACCTTTGTGTTAGCAAGTGTGTGGTTTCATCTATAATTGTGTGTGTGTATCTTTATGGCTAAGTACATGTGTGTATGTACATAGATACATCTGTGCATGCCTGTTTGTGCACATATATATTTATGTGTATGTGTCAGTTCTATGGCTGTGTACCTGTTTGAATATGTGCACACTGGACTGTGAGTTTCTACGTGAGGATATACACATTTTGTGTACATGTGAGGATGCACATCTTTGTGCAAATGCACTCATGTTTGTGCATGTTTAGTATGTGTATCTGCGTACACGAGTGCATGTGTATAAACATGTTTGTATCCATGTGTATGCTTGTTATCCATGCATCTGTGTCTTTATATGTGTAACTGAGCGTATTTCTACATGTAGGGATGTCTGTGTATTCATGTTTGAGGATCTGCATCAATGTGTCCTTTTTGCCAGATTTCTCTTTCCCATTCCTCTTAAATCTCTCTCGCCAGCTAAACGTTTGTTCCCCATCTCTGTGCCTCCTCTATTCATTCTCTCACCAAACAAGCTTCTAAGCACCAATCTCCCTCTGCCATCAGATTGGCTGCTTTAGCTCCATAGTTCTCTTCTCGCCTCATACTTGCTTTCTTCCCCTGCCTTTCTACCTCAAGCTTCCTCGCCGGCTTTTGTCACAGTCTCATTGCTCGCTGACTTGGAGGCTAGGGCTGGTCTGCACTTAGCCTCTCCCTTCCTAATTTCTAGCCCTAGTGGGCAGTCCTGTCTTAGCCCTGGCTGACCTCCATAGTGTATCATGTTCCTGCTACCTTCCTGACCCCTGTGCTCAGCCTGGAATTGTTATAGGAGGTAGCAAGGGCACTCAGAAAAGTCAGTTGGAACCAGTGTCTTGGTGTTTACTGTTTCATGTCTTAGTTCCTGAGTTGGGGGTGGGGTTTGATAGGGAAGGGGTGGTATAGCTAGAATGTGAACTAAGAACTTCTCCATCTGCTTTACTTTTTCTTTCTTCGACAAACTGTCACCTTTTTTACTCCAAACTGACCAAGAAGTTGTATTTGCCATTTGTGGCTACTCAAGTCTTACTGTCCAGCCAAGGGCCCCTACGTCTCAGCCCAATGGGTTGGTTAAAAAAAAGAGAGAAGCCACTCTCATTTCTGTATCACAGTTGCCCTTTTTTAGCAAGTGTGTGAATTCACAGTGCTTTTCTATGAATAAATCATGGATCACATAAAAGATCATTTTTCTAAAAGCAGAAATTGTGTTCTCTCACTAAATGAAACCCATCTCTCCTTTCTGCATTGCCCTGGCTGGGCCAGGGAGCTGGTTCAGCCTACAGCACAGTGGGTGCCTAGTGGTCTAAGGAGATGCAGAATGACTGACAGATAAAGAATTTCTTGCCATACCAGACCCTTCCCCAGGGCTTACAGACACCTCAGAGCCTTGTCCTGGGAAGCAGGTACCACCAGGAAGGGTGGAATAACCAAGATCTTGAGAAAATTAAAGGGGATGCTCAGAAAAGAATATAAAGCAACCTTGAGTTGCCAGAGGGTCTTTTGGTTTCAGAGGACTTCTTGCTTTGGTGATGATCGACTTGTCTAAAGCTCCAATCCTAAGCAACCTAGCTCTGAGCTTTCATGTCCTCTATATATTTTGGTGTCAAAGCTGAGGGTCCCTCAGCTTCTCCCTGCTTGCCTAGACTCCATCTTCTTCCCCATGCCTCTCTGAAGTGTTCTAACCCCTTCTGTGCCCCTTTTTGATGTATACTTCCCTTTCTCCCCAGACATAAAGCCCTATCAATTTGGCCTTTGTATGTTGTGAGGACCCCACCCGTTTTTCTGCAAATGTCACAACCTGAACTGCTAGGAAAGCTCTACCCTACCCCATGTAGTTCTGGGACTTAGGTATCTGAGAGTAAGATGGGAATGAGAATCCTTAAGTGCTATAGTACATATTCACTGATACCTAACCCCCATGACTTGTGAAGAGGATATAGAGAGGGTTCCCAGGGAAGGAGCAGAGGCTAAGAAGAACTGAGGATATGGGCACAATCTTTCACAAACAAAACTACACAATAGTTCAACTCCGAAACTTTTATTGTCCTGGAAACGATCAATCATCTGTGTTAGTGGTACTTGAGGGTAAAGGTATACACTCAGTTCTGTCGAAGCAGACGTGAGTGTTTATGCACAGCATCCACAAAGGCGCCCACATGTTCTGGGTCCATGTCAGGATAAAGCCCATGGCCCAGGTTGGCAATGTAGCGATGTGGTCCAAAGTCATCCAGCATCTGCTTCACCAACTGCCCGATCTCCTCCTGGGGGACCAACAGGGCACTGGCTACAGGAGGACCAGCAAGCCTTTGTCCTCCCTATATATACTAGTGACAAACGCATATGTAGGCATGCTTCTACTCAGTGTTATTCAGTCATTCAATAAAATTTATCAGATCCCTAGTATGGACCCAGGCATGAAGCATAAACACAAATGAACAACAGCAACAAAAAGTCCGGTCTTTCTAGGGCTTATGTTGTACAGAGTAGAAGAAAAGGACAGACAGACATTAAAAACAAGTGCACACAGAATAATACAGCCACAGCCACAGGAGTGCACAGTAACAGACACACAGAGGGGCCCTGGCTGTTACCTCAGATGCATACAAGGCACAGGGGTCCAGGTTGCCCTGCAATGTCACCGTCTTCCCCACACACTCCCTGGAAGCAAAGCCAGCGCCACGTTCTGGTAACTGCATACATGGCAGCTCCCCCAGCCAACACCCCCACCTCAACCTCAAGGCCTCACCCTTCCATGGCTTACCGGGCTTTCTTTGGGGCCACTGTCCAGTCAAGCCCAACCACCTCATAGCCAGCTTGGGCCAGCTCCTCCAGGGCAAAATGCCCATCCTTAGCAAAGATGATCTAGAAAAAAGCAGATCTCAGGCTACAGAGGGCCTTGCTACAACCACTAATCTTTCTTGACTGTACTTCTGCTGCCCTCCAGTGGTCACTCCAGTCCATGCAGGACTTAGCCTGAAAGCTCCACAGGACCACCTTCACTCAACCCATCCCAATCCTCACCATGGGCACTGGTGCCAGGCCTGCCTCCCGCAACCTGGCCTTCACTTGCTTGGCCACATCACGGATGTAAGGCAGTGCAAACTTGTTGAAGAGCTGTGGGCCAAGATGCCCTGCATGGGACTCAAACAGCTGCAATGCCTAGTTAGGGTATGGTGAAGAAAAATATGTAACACACAAAGAGGAAGTTTCCCCCACATACAAAATCCACCTCAATTTTCCCCAAATGACTTCAATCCCTGATACTGCCTGACCCTAAAAACCCAGTAATTAAAAAAAAAAAAATTTACTTTCCTCAGATCCCAGCACTAACTTTGGTGTCTGAATACTTAGAGCATTAAGCCCCACTGTCAGTGTCAGGATGGGCTTGGCTGCTCCGCTAGATCACTGGAGGCCAAGGTTCTTTCATCCCTGGCATTAAGACCCCTGCCCTCTCAGGTTTAGGACACTCTTGCTTCTGGTCCTTACAGACCAAATCCCAGCCTATTTCTCTCTCTCTCAGGACTCACCTGGGCACCAGCCACCACTTGTCCTACCAGATATGGGACCAGAGCATCAGTGAGGATGCGAAGCAGCTGGTGACTAGCCTGAGGTCTCTGATAGAGCCAGCGCTTGGCCTGAGCCATGGTGCTTGAGCCACCACCCTCAACCATGTATGTCATCAGGGTCCACTAGAGAAGGATAGAAAGATGGTGTCACAGAAGCCAGACTGACCCTTCCTTTTGTCTACCCCAGACCTTCCAGAGTGATCTCCCCGCGCCCCGAGTCCCTGCCCTGTCCCACATTACTGGGGCACCAGCAAAGCCAATCAGCGGCACACGTCCAGCCAGTCGTTGTCGGGTAAGGGTGATGGCTTGGAACACATAGCCTAGCTCAGAGGCTACCACTTCTGGATCCCGTAGGCGTTCTAGGTCCTGCTCTTCTCTTAATGGCTCTGGGAAGCTGGGTCCTTTGCCAGGTACCATGGTCACCTCCATGCCCAGTGCCTGGAGGGGGAGAAAACATCTGGGTTCCCAAAATGGAATCCAGGAGGAAAGGTTCTGTTCAGCTCATTCCAGGAGGAAGGAAAAGGAGAATAAAACTCTGCCAAACTCCATTTCTTTCAACCTTAGTTTTTCCCTCGATCCAGTTAGGATAAGTGCTTATTGTAAACCTTGACTGGACTGATAGAAGGATTTTCAAGGCGTCCTTGGATTATATTCTAGGATCAGGTTTGAGTGGGTACCTGGGGTACAACAAGGATGTCGGAGAAAATGATGGCAGCATCCAGAGGGAAGCGACGCAGTGGCTGTAGGAAACAGGAGACAGGTTGCTAGGTGGCAGACTGAAGGCATAAATCTTTCCCTCTTTTGTGGACCCCTCACCTGCAGAGTCAGTTCACAGCAGGCCTCAGGAGAGCGACACGTGCTGAAAAAGTCCTGGGCAGCCCGGGTTTCCCTAAACTCTGCATACAGAGGGAAGACAGGGCTCAGCCTTGAGGCCCTCCAGAGCCCTCCCCTGCCCCTCGAAAACTTTTCTCCCTCCGGAGTTTTATCTAGATTTCCAGACCCTGACTCTTACCTGGTAAGTAACGGCCTGCCTGGCGCATGCACCAAACGGGAGTGTAGTCTGTTTCCTCTCCCCAGGCTGCTCGCAGGAATGTGTCATTCTTCAGCTCCGGAAAACCCTGAGGTCTGGCGATCAGGTGGGGGTGGGGGTAGGTGTCAGTATGCTACGCTGGAGGCTGGGGAAAGCGCGGGTTCATAAGGCCGATTCAGTCCAGGACCGCTATCTACCTCCTCCAGGCCAGCTCCCAAACCCTGGCTTTCCGCCCGTTCCGCCTCCTCTCTGCCTATCAGGTGGTGCACAAACTCCAGAAGGGCCCGCCCTGGGGCCTCTTCCCTCCACTTAGTCTCTACTCTTCCAAGCTCGAAGCAACCAGAGGGACTGGGGGGAGGGAATGAAGGCCCACTAAGGATAGTTTGGGGGTCTTCGAACTAGTGAGCCTCAGAAACGGGAATGTCACTGGGCTGGTTCAGGGGCTGAGAAATACCCAGGCTGGGGGATAAAGAGGGATCAGAGTTGATGGTCCCAGAATAGAGATCCTGGTTGGAAATCCTGAGGCATCCCTTGAATTAAGGCCCTGGGATGAACATCTCAAAAATCCATGGTTTTAGGATTCAGGATCCCAGCTAACGGAGTTCAGGTTGGGAGGTCTCCAGGGTGGGGAAAGGGGAGTAGAGGGATAGAGTCCTGAGTTGGAAGACTCAAATTAGAAGCCCGGCTAGCCACACCGCGTGCTCTGGAGAACTCACCCCAACCCATTCGCTTCCATGGTCAGCTGTCTGTAACTGCGAGCTCAATCCACAATTTAACCTGAATCTGAGCCTGCCCCCCAGTCCAGGCTCCGCCCCTTTCTGTAGGGAACCAAGAGCGTCGCCATGTTGAAGATCACATGATCGGACTCCAGCGACAGCTCCAGGGCTGCCCTGGCTGCTGCCCGTAGGACCCCTACCTTTTTTCACCGTAAAGTTTGCTGTAGCGACGCAACAACAAAGGCCCAAAAGAAAACTCCGCTGTAAATGTATCTTACGGTGACATGAGGAATTTGTTCTCATCTGACAGTCTGGGTATCCGGAGGCTTGGCGCAAGTCCCACTCATGATACCAACAGTCTTATCCAGCCAGGTCCATACTATAGCCTGGACCTATAGTAGGTGCAGAGGTTAGCTCTGCTCAAGACAGCCCCAGCCTTTAAGGAGCTACAAGACTGGGGAAACAGAAATCAGCAATCACATTAAAATGAATAATGATCTCCAGTGTCCTTGGGATTAGGAGTGACAAACAGAATCAACCCTAATGACTCAAGACTCCTGTCAGTGGCAGGGGAAGGGGCCATTGTCTCAAACACTTTAATCACACCACCCATAGGATAGGGAGTCCAGCAGATTCGCTGGGAGTGGGAGGAAAAACAGCAGGCCGAAGAACCAGAAAAATGACTGTTGGCAATGACCCAGGCTAGCTAGAATGGTGACTTGAATGAGGGTAGTAGCAGTAGAGATAAAATGGTAGTCACAAGGAAATGGAGAGAGGGAGATTGATCAGGTAGCAATCACCAATCTTGGGTTTGGTCGGCTGGGTTAGGGTGGCACAGAGATAAGTAATATGGTTGAGTGTGGGAGTACACAGTCCAATACAGTGAGAGCTGGGGTGCGCTTAGTCCAGAACATACGGCAAAGGCTGGCCAAAGGCGGGGAAGGGCGTGGTGGGAAGCTCTGTCCGCGGTCGCGCCAGCTGTTCCCCGGGCAGGGTCGCCTCTAGGTGCTCACCTCCGCCACTTCGCCATGGCGGGTCCTGGCCCGGGCGCGGTGCTGGAGTCCCCCCGGCAGCTGCTGGGCCGCGTGCGCTTCTTGGCAGAGGCAGCGCGGAGCCTCCGCGCCGGGCGGCCGCTGCCAGCAGCGCTGGCTTTCGTGCCGCGAGAGGTGCTCTACAAGCTTTACAAGGACCCAGCGGGACCGTCGCGCGTGCTTCTGCCGGTGTGGGAGGCAGAGGGCCTGGGGCTGCGTGTGGGCGCCGCAGGCCCAGCCCCCGGTACCGGCTCCGGGCCCCTCCGCGCCGCCCGCGACAGCATTGAGCTCCGGCGCGGCGCCTGCGTGCGCACCACGGGCGAGGAGCTGTGCAATGGCCACGGGCTCTGGGTGAAGCTGACAAAGGTGCGCTCTTCCCTGCCCAGGACCCGGTAAAAGACCCCTGGGGCCAGAGAAACCTCTGGCTGTTTGCCTTTTCTCCCCTGTATTGAGTTGGCATTGCGTTCGGCGCCCTTTGCCCTGGGCTGGGCACGACAGGCGGCTGGGCAGTTCCCTGACGGCTGTCCCCATCCTACGCGTCCCGGCAGGAGCAGCTGGCAGAGCACCTGGGCGACTGCGGGCTGCAGGAAGGCTGGCTGCTGGTGTGCCGCCCGGCGGAGGGCGGAGCCCGCCTGGTACCCATCGACACTCCCAACCACCTCCAGCGGCAGCAGCAGCTCTTTGGCGTGGATTATCGGCCGGTGCTCAGGTACTGCACTTGAAGGAGCGGGGCTGGCTGTCAGAAGGCCGGGCCAGGAGGGCTTGGGAACACTTCAGCCACAGCCTGGGGTGGGTGGGATACTGGAGCGGAGGCAGGGTTAAGAGCAGAAAGGGGCGGGACGTGAAGGGGGCTCGGAGGGAGACTGGGAGATAGAGCCCTGAAGAAGGCTACACGGCATGGAGGTAGTGTCTTGCTGACCGCTGATGTCTCCCCATCCCACTCCCTACTCTGTGCCCACAGGTGGGAACAGGTGGTGGACCTGACATACTCACATCGCCTGGGATCGAGACCTCAGCCGGCAGAGGCATACGCAGAAGCTGTACAAAGGCTACTGTGAGTGAGCTGGAATGGGGTGGGGAGGAAGGAGCTCTGCGTCTGGGCCCAGTCTAATTAGGGGCTTGGGGTTGCTTAGCTATGTACCCCCGACATGGACCTACGAGTGCGACGAGGACCTGATCCACTTCTTGTATGACCACCTGGGCAAGGAGGATGAGAACCTGGGTAGCGTGAAGCAGTATGTGGAGAGCATAGACGTTTCCTCCTACACGGTGGGTGCTGGGGCTCCTCCCACCCCAGGCAAGATATAGTCACACCCCTCAAGGCTAGATCCAGAAAGAACCCCCACCTGCAGGCCAGGACTAAAACAGGGTCCCCACAGGCCACACTCAGTTCAGCTCCCCATCTTGGACGTCTATAGGACCCCTTACATACCCAGCGGCCCCCTATCCCATACCAGTTGCCTGTTAGCCCAACTTCACTATGCTTTCTCTCTGGTGCTCCTGGCCCAGAGCACAAGCCCAGTGCAGGGAGGGAGGGTAACTGCTGACTTCACGTCTCTGCCCCTCCCCAGGAGGAGTTCAACGTGTCCTGCCTGACAGACAGCAATGCCGATACCTACTGGGAGAGCGATGGGTCCCAGTGCCAACACTGGGTACGGCTTACTATGAAGAAGGGCACCATTGTCAAGTAAGTAGGCTCTGGGCAGGACAGGGTGGGTGGGCTATGTCCCTGTGGGTTCACAAAGACTCATATTCACACTCTGACCCTTCAGGAAGCTGCTACTCACAGTGGATACCACAGATGACAACTTTATGCCAAAGCGGGTGGTGGTCTATGGGGGTGAAGGGGACAACCTGAAGAAGCTGAGTGACGTGAGCATTGACGAGTGAGCACGCTGGCCTGGGGAGGGAAGTAGGGCATGTTCCAAGCCTAGCCCAGCTTGAAAGCCTAAGTTTGAGTGAGACTCCAGCAGTCTCTGAAGGCCTGAGGCAGGAGGTATCTGAAGTGCTTCACACTCATCTCCTCAGGACCCTCATCGGGGATGTCTGTGTCCTGGAGGACATGACCGTCCACCTCCCGATCATCGAGATCCGCATCGTGGAGTGCCGAGGTGAGGTTTAAGGCTATAAGGAGGGAAAGAGAGCCCGGCGTGGAGATGGGGGCAAACAGAGAGTGTGTGTGGAGAGAAGAGGATGGGCTTGGAGTTGGGGTGAAGGCGATGCTGAACTAACTCCAGGATTTGGAGCTTTGGGGCCTGAGCCAGCTGGGACATGCCAGGTATAGGCCTGCCTTAAAGCCATACAGGTGGTTGGGCTCACCTGGAAGAGGAACTGAGTTGGGACCCTCAGGCATCCCAGCATTCTAGTGGAAGACAGAGGAATCAGCAGGAATAGATCAATCAGAATCAGGTGATAGAAGGTGATCCCGAAGGTCCCGAGTTTCTAGGGGCTAACGGTGACACAAGGCTGAGCGTTCAAGGAGCCGGTCCCAGGTCTGAGGGCCAAGGAGGCAGCAGGTGCTGTAAATGACCTTACTCTGACCCCTTCCCCCAGATGATGGGATTGATGTTCGTCTCCGAGGGGTCAAGATCAAGTCATCTAGACAGCGGGAACTAGGGTTGAATGCAGACCTGTTCCAGCCAACTAGTCTGGTGCGATATCCACGCCTAGAAGGCACCGACCCTGAAGTACTGTACCGCAGAGCTGTCCTCCTGCAGAGGTGGCTGTGGTCCTGGACCTATGGGCCCTTCCCTTCCCCCAACATTGAGCCTTGTGTGTCTGCATGGAGGAGGTTCCCAAGGTCTCATAGTATAAGCTGTTCAAGGGTCAGAGAAGCCCCCAGGTCCTGCCTTTTCCTGTCCCTTTATGTTGGGG